>NC_000014.9:61732925-62035955 GCF_000001405.40 Homo sapiens | reverse complement strand
CCAACAGCAGCTGCTCGATAAATATTTATTGAATGAAGGCAGTAATTAATTAGCCCCATCCTACTGTAGTTGGAGGAGTAGGAATTCTAAGAGCATCTAACATGGAAAAGCATCTATCACCATAACCAGCACAATGGGTGCTTAATACGGATCTGTTGAATGAATCAATTATATATTTCATTAGTCTTTATAGGACTCTTCACCTTGAAATTCAGATATACATGAAATTCAGATTAAATGGGCTTTTGTGCTCTGGATTTTAGCCCCAACTTTTATAGGAAAGTGTCTTTCAAGTTCCAAATAGCTTACAAAGCAATGCGTGGAACAACACCCATTGGTAAGCAAGAGCTCTGTGCACAACAGTGAAACCCTGTTAATCAAATTTAGTTTTTATTAGTCTATTTTCACTTCTCTTCCCTAAACCTGGAAATTGATATATGTCTCTTTGATGGAATTAAATATATATTCCTTCATTATTTTCTTCCCGTATTGTATCCAACCTTTATCTTCATGTTCTTTTTCTCTTAAGTGGATTCAACATTCTTAAGAGCTATTATAAAATGGTAAAAAGATTAAGAGAATAGTCTGACCAAATAATTAGGACAAAGTAAAAATCAAAGCAGTACACAGCACAAATAGAAAGAATTCATACTTTCAAAAATAAGATACTAAACAACTGGGCTACATGCCCTTGGAACTGCTGCATGCTGAGTTCTGGAATATATGCTAAAACTGGTCATGATCCAAATTGGATTTAAGGGGAGTCTAGCAACATGTTAAAGAACCTTCATACAAGAACCTACCAGAGCTCTTGAGGCAAGCTGTGCCCAGAAGATTTGACCCTTCATACTCAAAAATTACCCTTCCAATGCACCAGAAAAACAGAGGACATATGTAAATACTTAAGGTCACTTCAAAGACAATACTGTCTGTCACACCAAAGCCACAAGGCAAACTAAGAAGCTTTCGGGGTAGGACACTCAGTCAAATCCACCCTCAGACAGAAAAACTTTTGTCATTTTCTGGAAGATCAACTGGAACAGTTTTTGTTTTGTTTGTGAGGAAGCCTTTTTTAAAAAACAGCTTTATTGATATATAATCACATAACAATTCACCAATTTTAAGTATACAGTACAATGTTGTACAGACTTATGCAACCATCACAATCAATTTTAGCACATTTTCACCACACGAAAAGGAAACCTCATATCTACTACCTGTCACCAACCCATTCTCCCCCACCCCTGGAATCCCCCCATCCCCTCAGCCCTAGTCAGCATAATCTACTTCCTGCCTATATGGAATGGCCTATTGTGGACATTGCATATAAAAAAGAGTCATATAATATGTGGCCTCTTGTTACTGACTTCTTTCATTTGCATGTTGCCAAGCTTCACCCATGTTGTAGCATATGTCAGTAGTTCATTCTTTTTACAGCCAAGTAATATTCCATTTGATGAATAGACTACATTTTGTTGATGCATTCATCAGTTGATGGACATTTGGGTTGTGTTCATTTTTCAGCTATTATGACTGATGGTACTATGAATATTCATGTACAGGATTTTGTTTGAACATATGTTTTCATTTCTCTTGAATTTATGCCTAGGAGTGGCACTGCTGGGTTCTATGGTAACTCTATGTTTAATCTGTTGATGAACTGCTATACTATTTTCCAAAGGGGCTAAACAATTTAACATTCCCACCAGCAGTATATTAAGGTTCCAATTTTTCCACATCCTCACCAACACTTGTTATTATCTGTCTTTTTTATTACAGCCTTGCTGGTGGGTACAAGGTGGCACCTCATAGTGGTTTCAATCTGCTTTGCTCTGATAGCTAAGAATGTTGAGTATTTTTTCATATACTTATTGGTCATTTGTATATCTTCTTTAGAAAAATAGACATATTCAAGTTCTCTGCCCATTTTAATTGGGCTTTTTATTATTTAGCTGTAATAACTCTTTACACATTCTTGATGCATGTCCCTTACTAGATATAAAATTTGCAAGTGCTTTCCCTCATTCTTTAGGTTGTCTTTTCACTTTGCTCATCGTATCATTTTCAGCACAAAAATTCTGAATTTCAATAACATCCAATATATCTAATTTTTTGTTTTGTCACTTGTGCTTTTAGTGTTATATCTAATATGGCTTTGCATAACCCAAAGTCATGAAGATTTACTCTCAGGTTTCTTTCTAAAAGTTTTATTGTTTTAACTTTTACATTTATGTCTATGGGTCTGAGTTTATTGTGTGTATGATATGAGAAGGCTGTTTTTTCATTGGATATTAATTATATATTCATAAATCATACAGCAGCTCTCATGTCTTTCCATTTCCTATGGGGCACTAACTCAGTCCCTCTCCGTTCCACCTCACTCATGCTCTCATATACTCTCTTTCTTCACATTGGCTCATGAACTTGTAAAACAACTCAACTGATTCATGATTACTAAATTTCTTCCAGAATATGTGTTCTTGCTTTGAAAATTAAAAAGTGAGGTATCCTTTTTTATAACCAAGTAATATTCCCTTTGATGGATAGACCACATTTTGCCAGTTCCTGTGCTTTGTGCAACAGGCCGGGGAGGAAAGATATCCCTCATATGATAACCAAGATTTATACACTTATCAGTCATATTGTCAAATATTTTATTTCCACTTTGACTTTCAGGAGAAAAAAAAATGCAGTTGATTTCATTCATAACACAATCCGAAGTACACATTCTTATTTTGATTTATAAAATAGCTATATACTTACTTTTCAACTGTCCTATGGTTTTTAAGATGTCCTCTTGCCTTAATATTTAAAATCAAATACAATATTTAGCCATCTATTATTTTCTATATTGTATTTTTTCTGAAATATTTACCGAGAAATATTTTTCCTTAAGTTTAGTATGCTAACTGAACTTCAGTGGTACCTTAATTTCATGAAATGTTTTTCAAAGTTTGTTAAATTGTAATTTATGATCTAGTATTAGATTTGCATTTAACAGTTGCTATATTTCTAAAATTAGAATTAAAAGTGAACCAATTCAGATGGGTTTATACCCAAAACAATTAGGGATACAAATTTCTTTCATTGTAGTGACACTTTCATTAGCTAAATGGGCTGTAACAAAAAAAAAGATTGTGTTTACCAAAATATTTTAGTCCTGAAACAACCACTCCTCCCTCCACCCCAATTAAATAAGTTCATTTTAATCTGTTAAATTTACCTTAATTTTTTTTTTTTACTAACTGTAGAAGCTCCACGATCTGTCAATATTATGTTTAATCAGATTTCCAAAACTTCCGGATGAGAGTTTTGCTTGCAAAACTAATTAGGAATTTACAGCTAAAATATCATTGTCATTATTCAGTATCATTACCCTATGTGAATTCATTTTTATAAGCTCAAATAACTAATATATTCATAAATTCAAGTAAGAATTTTCTGTGTATTAGGTACAGAAAACCATCCTAAGCTAATGGATATTACAAAATAATAGATTCAAAATTGCCACTGCTTGCAGGAGTCAAGAAAATGATCCTTGATTCTTTTAAATGTCATAGACTAACAGACTTTTAGGATGGTATACTATTCTAACTCTTATCTTACCAAGAAAGGAATTAAAAGCCACAAAGACTAAATGGTTTTACCATAGTGAAGAAAATGACAAAATTACCTTAATAGCATCCTACATTTCTATGGAATTTTAAATTTTATTAAGATGTTCAGGTGCTAGCAATCATGCCAACATTCTCCCTCTTTTCTTTTAAGCTTCTACCCTTCTTTTGTAACTTGAGTTTCCTTCAATGTCACATGCTTTCTTTTCACTCAACTTACTGGGTCATTTAATTCATCATTCCCGTTTTCGTCATCCAAGCCACCGAATTTCCTTCTAACCTCTCTAGCCATTGTCAAGGCAATTCACCTGATATTCTGTACTCCATTAAATTCCCTTCCATTTTTATAGTCTGCAAATTGTGCTGCTGCCTTTCTTAGATTTTAGTATCTACAGCCTCTTGCTTTTAGGGTTCAGATGAAGTCCATCGTCTCTGTATAGGCCCTCCCTTATCGCAACAGTCTTTCAGTAGCAGAAACACTTAAAGCCTTCCTCTTTGGGTGAAACTCTGATACAGACACCACCCACTATTAATTCCAGTACAAGGCTTGTTTCCCCGGTGTCAAGGATTGATCAATTGTAAGTTACCATCTTACCTAGATGTTTTAATTTACCCAGGGAGTTGAGCTTATATTGAGTCATTACATGAATCATAAGGTCTGCTCCCTGTCACCACCTAATCATGTGGTTTACAGCAAGTTCACTATTATATATTCTCCAGGTCTCAGTTTCCTCGACAGTAATGAGGGGACTCTCCTGGATTTTAACTTACTTTTAGCTCTAAAACACTGTGATTCTTCTCACTTCCAGGCTCACATTTGCCCCTCTTGTTTTCATGATTAGTAGAAGGGAAAAGATGCCCGAAAGTTCAACTACCTGTTCACATAGATTAGTAGCTATTTGCCTTTCAAATGAAGTTGAACTATTTTCTTCCACCTTTAAAATACACTGTGAACATCATCTCCATTTCTGAACAGCTCCACAGTGTTTTTCTAACTATAGTGTTTGTGCTAAATGTGAATAGACCAGCAAATTAATGCGGTTTAGCTCATTCGAAATCCAGATTGGCAAGTCTCTTTCTCTGAACTCAACCAAATAGGAATCAGTTTTAAAGGCATGGTTGTGTTTCATATAGGGAGGAGGCTTGTATTTATTTATGCATTGTGGCCTTCCATTTTTTAACACAAGCCATATATTTTCAAAGAGACTTTAAAGCAAACTTGCAAAATATTACACAAAGCAGGTTTTAACAGTTCAAGAAAGTCTATGTCGTATAGCTTATGTGCTTTACAAACATCCCATGTAATTCTCACAGCAATACTGTGAGGCAGGCACTATTATTTCCTGCATTTTATAGATAAGGAAACTGAGGCAGCTAAGTTAGCAGGCTCAAAGTAGCCTAGGCTTCAATCCCACATAGTCTGGGAGCACATTATTCAACCTGAAATCAAATGATATGGCATCTCTGGTGCTTATTAATAACCAAATGCAACAGATAAATTATGGCTTTGATTTCCTTTCTTTGCAGCTTTCATTTTATAAATACAAAAGGCCACTGTCTGAAAATCCATTTTGTTTCATCAATGCTTGAATTCAATCAATGATAATACACTCTTGGCTAATTGAGAGAAAGGTTAAAGCCACCTTTGAATGTGATTAACAAATAACCAAATGAAAAACAAAAACCTTTATACCTATGGCAGACTGATCAGAGCTACATTCTGCTCCTGGCAAGAAGTGAAACAGGTAGTTCAACTGCAATTGTGTGAAAGAGAAAGTGAGAGTAATAAACAAAATGTATAGCACAAATCTAGATGGGATTTGGACTGGTGTAGTTCTATGTATCTCTTATTTCCCAACAAATTAAGGTAAATTGAGGCCACACTTGTCTCCGTACAATTCATCATCCAAAGACATTTCAGAACGATTTCCACACAGAGGATCCATCGCATAACATCAACATCACAATGGTTGCATTTTCAATATTCTCTGAGTAAGTTCTGTTTAAAACACTTTCAAAACTAATTTTTTTCCCGGCAGGATGATATAAGCGGACAAAACTACCATGCGACTGAAAAGGAATTGATCAAAATACGGAGTCAGAGACATTGGCAAAAATGGCTTTAATCTGAGCAGAAAGATACATTTCAGTTTGGCTTTGTATTGAATATTTTCAATAATGGTCAAATTTTCCTACTGTCCTAACCTCCTTAACAAAGCTAAACATCTTACAGCTTATCTGTGCTATCTCCTGATGCCTCTTCATGGAAGAAGGTGGGAGGGATGGGTGGTGGAGGGTGGTCAGCTACCAGCTGCTGTTAAAATCTGTCAACTGGCAAGTGAAGCCTTCTGATTTGTGAGCAATTTCCAAAAGAAAAAAAATCAGAACTACCATCTGGGAAGTAGGAAGAAGATACCACTTGGCAAAAATGATTCAGAAAACACAGGCAAACACAGAAACACACACAAACATATCAATGTGTACACACACATACACACAGAGAAAGGCAATGGCCTCAGCTGATAAAACCATCAATCTCCTCCTACTACTTTTTTTTTTTTCCAACTAGACTAACATCAAAAGCGAGGTCAGAGGGTGAGCGACAGAACTATTGACTGGATTCTATTGATAGCCCCACTGCTGACTCACTACTCTACTTCAAGCAAACCACCTGTTATGAATTTAGGGCATAGTTTATCAATTTGCAAAGCAGGTGTGTGCATTCTCACCTTCCACAAATCATGAGGCTCATTTAAATGAGGATTTCAAAGAACTGTGCTATTCTGGGAATAGAACTCCCGAAAGGAAGTGTAACATGTCATTTTTAGAGTTCCAAATGATCTCCATACACTCATCAAGAGTCTTCACAATCAACAGAAAACCACCAGTGGGCACCGCTATTCGCTCAAGCAGGTGCAGTGGAAAAGCCCGACGCCTATTCCCAGCATGAAACATGGCTGCCCCAAGTATTGGAAGAACATGATGCTCTTTCTATCTCCTTTTCCTCCCACATTCACCCAAGACTGTGCTCCAAAGGGACCACTTCACAACCAGGTGTGATGGTGGGTGCCTTTAATCCCAGCTACTCAGGAGGCTGAGGCACAAGAATCACTTGAACCGGGGAGGCAGAGGTTGCAGTGAGCTGAGATCATGCCACTGCACTCCAGCCTGGACAACAGAGCGGGACTGTCTCAAAGTTGCAGGGGAGAAAAAAGAACCATTTCATTCTTAACTGTGATGCTCAGGCTGGCCCTATGGGAACCACTCAGATGAAAAGTAGTTATGCAAAGCTTGCTACTCTGGCCTCATTCTGAATTTTGCACTGAGGGATAGGATAGCTACTTTCAGTATTAAGAAATAGTTCCCAGAACTTAATGTTAAAACATTCCACATTTGTCTTTGATTTCACCTGATAAATTCCACTCAGTTTCTCCTACTTTTTCTGAATTACACTTTAAGGTACTGTCATTATGCACAATACTTTCAAGTTCATAGTTATAAATTAATTGTAAATTTTCTTTTACAATTATCTTTTAAACTCAATTAAAAATAGTATGGGGTTTACTTTTTTTTAAAAAAAGAGTATTTATTTCAGCACTAGTTGTACAATAGAAGAACATAAGACTTTGGTCTCTCAGAATGGTAACATTTTAATGTCTTTTCCCATTCAGTCATAAACCTGTTCTCCTTAATTAGCCTTTTCAGGTAAACCTTAATCCTACTTTGACACTTATAATTAACACATAAATTAATATAAAAATTTTTCCAACTCACCTAAAAGTTTAAATGAACAGAGGAATTTCACAGTTAATTCTGTATAGAGAGACCATAACATTGTGGTTAAGAGACAGGCTGCCTATATTCAAATCTTGGTCTGTCAAATATGAGCTGTGTGACCCTGGTAAGTTTAAATGCTCTGTGCCTCAGCTTCCTCTTTTGTAAAATGGAGTTAATAGTATTTACAGAATTGTTGGGAGGATTGAATGATTTAGTGTACATAAAGCATTTAGAACTCGTACAGTAAGCAGGCTTTCAGGAAGCGATAGTGATTATAATCATTGTCATCCCAACCACAACACTGTCCAATACAACTTAGTAAATGCACAACCCACTGTGTTTGGGGCTCTAATCAAACCATTGCAAGACAATCAATTGAAGGTAGAAGCCAAACATAAATGACTAGTCAGCACATCATATAATGGCATAACACAACTGAGCAAATTCTGCCTTCCAAAACCCAGCCAGGCCAGGAAGGACACAGAGCTGTCTTCTCAATATAGAGAACCTCAGATGGAACATCACAGCCTTCAGTGATAAGAAGGATAAGGGTAATAACACTTTCTGGCATATAAAACTCAGAGGTTTCTCTTTCCCAAGGAATCAAATCCCACATTTGGCACAACCCCCAGCAGTGAAGAAGTCTGCAATAAAAATGAGCAACATTTCAGAAATACACCGCCTGCACAAAATATAAAGTTCCCTCTGAAATAAAAAGGCTCTTTTCAAGCAGCTTGGGGAAGGCAAAAAAGGAGAACACAAGACTCAAATTAAACATGGCTGACTACAGACTTGAGATGTATTTCCAATCAGGGATCCATGTCTGATTCAATGGGCAGGTCAAAGACAGTGAAACTCCCAACATAACATAAAACATGCAAGGTCTTGGTGCTGCAGGAACCAAAGGATAGTGATCAGTGATATGTCACCTCTGAGAGTATTACTGTGGTGCATGTAAGGCTGGACTGAAATACAATGAACAACCAACTCATGCTTCAGTATAAAAAATGGAATATCTAGTGAGAGAAGGATGATAGTAAACATTTTTAAACAGTCAATGAAACATAGGTAACAACCTGTCAGAATACTGTCTGGATGTAAAAGCTTTGCTTATACCCATCCCTTCCATGTGCCCTTATACAGACCTAGGTCTAGAGCTACCAACCAGAAACTGAGGTTCCTCTCCATCTCTCTTCTTGGGCTCTACTTCTGAGATGGCTACAGCCATTCTCTTTCTTGGTCCTACATCGATATCATTGGATCTACATTCATTTTGGAAAGCATGGCTATCAGAGACATAACATGGTCAAGGCTGAATTAGGATGGGAAGCCATATACTGCAGTCACAGATGCTAAGGGGAGGAAACAGGAAAAGTAAGAAGCTCTCAGGGAACTTTCTCTCATTTTCCCACCTATTTTTAATGAAATAAAGGCTAATTTCAGAAAAAGATAAATTTAAGGCAAAGAGCATTAAATGACAGAGAAGTTAGTTTTACAAAGGATAAAAGACAAAATTCGCAATGAAGACATCAGCATCATAAACAATTTTGCGGAGACACACAGCATTGAAATGTATAAAAAACATTTAAGACATGCATTAAAAAAACATTTTAAGTCTCTGAAAGATCAAGCAGGCAAAAAAGTAGTTGAAAATAAAAATATAACTAATAGCTTCAGGTACATAAAACTTCATCTCTTAAAAGCAAAAAGGACACCTAATTTTAAAGTGTCAAAGTACCTATACTTGGTCTTAAAGGAAAAGCCAATACATTACTAGAAGGAGAAGCTGTTATTCATTTATTCTCATATATTCTCTGAGTACCTTCTACATGCTATGCGGTATACTGGCTCTGATGTTACAGTAGTAACCAAGACAGACATGCTGCTGCCTCTACAAAGCTTAGAAACTAGCAAATGAAAGAGAAAAGAAAATGGGGGCTATGGTTTGACTGTGTCTCCTTCAAAATCCAGGTGTTGCCAAAGTGGTAGTATTAAGAGGTGGGGACTTTAAGAGGTGATTAGGCCATGAGGGCTCCTCCTTCCTGAATAGGACTAAGACACTTACAAAAGAGGCTTCACATAGTGAGCTCACTCAGTGAATTTGCTCTCTTGCCCTTCCACCTTCTGCCATGTGAGGATGCAGCAAGAAGGCCTTCACCAGACACCAGACACCAGATACCAGTGCCTTGATCTTGGATATCCCAACCTCCAGAACTGTGAGAAATAAATGTCTTTTCTTTATAAATTACTCAGTCTCAAGTATTTAGTTATAGCAACATAAACAGATTAAGAAAATGGGTAATTGCAACAGTTTGAAATATACTTTGATATGACAATTGTATGGATCATGGGAGACATTCCCCCCACTCATTGTGATCCATGCTATACTTAAGGAAAAGGGCAGGTTGCTAAGCAAACAAAAAGACAGGGACAAAGAGCTACTCCAAACTTTGAGGGCTCAGATACTACATTACATGTAATAATTTACTATAAGGCATATAAAAGAAAAGCTACCTAATTTTTTAATGAAGACAGCAAAGTGTAGCAAACTTGGAGAATCACCACACATAACCAAATAAGGTTTACCTCAAGAATTCAAGAATAGTTTAATATTAGCAATTAATATGTATCATTTGATCCAATAGAAAAATGTAATTAGAGAAATATTTTATTGTTTTTTTTTTAACAATTTGCAAGTGACTATGGCAAGGGTGCAGAGTACAAGGTTAGTATTCAAAAGTCAACTGCCTTCCTATATACCAACAATAAAACTAAAATAGACCAGCAATAAATTTGAAATTTAAAATAGAATACCACTTACATTAGCACCCCCCAAAATGAAACACTTAGAAATATTTTTGACATTTTGGGGCTGGATAACATAAAAATATACAAAAAATTATGAAAAAAATAAACATTTCACCAAAGGCACAATCCATGAAATAAATAATAAATTGGACTGCATTAAATTAAAAACATCTGCTCTGCAAAACACACTGTCAAGAGAACCATAAGACATGCCACAGACTGAGAGGAAATATCTGTGAAAGATATATCTGATAAACGATTGTTTTCTAAAGTATACAGACAACTCTTAAAACTCAACAGTAAGGAAATGAAAAACCCAATTAAAAATGGGCAGAATGTTTGAATAGATAACCCACCAGAAAATATATACCAATGGCAAATAAGCATAGGAAAATACACTCACCCTCATACATCATTCAGGGGCTACAAATTAAAACACCAATAAGACACTACTACATACTTATTAGAAATGGTAAATGCTGGCAAGGATGTGAAGCAACAGGAACTTTCATTCATTGTTGGAGGGAATGCAAAATGGTATAACCACTTTGGAAGACAGTGTGGCAGCCTCTTACAAAACTAAGATTTCACTATATGATACAACAATTGTGTATTTGTCCAAAAGAATTGAAAACACGTCTACACAAAAACCTGTACACGGATATTTATAGCAGCTTTATTTATAATTGCCAAAATTTAGAAGCAACCAAGATGTCCTTCAGTAGGTGAATGGATACATAAACTGTTACATCTAGATAATGGAATATTATACAGCCCTGAAAAGAAATTAGCTATCAAGCCATGAAAAGATATGGAGAAATCTTAAATGTATACTATAGGTGAAAAAAGCCCACGTGAAACACCTATATACTATATAAGTCCAACTATATAACATTCTGGTAAAGACAAAATTATAGAAACAGTAAAAAGATCAGTGGTTGTCAGGGGTTAGTGAGGAGGGAGTTATGAATAAGCAGAGCACAGAAGATTTTTTAAAGCAGTGAAAATATTATGTATGATGCTATAAATGGT
This sequence comes from Homo sapiens, assembly GCF_000001405.40. Taxonomy (NCBI): domain Eukaryota; kingdom Metazoa; phylum Chordata; class Mammalia; order Primates; family Hominidae; genus Homo; species Homo sapiens. The sequence continues at coordinate 62,024,724 of NC_000014.9, read as the reverse complement.
AGATGCATATTATTATATACTTGTCAAAAATCATAGAACATACAACACCAAGAGTGCAGGCTAATATAAACTCTAGACTTTGGGTGATAATGATGTTTCATTGCAGGTTTACTGATTGTAATAAATCTACCACTCTGGTGGAGAAGAATGATAGTGGGGGGAAAATGGAGAACACAGGGTGTATGGGAACTATGCACTTTCCGATCAATTTTATTGGGAACTTAAAACTGCTCTAGAAAGTCTATTAACTAAAAAGCTATCTGTTTTCCATAATTTTTATTTTAAGGATAATACACATACATCACTTTTCTTAAATAAAAGAGTAGTAATCAGTAATAAAAATAGCAATCCTTTGTCCCACCTCGCAATTTTGCTCCTCTGCAGCCAATATTTTAAACTCTTAGAGCTGATTCTTCTGGTATTTACCTTCATTTTTCTAAGTATATTTACACTACTACTTTTCACTTATCAAGTTTGAATATTATAGAATTCCTGCGGTAGATGAAACTCTAGCTATTTTGCACGACTTCCATTCTCTTCCACCTTTGTCCAAATATTATATACAAAATTTTTCATTAAGTCAACAGTTGCTATTTATATTATTATGACCATAAAGATATTGTTCATATCTGAGCTGTTTTACTAATATTTGTAAAAGGGTAACAGGAAAAAATTCAGAAAATATTCCACATTCCTAAGTGGAAAGGCATATTTTAAAGACACCATTTCTTCCTCTACTTTTTATATTAGATAAACACAATAAGGTTTTTATGGGAAATTGATAAAACATTTTCCCATATAAACTTTAGAATCAAACAGCCAAGACTAGCACATGTTTGAAAAAGAATACACTACCAATGTTTGGTTAAAGATAAGATAAACAGGACATGTTTGCAAGGTAGCAAGACTACACGATTAAAAAACTAAGGATGGAGTACCTTTTATCAGAATAACCATCCCACAAAAGCCACCTCTAAAAGCTGAATGAAAAAATATACACAATTGTTTGAACAAAATTTTGAAGCTATTCAAGAACAACTGGCACAGGTAGGACTTAAGAATCTATGATCCTTGAGAGAAGAAAAGCACTGAAGGTAATCTACACATTCACTTCAACTATTTCCTTGGGAGCACTGTTCAAAATTCCACCATGGGGAACTAGAGATGAAGAGAAAATGGTAAAATCAGCCAAAGCAGCTGGGACAAAATTCCTGGGAGTAGGTAAGCACAGAAGAGTGAACCCAAAAATATGAGTAAAAATTTCCCCCAAGTTGTTGGCCAATTCCTAAGCTGGCAGCTGGGAAACTAAAAAGCTAAGCAGAGATTTTATCACCTGTATGTTTGGGGGAAGTCAGAGTTTGGTGGTCAAATTCTACTAAGGTAAAGTACACTTGATAAATACTTGGACTTTCATTGAGATGTGAGGCACTGCAGGTTAGCAATAAGAGCCATCTCTAAGAACAAAGGTAAGACTGCAATAAACCTACCCAAACAAAGCCTAAAATAAGCCCTTGAAAGTGTCAAGGTAATCCACTGGTATTCCAGCTCCCAGCCAGCAGGGAAAAAGAAGAAAAAATCATGGACAGCCTCAACAATTTTTGATGCACAATGTTTGGCAGTAAGTCACAAATTACTGGGCTTACTGAAAAAACAGTACCAAATGACATAAAACCGAAGAGAAAATCAGTCAACAGAAATAGAACCACAAGCAATTCTAACAATGAAGTTATCAGACAAGGACTTTAAAATTATTAAGATTAATATGTTTTTAAAATTTTTTAAGCATGAATATTTAAATAGAGATGTAGAATCTGTTTATAAGGGGACTCAAATGGAAAATCTAGAACTTAAAAGTATTCTATAACTAAAATTAAGAATCCAATTGATAGCTTTGCACAGTGGCAGTATCATAGCCAATGAGTACACAATTATTGCTAAGTGAAATAATCCAATTGATGAACCCAATGGCAGATTAGACAAAGCAAAGCAGAAAATAAGCAAACTGAAAATGCCTACACTGAAGTACATTTTTTAAAACCGGATAGTAAAAAAAGCACAAATAGTGTATGACATATATACATATGTCTGTGTGTGTGTGTGTGTGTGTAATACAAATTATAGAAGGAGAAAAGGAAATGTGGCAGAAGCAATATCTGAAGAAATAGGGGCCAAAAATTCTCCAAAATGAATGAAACATCAAACACGAAATCAAGATAAATAAAAAGCAGATCACACCTAAATACATCATGGTAAAACTGCTTAAGAAAACAAAGAGAACTCGCAGAAACAGCCAGTGCAGAACAGAATATTAGCTTCAAAAGAACAATAAGAATGAGGTCTAAATATTCAACAAAAAATTTCAAAGCTGGAAGACAATGCAATGATATATTTAAAGTGCTGAAACAAAAAAAGAACTACCAATTCAGAATTTTACTTCAAAAATAAAGGAAAATACATTTCAAACACATATATGCTAAGAAATTCATAACCAGCAAACTGGCACTATGAGAAGTACTAAATGGAATTTTTGAAGCTAACAGAAAACAGTCTCATATGGAATTATGGAAATGTAGAAGGGAAGATTGAGTACATGTGTAGGTAGATATAAAATACTGACTAACAAGAATTATAATACTCTTCCCATTGGAAAAGATTGTCTCCCACTCCTTAAAAAAAAAAAAGAAAAAGAAGAGATTTGCAAAATTATAACTTTTATTGAACCCATTAGAAAGCACTTGGCTTTTAGGGCAACCAAAATAACCCAAAATTTAAGAAAAGACAGGAGCCTCCAAAGGGAGACAAGATACTAGAATTTGCTTACCTGAGACAGACAGTGGACCCCTGACAAGCCATTAGGAAGAATTTCAGCTAAAAGTTTTAACAGACTGCTAAAGACCAAGTATGAGTTAGCAAGAGAGCACAAAACTTCTAGGAGCTGCAGACAAAATAGAAATTTACACCCACTCACAGACTCTTCTCAACCACCTTCACTGGATGCTAATGAGAAAGACTGGGGGCTGAGGGAGAGACTAGAGAAAGCCTCCCTTTTAGTCCATTCTTGGTAGAGGGAAACAGCAGGCACTGTGGAAAACAGCACTAAATCTACACAGATTCTTGTCCATCTTTCCTAGGAAAAAATAGACTTAAGCCATTGGGGGAAGGACAGAAAATCCTGTTGGCTTTTGGGCACAGTTGAAGACCTCTGCAACTGGGGAAAGGGAACAGGAAAAAAACAACAACCGAAAAAAAAATAATAATAATAAAATAAAATAACCTCAACCTCTAACACTGTAGAGTGGCAGGAATAGAGCCTGGGCCCAGGTCATGAGATGTCTCCTACATCTGAGAAAGAGGAAGGATTAATAAGAAGGCCACACCCATGACAGCCAAGGAGGTAACACCCACCTAAGACCACACTTACACCAGAACAACAAAGACCACCACTCCATTCTGCCCACTAGGCAAATTCCAAGCAATGCCTTAGAAAATGCAATAAAACTTATTTTGGATTTTACTCTTGCCTTCTGGAGTGATTGTGACCGTAAAAGCAATGGAATAATCATCCCCTCAAAATGATCAACTCACACTCTATAAAAGCATATTTGGAAAAATATTTACAGAACATCACAAAAAGCCTTAATAATTATTATAATACAAGATGAGTTCTTAGGAGAGGAATTAAGAAGAAAATTTCCAACACAGAATAAAACCATGAGCAGGGCACCGACATAGAGAGCAGGTACACAGGTTTTTTAAAAATCAGAAACAGCTCACACTCCAAGAAAGAATAAAATGTCACCACTTATGAGTGTGAACCTTCACAGCTTTGCTCTTTCTCAAGCCACCTGCATCCTGAGAAGCCATGTGGCTGCATGGATCATGCCCATGGTCACTGCCAAGCAGCATAGGTGGTGTGTGCCAGCACTGGGGACATGCGGTGCCCCAACCATCACAGTGGTTATGCTCGCTTAGAAATCTCCAGCTTGATCCTAGGAGGCTCCTGACGCCCACCAGGAATTTTAGCTAAGCTTCGCCGAGATTCCCTGAGTTTAACCAAAGTCAGAACCAGGTGGAAAGAGCCCACTGCTGGCTGGTGAAAACGAATTGGAGAGAGGGAAATGAAAACATGGACAACTTTTTAAGAGTTGAAAGGGAATCTCCGTTACCTTTTGTCCCCCTCCTCCCTTGGAAAATGTGGAAAACTTTGCAACTGAACCCTCCAAATTCAATTCAACAATTCCTGGGCAAATGTATGGGTAACTTTAGGAACTATTCTAAAGACGGAGAGAGAAGAGGACAGAAAGAGGGAGAGGGAGAGGTGTATGCGGTAGGATCACATGTGCTTTCCTAAAATTAAGTGACAAAGATGGATATTATTATATATTATATTATACAAGATATATACACACACAGTAGTAAACTTGAGTGAGGTGGCATGTTAATGTACTTTTACTATTGAGGTGAAAAAATTCTTTAAGAAAATGAAATAATTGAGGCTTTTAAACATTTTGGAATCACTCACTGAATTTCTTTCCATCCCACTGAAATAAGGTGTCACAAAATAAGGGATCAGAATTCAGCATGAGAACTCCATCAAGACTGTCAGGCAAATTTCTTCAGGAACCACTACATGTGATTTATGAAGTGACCCAGATAAAATCAAATTCCTTCATGAATTTAAACCTATCTCTAACTAGTAAGTTAGAAAAAAACCTGAAAGGATTTCTTTATTTAAAAATTTAAAAAAGAACAATTCCCTTGACTAATTCTGACTACCGCCTATCTCCAGGCCTTCTGGCAGCATTACTAGTGTTTGATGGGATTGTGGTCAGGCCACCATTTAGAATCAGGTGTCAGATAGGCGCTTTTAAATGATGTAGTGGGCAGCTCATCTTCACAGGAGCCCCAGGAAAAGCGGTCAGTGCCCGCTGCACTGCAATCACACCTCATAGGGTGGAACAGGGACTTCCCATGACTTAGATTACACTCTGCCTATTGTCTGATAATATAGCTGGCTAGCAAAAGAGGACTCACTGTGTTTGCAAACGTACCCCATGAAGAAGCAAACACCTGGAAGCATCTCCTTTGATTCTAGGCCAAACTTCACATTTCAAAAGACCATAAAGATAAAACAAAAAAAAGTACAGCAATATGTGAAAACAGAAAATGTGCTTGTTTCATCCTAATTCTGTGCCTGGGTTTGTACAGCTTCTCACATCTAACTAGATACCATTATCCTCGCATTTCAGATGAGAAAAGAGAGCCTCTACCTGTTCCCACAGGTACACAGCAAGAAAGTAGCAGCGTCAGCATTTGAACCCAGATGGCTCCAAAAACCAGGGTCTTCACACACACGCTCACTGTGATAAGTTAAAAAATGGGACTGACTCATTTCATGAAAAAAACATATCAAATATCTTCATTTCTGTGTTTAGTTCCACATTCCCCAATTCTTTTAAGAGAAAGGCGCATTCTAATTCTGCTAGATGATCTGCTAAAATTCAAGCTTAAAAATAAAATCTTTTGTATTACTACAGTGTTATTCCTTCTGTTCAAGCTTTGGCCTACTTCTTTCTAAGGCATTGTGAAGTGAAGAAAAACTTCACTTTTCCTTACATGTCAATAGCTTATAATTCCACTGATTACAAAACTAAAAATGTCTCACAGTAAATTCAGTCACTTAGTTTGTGAATGCTGTCACAATGAACTGTTTGGAAACAGAGTACACCAAATTTTTTAAAGTATTCTTTCATTTATTCAACAAAGATTTGTTACCACCATGAGGCAAGCGCAGATGCAGGGGCAACACCAGTGAAAGAGGTGGATGGAAACGCCTGCCCTCATGGAAACAAACAAACAAGTAAAACAGGTCCAATAGTAAGAAGCACCGTAGAGTGAAACATAAGGCATGGAAAGGGGATGGGGACAGGTGGAGAGTGGAGGGAGGTACCGTTTACATTCATGTAGTCAGGGAGACCTCTGAGGGGGCCACATTGGAGCAAAGACCCAACGGAAGTGAGTAATCCAGCCCTGGGGAGATGTGGAGTTTGGGTGTTCCAGATAGGGGAAACAGCTAGTGCAAAAGCATAACTAGCATTTTAGAAGAAGACCCAAGGTAGACCAGGCACGATGGCTCATGCCTGTAATCCCAGCACTTTGGGAGGCCAGGGTGGGCGGATCACCTGAGGTCAGGAGTTCGAGACCAGCCTGGCCAACATGGTGAAACCCCATCTACTAAAAATACAAAAAATTAGCCAGGCGTGGTGGCAGGTGCCTATAATCCCAGTTACTTGGGAGGCTGAGGTAGGAGAATCGCTTGATCCTGGGAGGCGGAGGTTGCAGTGAGCTGAGATCGTGCCATTGCACTCCAGCCTGGGTAACAAGAGCGAGACAGTCTCAAAAAAAAAAAAAAAAAAAAAAAAAAAAGAAGAAGAAGAAGAAGAGAAAGACCCAAGGGGACCAGAGTTCCTGAATCAGAGTGAGCAAAGAGAAAGGAACAGAATAAGGTCAGAGAGGCAACAGAGCTAGATGACACAGGACCTTATTGCCACTACAGGGGCTCTGGCTTTTACTCTAAATGCTTTGGAAATTATTGACAGCAAAGGAATGACATGCTTTGACGTAAGTTTAAAAGGAATGCACTATGTCGAAAACAGACCACATGAGAGGGAGAGATGGATACAGAGAAATCAGGAGGTAAGTTCAATAACACAGGGCGAGGTGGCTCATGCCTATAATCCCAGCACTGTGAGAAGGTGAAGCCAGAGGATTGCTTCAGGCTAGGAATTCAAGACTAGCCTGGGCAACATAGTGAGACACTGTCTCTACAAACAAATGAAAAAAATTAGCCAGGTGTCATGGTGTGCACCTGTAGTCCTAGCTACTCAGGAGGCTGAAGTTCACCTGAACACAGGAGCTCAAGGCTGCCGTGAGCTATGACCGCACCACTGCACTCCAGCATGGGTGACAGCATAAGACCTCATTTCAAAAAAAAAAAAAAACCACACACTGAGAATAATGGTTGCTTAAAGCACCACGATAGCAGTGATGGTGGGAAGACGCAGCCTGAGTTTAGATATATTGTAATGGTAGAGCCAACCAGAGTTGCTGATGGATTACATGCATGAATAAAAGGGAGAGGTATGAATAACTCCAAGATTTTTAAACTGAGAAACTAGAAGAATGAAGTTGCTATTTAGAGATAAGCATAATTGTGGAAAGCACAGGATTTTGAGAGGAGGTCAGAAATTCAGATTTGGACACACTAATTTTGAGGTATCTGTTAGACATCCAAGCAGAGTTATAAGCATATGCTTGGATAATTCAAGCATAGTTTATAGATTTGTCAGCATGTGAATGAGATTAGGATGTGATGATATCAGGAAGAGAGACCAATCCTAAGGCTGAGCCCCAGATCACGGTAACATTTAGAAGTCAGGGAGGCATTGGAGATCAAGCAAAGGAAACTAAGAGAAAGTGACCAGGTAAGTAGGAGGAAGCATTTATTTCCTACACCAACAATGAAACTTTGGATCTCTAAAGAATTATTAATAAAACCAGTATTTGATGAATATCAGTTTTCACAAATTTTCTTTTTTTAAATCCCCGCAATTCAATAAAACAGAGCAACCCAAAAGAGCATGCCACTAAGATTCTTTGGGCATGTTCTCCTCAAGTCTTCTACTTTGCCTGACAAAGTTATGGCAGAATTTCAGCAAAATTTAACTAACCTTCCCACTAACTTAAGTTGTGAAATATTTATTATGAATCTAGCACAGGAAAATCACAGTACTAAACACACTGGTGATGGGATACAGGGATGAGTAATAATATGGGGTCCCTGTTCTAAAGAGTCCACAGTTTAGCAGGAGAGCTCAAATATGTACATCAGAAATAGAGATAAAGTTAACATAGATAAAATCATAGCAGTTATAAAAACATACTTAGGCATCAAATAATTTGACAAGAATCCCATTATAAGCAATGCCATAACTTTATTTTTTTTCTTTTTTGAGACAGAGTCTAGTTCTGTCACCCAGGCTGGAGTGCAGTGGTGTGATCTCAGCTCACTTCAAGCTCTGCCTCCCGGGTTCATGCCATTCTCCTGCCTCAGCCTCCCGAGCAGTTGGGACTACAGGCACCCGCCACCACGCCCGGCTAATTTTTTTTTTTTTTTTTTTTTTTTGTATTTTTAGAAGAGACAGGGTTTCACACCGTGTTAGCCAAGATGGTCTCAAACTCCTGACCTTGTGATCTGCCCGCCTTGGCCTCCCAAAGTGCTGGGATTACAGACGTGAGCCACCACACCCGGCCAATGCCATAACTTTAAAGCAAAATGTACTTGAATTATTTCAAAGACTCAAATGATGATGATCTTATTAAATGTTCTTCAGCACTAATATTGAATGATAGTGCCTCTCTGGTATGTATAACATCTCTCTCATCTTTGCTACAAAATCTTTTAACAGGAGGACACCTCTTGTGAAAATGACTTGGAGCTGTGCCATGGAAACTGAAACATCATGACTTCATTTCCATAGCTGGAGTGCCAGAGAAGAGTTACTGCTCCCTTGATCTTTTGTTCCTGGAGCATGCTCAGGAGGTGTTGCCAGAACACATCAAGAGACACTGTAAATGGTTTCACTATTGACAAGTTTTCTGAAACAGACCCATTCACAGCTGTTCACGGTAACGGTGATACCATGTTAGCCACACCTGTGCAACCAGAGCTCCCAGGACTATCCTGGGGGAAGGACTCATATGTCTTGCCTTATATCTCAAAGAAACAATTAAGGACTAAGAGTGAAGGCTGACACAATAATAGTCACGATTTATTTTCACTTATTTTAGTTCGTTCAGGCTGCTATAACAACATACCATAAACTGAGTGGCTCATGGACAACAGAAATTTATTTCTCACAGTTTTGGAGGCTGAGAAATTCAAGATCAAGGTGTCAGCAGATTCAGTGTCCCATGAAGGCCAACTTCTGAGACAGAGTCTTCTCACTGTGTCCTCACATGGTAGAGGAGGCAAGGCGGCTTCTGGGGCCTCTTTTATAAGGGCACTCATCCCATTCATGAGGGCTCTGCCTTCATGATCTGATCATCTCCCAAAGGTCCCACCTCCTAATACCATCATACTGGGGACTATGTTTTAACATGTGAATCTGTGGAGGAGACACAAAAACCTTCAGATCATAGCACTTGTTTTTTAAGTCCTCATTAATGTTGGGAGGAGAAGGTCAAGGCAAATGTCTTCATAAGGCAAACACAGACTGTCAAAAATGTTAAGAACTTCGGCTGCATTCTTCTAATAATCTGTAATCTAAAAGTATTTATAGGATATTTACACTGGTCATCTTTCTGGAGATGATGAAATACAGTGGTGACAGCTAAGATTAGGTTTATGTTCCTTCATTTAGCCATTCATTTTTTTTTTTGTTAATGAAACTGATGCCATGCTAAATGCTGGCAATGTAAAAATTATTGGGAAAGCATAAACCCCTCAAAGAGTCTACAGATTTGAGTGGGTACATCCATAAAAAAATTTAGATACAATATAAAATCTATATTATTGAGAAATGTAACATGCTATCGGAACATAGAAGAGGAAGCAGCTAACTGCCAGAAAAAGGCAGGGAGAGGGAATGTGCAGAATGCAACAGAAGCTGGAGAAAGAAGACAAGGAAGGCTTCCTAGAGAAAATGCTGCTTGAGATGACTCTTGAAAGATGAACAGTTTTCACGAGGAAGGCACAAGGTTGGGGGAGATGAAACCAAAGGTTTTAGGTATAAAGTGTACTTAGTATTTCAGGATGCTAGAAGACAGTAGACATAAATCATTGAAGGCTATGTATCTTTCAAAGGAAGTTGTACTGGAAGGCTTTTTGTATGAGAAAATATGAAATCTGATGCAGACTTTAAAATGAACATTCGGAGGGGGAAACTCAAGAATGAATAAAAGATGGAAATAACATAAAAATAGAGAAACCAGCCGGGCGCAATGGCTCGTGCCTGTAATCCCAGCCCTTCGGGAAGCCAAGGCGGGTGGATCACCTGAGGTCAGGAGTTTGAGTCCAGCCTGGCCAACATGGTGAAACCCCGTCTCTACTGAAAATACAAAAATTAGTTGGGCATGGTGGTGGGCACCTGTAATCCCAGCTACTTAGGAGGCTGAGGCAGAAGAATTGCTTGAACCCAGGAGGTGGAGGTTGCAGTGAGCTGAGACTGCACCATTACACTCTGGACATTATTGGAATAGACCAAGCAGAAGAGGATGCATATCTGAATTAAGGTAGTAGGGATAAGGAGGAGTTGGACAGATACAAGATAAGCAGCAGAGACGGAATCAATAGGATTTGGTATATACTGAACAAAATATAGGCAAGGTGGGGGAGCTGTGAAGGATAAGAGATTGAGAAGGACTTATATCTTACTTTGATAACAGGATGTCCATAACTAAGAAAGGAAGATGATTAGTTATGTTTTTAAACATGTATGTGATATCTGTCATCCACGTGAAGGCAGTTGGATCTGTGAACCCACGGTTCGAAAGAGGTCCAGACTAGAGATGAAGATTTGTCATGGAAGTCATGGAAGGATGCATAAGAGGGAACCAAATATTTAAGGAACGGGCAAAGGAAGGTGAATGAAAAGGAATGACTAGGAGTGGCAGGGAGAAAACCAGGAACAAGTGGAGTCCAGAACCCAGGTAAGGAATGCATTTCATGGGGGGAATAGTCAACAATTTTTTTTTTTTTTTGAGATGGAATCTCGCTCTGTTGCGCAGGCTGGAGTGCAGTGGCACAATCTCGGCTCACGGCAACCTCCGCCTCCCAGGTTCAAGCAATTCTTTTGCCTCAGCCTCTCAAGTAGCTGGGACTACAGGTGCCCACCACTATGCCCACCTAATTTTTTTGCTTTTTGTAGAGACATGGTTTCACCATATTGGCCAGGCTGGTCTTGAACACCTGACCTCATGATCTGCCTGCCTCGGTCTCCCAACGTTCTGGGATTACGGGCATGAGCCACCGCACTTGGCCGAATAGTCAACAATTTTAACTGTCAAAATAAGTCAGGTAAAGTTGAAGGAGGTGGGGAGGAAGACTGATTTTGCTACTAAACCATTCAGGAGGTCACGGCAATCCAAACAAACAAACAAAAAAACATGCCCATGGGAGTGACAGAAGAGAAGCCAAATCACAGTGAATGAAGAAGCAGGCAGGAGGAAATGGAGACTGCAAATACAGCCTATTTTCCCATAAACTCCTTAAACTCGACCTAGGAATGTGTAAGTCCACTCTCAGAAACCATAATGCCCAGGAATTTTTTCATTGCCAGTAAACGCTGTTGAGCTGAATTTCTTGTAGCAAAGGCATGGGCTGGAAGTGGGGGCACTTCAACCCCCTTTGGGACAACCATCACCATGAGGAGAATGCCTTGATGTTTTGAGTCAGATACATGTGGCTTGAAAACCCAGCTTCTTTACCATATAGTGACACTGAACAAGCTACTTAACCTCCCTAAAATGATCACCTTTTATTTAAAAATAGGAATAATAATCTACCACCACTCTGGATATACCTCATAACATTTCAATGATGATTAAATAATATATGTAAAAAGTCTACCATAAGTTAAGGTTACAACGTAGTTAACTACTATATAGATAACTACTATATAGTTAAGGATGTCACTCTCTACTTATTATTGCTAACATTCACAATTAAGAAGTTCTTCACCTGAAGTGATCTACAAAACCAATAAGGATTCTTGGCAAGTCTCTTGTCTTAGGCACTTTCCGTGTGAAAGCTCATGCTAATGTGAGTTTCCCTGCAGTCTGTATTCCTTTTACTCTCTTTATAATTTCAAAATCAATTCAAATATATAGATTTAGCTTGTAACCAAAATCATCTTAAGAACAATTCCTGGATGCACCATTTGCAGAATAGCCAAGGTAAAGTAAAAGTTGCCTTTTAAGACAAAAATATAATTTCCTCACCTAAAAAAAAATCTATAAGAGTAAATAACTCACATGAAGGCATGTAAGTAGCTCCCACCTTTTGTGCAATTTCTCTATTTACTTAAATGGACAATATAGAATCCTGTGGTAAGAAGATGCTAAAGTAGTCCCCCCTGAGCCCCATTTTCTAGTGTCCATGCCTTTGGTGCCCCTCCCCCTTCAGCACTGATGGCACTTGTGCTTCCAACCAGTAGAATATAGCACAGGTGATAAGATGTCACACCACAATTACATTACATGAGATTCCTTTTGCTATCAGACTCTAGCTTGATGAAGTAAGCAGACATGTTGGGGAAGCCTACGTGGCAAGGTAGCCTCTGGGACCACAGACAGCCTCCAGCAGTTGAGGGTGGCCTCCAACCAACAGCCAGCAAGAAGCTGGGGCCCTCAGTCCTATAACTACAAAGAAATCAATTCTGCCAACAACCTGAGAGAGCTTAGAAGTAGACTTTTCCCCAGTCAAACTTCCAGATGAGGATGCAGCCCAGCTGATACTTTGATTATAGCCATGTGAGACCCTAAGCAAAGGATTCAGCTAACACATGCCTGGACTCCTAATCCATAGAAACTGTGAAATAATAAATGTGTGTTGTTTTAAGCCACTAAATGTGTAGTAATATGTTATGCATGAATAGATAACTAATACAGATCCTATATGGTTACACTATTCTAAAAAGGTGCATGAGAGGTTGTTTTTTTTTTAACATGCAGGAGAAAAGCCATGATCTAAATCAGCAGTGACAGATGATGCACAGCATCAAATATATATATATATATGTGTGTGTGTGTGTATATATATGTGTGTGTGTGTGTGTGTGTGTGTGTGTGTATATATAGTGTTCCCTGACTTGTGGTAGACATGTGTCCATAAGCACTGAGAAATAGGTGTTTGGGGTCCTGTGGTGATATACGGCATATGTGGTGACACAACAAATCTAGGCTTTTCCTTGAAACAGGCTTGTAAACAGCATTCAATGTCAAAGCAGTGGAGAGGTCTATGAATGGCATTGACTCCTCTAATAGAGCTGTGGGGTTTTTTGACACCCATCATCTATTCTTTCCACTTCTGGAATCTTCATTTTCTTCAGTAAATCACCTTTCCTCCACTCTCAGGTAGTTTCTGGAAAAGCTCTCTACCCCAAACACCAGAAGTAGCAGGTGACTTAGGCCTGGCCAATCAGAACATCACATTTCCCTGGCTTCAGAGATTGCTAAAGTTTGTCACATAATTTAAGTCAAGCCACGTGAATCAAGCCAATTAGTGCTAATCCCAGGATTTTCTTCTTATTGCCAGAAAGTGGTGGTGTTTTTTTTTATTTTTCTCCACTGGATTGTAACCTAGGAGGATATAAACCTGGAGGTTCTGGTAACCATCTGACCACACATGGAGCTTGAGAATGGAGCCAGCTCAGATGGAAGTAGAGATTAGAAACTGGAGTTGAAGGGGAGAAACTGGGTCCCAAAGATAACATTTGCACTTCTGGATAGAACTCCCCATGAAACCAGATTTACTCCCAGATTCATCCATTACTTGAGCTCACACCTTTATCTTTGCTTATAAGAAACCGAGAAATTCCTAATTTGAGTTTAGTTCAATTGTGTAAATAGCATGGTTTCTGGGACATAAGCAATATTGCCTCTATGTCACTTTATGGCTAAGAATAAATCCAACTTCGCAAAGGGAAATATTAAGGGTAAGAAATTGTGGTTCATGTACAAACTGATTTAGCAGACACCAAAAGAAGTAACTGCTGGTCATCATGCATCTAAATGTTGAAGAACAGTTTTCTAACTTTCTGCACATAGGGTTTGCAGTGGCTACTTTTTGTGAGATCGAAACAGAATAAAAACCAAGTAGTCCCAGAAAAACCTAAAGTTCTTATTTTGGTTTTGAAATAGGCTCTGATATTACAGCTTAAGAAGATACTGCTTGATGTTTCAACTTTGTTTATCCTCACCCCCACCTCCCCGCAAAAAAAAAGACAAACAATTTTTGAAATAATATAAAAGTTCTCAAAGTCCTTCCATGAACAGCAATGTCTCCTGTGATGATCCTATACCTGACATCCTTCAGTAAAAATGTATTAAATATTAGGAAATTTCTAGGATAGCAGAAATTCCAGAGTAACCACTGGATGGTATTACCGATGACCAGATGCTAATAAGCACGGGCAAAGTGAATCAATCGAATACCAAAACACTCCTCACCCCACCCCAGGGCATGACCAGTTATTTTTCCCTATACCCAGAATGTTCTTCCCTCAAATATTTGCACAGCTCTCATCTTCACTTCATTCAGGTCTCTGTTTACATGCTGCCTTCTCAGAGAGATCATCCTATAAAATATAGGACCACCCTATTAAGGTAGCATTCATCTAATTAATTTGTATCCCCTTATCCTGCTTTATTTTTCTACATGGCACTTTTCATCACCTGACATGTTATATTTATTTGTTTGGCTGGTGAATATCACATATGGGTAAGACATAGATGTCTGCTTCATCAGTTACCTATAATTTCCAGAAAGTGGCAGTTTACCTGCAGAATCTAAGTTTTGTGCACTTAACATAGACTATTTTATAATCTATACAAATGCTTTGACAATACTTTCACTACACTATTGGTCAAATTTCAGGGAAGCAGAAATTATTTCAACAGAGGCAATTTATTTAATACAGGGTATTGGTTTCACAGGTACTGGATGTCAAATGAATAGGAAGAAGAATAGGGAAATAGGCCAGAGATTACAACTGCATGAAGCAGCTAGCACCCCTAGGACTGAGGAACCAAAGGGAAGCAGTCAAATTATCAGAAATATCAGAAATCGGAAGCACCACAGAATTGGGCTCAGGCATCTGAGGAAGAGAAACTGTCTGACAGGTGCTATTCCTCTGAGTGGGTTGCAATGAGGCTGGTTCTGGAACACTGAAAGAAGTTACAGACGAGAACCCAAACTGCTGATAGCAGAGTGAGGGGCTGTGCTGGAGTACCCCTAATAGGAACAGTGAGTAAAACAGGAATCAGTAAGTCCCTTCTCACCTCCTCCCATCTTTCAATGTCTTTTTACTGCTCTTTTGGGCATAGGAGAACCTAGGAGGATCCCGCCAACATAGGAGAACCGTAGTTTGCAGAATTCTAAACCCAACATCCAAAGCAGAATCTAGAAGAATGGATTTGAGCTGAGAGATAGTAGTTTGAGAACCAGCACAGATTCCAACACATTTCTCCAATTTTATATTCTTAGAAAAGCCAAAAATGAATGTACAATGATTAACTCCTGACTGTATTATTACTAGTTTCCTCTTGTAAACTTGGTTGACTTTAATCTAGAGTAAGACAGATAAAATTCAGGAGGTCCATGAACCCATGAAGTGTCATTATAAATTTTTTTGATATGTCATGATGTATCTTTCTGGACAAGTGAGTTTGTAACTTTCATTAAAGTTTCAAAGGAGCCTGTAAACCTCCTAAGATTTGGAATCACTGCCCATGTTCTCATTTGTTCATTATTTAAACTTGCTACTAAACAAACAGACAACTTCTAATACTTAGATTCTTTTAATGCCTTAAGTTCACTATTGACTATGACTCTTTTGGTGACAGAGAGAAGAAGCCAATATGAACCATCTAAAGATAAAGCAAGGGAAGGGAAGGAAATTTATTCAAGGGACCTCGACCAGGAAAGAAACTACCTACTTTAAGAAGGAGGTGTAGAATAGGACTGTCTCTTCATACATACCATCTAAATAAACTCCAGTATATGTGCTCAAAGAGATATTAATATTGCAGAATTATTTTTAATAGTGAAAGTTTAGAAACAAACTAAATGTTCATCAATTGAAGGATGGAAAATGGTATATTAATTAATACAGTTGACTACCATGTAGCAGTAAAAATAAAACAAATCTACATGTATCTGCATAACTCAAAAACATAACATTGAGAAGGAAGGAAAAAAGTTGCAAAATACTATGTTTAGCATTATATCACTTGTATAAAGTTTTAAAACATGCAAAATTATGTTATATGTAGTTTACAGTTACATATGCTTGCAGCAAAAAAAAAAAAAAAAGAAAACAGAAACACAATGGGAATCATAATTTCCAAATTTAGATTTGTTTTACCCCAGTGAGTAGAGAAAAGAAAGAAAACAAAAAGGGCTTCTTAGGGGATTTCAATTCCCTCTGTCCTGGATGGCTTCTTTAAAATAAATCTGAATTAAATATGACAAAATGTTAAGATCTGGCAAAGTGGCAATCTGTGACTCTTTGTTATATTACTCTATATTTTTCTGTTTTAAAAATGTTTCATAAACTTACAAACTAGGAAATGTAAAGAGCACTAAGAACTCCATTAGCAATGACCTAGACCAGCCCTTAGCATAATTAACATGAGTTCAAAGGGAAGAGGAACTTATAATCACATTTTAGAAACTCCTCCCACTGTAAGGCTCCTTTTCAGAAACAAGACTCGCTCTCCTCAGGGGCAGATATGGGAAGAGGGTACCAGCGAAGAAAGAAAGGAGATTTACCGAAGAAAAAAGAATGGAAGAGGGAAGAAGAGGATAATATCTCCATATTTTTATAAATAAATAAATAAACAACACACAAACACACAGGTAAGAATATTCCTCAGGAAGAAGAAATAAGATACATGAAAAAAGACCTTATTGATTTTGTAGTTCCTGTCTAGCTCTGGCTTCTTCCCCTTTTGGCTGGGTAATTGAAAAAAAGATATCCCTCCTCTTACTTTTTATAGGGCAAGGAAAACTTCTGAGCTTTTTTAAAAAAAAATTATCAAGTGATTCCACTAATAAAGAAAATTTTTTTTATTCCTTGAGAATTGTTAAAATGGGATTTAAGCTTATCTGGAGGATAACTTGCCTCTAATTCCTCTAATCCATTCCTAATTATGTTAAGAATAGAAAAAAAAAGGACTTAATTTTCTTATTTTGAATCTGTCCTTCAAAATGTTCCAGTATTCTATCATAACAACATCCAGAAGTCAAAGTAAGGATTGAATTGTCTGATCATTTGTATCTTACATATTCTAACTTCTGTCCACATAGGATTTTGTTATATGCCTGAAATTTCCTCCAAAAATGACACAAAACTGCAAAATACGTAACAATGGGAATAATCATCTTCTCAACTTAAACGTTAAGGCTTTGAAAACTGTATGTCAGCTGCTAACATGTTCATTAATATCTACCCTTGCTAAAACATGCAAATCAAAATATCAAGAAAATTAACTGTATAAAGCTTTTAGAAAACAGATTCTGAATCAGCCACAGAATATTAAACCTTTTTCCCTGGACACTTCTGCATAACCAAGGAACATGATGGCAAATACTATCAAATGAAGGACTAACAAATGAAGATAAATTTAACTAGGTGTAGGCTTACTTTCAAGAAAGCACTTATGCAATGGAAAAGCAAAGTTCCAGTATTGCAAAGGAAGGAAAGGTGGAATGCAACATTTGACATGCAGTAGTATATCCTGTAGAAAAGATAAGGCCTCTGTGATTTGTGGATCAGCTATATTATCTGATACCATTTAGTCTCAATTGCCACAAGCAATCCCAATAATACTGACAGAAGAAAATACCTTCAATCTGCAAAGGGTTGAAATCAATCAACAACTAAGAACACTGTAGGATTTTCCCTTCCATGTTACATTAGCATAGCAGAGTAATCTGGTTGAAAAGTCAAATATCACCATGATTTCAAAGCCTGTTGTTCTATATTTTAAGTACGTTCCGAGATTGTTTCTAAAGTTCTATATGCCAATGTGCTTGGAACACATTAATTCCATTAGCAGGCTATTTCAGGAAATAGTGAGCATATTTCTTGGAAACAAATATATGTGGTTAAAAAACAGCTTCAAAAAAAGCATGAGGTAAAAAACTGAAAACAATGATTTTTAAATGCAATTAGAACTCCTTCCCATCACATATCAAAGGTGTCATAGCTGCTTCTCTACTGAGAAGGTGGTGTTTTGGATTTGAGTCTTTAAACCAAAAAGCCTATCTTGGGATGACACTATAAGTAGTCTCTCTGCCTCTTAATCATCGGCAACTGCTAAATGAAGTGTATCTATTTTCTCTGTTACATTACTATTGGCAACCAGGTCCTTAGTAAGTGCCCAGAAATGTTTCCATGGTTACAAAAAGCGTTCAGCATCCCTCTTGTTTTGGGCCAATTTAGCTTAAAATCTATTGTGGAGAAAAATATGGCACATTAAGAAACATAAAATCAAGATACAACATTATGAAAAGAATTCAAGGTTAAATGGGAAAAGCGAGCTTGACAAGGCTTTTTAAGACGTGCACATAAATCACCGATTAAAATGCTGCTTTTCCCTAGCGTATTTCCTAATACTGCTCTTCAACAGACTGCAAAGCAGCCCATGTACTATGGCTTACATCACCCCATAGTATAAAGGAACAAATGAGTGCATGAGGAGTCTTCCAGACTGTTAACCCATCAGTAAAATCAAAAACAAAAACAAAACAAAACAAAAAACAGCTGTTTTAACACCCATACAGCTGAGAGTCCAATCACATATCCTAGTTTTATAGGGCCCTCAGGGTATTTAAATATTTTGAAGAAAGAGAAATAAGAGCTTTTGTTCAATGGCTAAAAGGCATTTGAAGTAAATTAGTGGGCTCTATCACATCAGTGAGAGAGAGAAATGGAAGTTCCCTAGAGGCAACTTAGGCAACCTCCTCCATCTATAAAGCTGTGAGTGAATTGGGCTGAGGCTGCCTCATTCTAAGCCCATGGTGCATTCCCAATTCCCACTGCCACCACAGAGCCAGGGCATTAAAAACATTTTTGCATCCTCTGGAACAAATAAACAAGTGATATAGGCTTCTGCACAGTCTGAAGGAGAGGCCTGTGGCTTATACTTGTGTATACTTGTCTGTTCCCCACAATGTTTTGTACGTGGTAGGTGTTCAATACATATTTGATTGGTTAAAAGGGGCCATAGTATAACACCTCTCTTTATAGAGAAATGTTCCTCCTCATATCTACTTACACACCCACACCACTCTTTATCATTTTCTACTGCTCTTATTTTGCCTGTGAAATGGAAAGAAGTGGGTGGAATTCAAAGTCATAATGCTGTTTAAGGACTAATGTGAAAACTTCCAGGAAGCTAAAGGGAGCATACTTTTCCCTCTTCTTCCCTCTAAGTACCACCCTAAACCCTAGACATTGTCTATAAAACAGAGATCAGAAGACTGAGAAGTACAGAGAAGAAGGCAGAATGGATAGGAACCTTGGGACTCAAGGAACAACACAGTCGTGAGTTCCCTGGGCTCTTTTACCTCATATATCCCAGACCTGAAGCTGAAGAAGCTGGCAACACAAAAATGTCAATGTACACCGACCAAAACAAAAGTCTCAATAAAGGCTTGCTCTTTCTTCCCAAAGGACTAGGAAAAGGGCAGCCTAGTAAGCCAGAAAATGTTTAGATAGGACCTGCTCTACTCCAGCCAAACAGCACAGAAAAAAATTGTGTCCTCATCTTCACCCATGACAAGGCCACATAGGGAACCTAGACTTCCATCCTCACCAATCTGTAATGAGGCAACCCAATACTCTCACAAGGCATGCCAGACAAGGCCAAGCTAGGAACTGGAACTTCTATCCCTGATGCCAGAGGTGAGTATCCCCCACCCACACAGTGTTCACTGGAGACCATCTGGGAAGCCTCATCTACCACCCCTGCCTGGAAGTCATGAGGCACACCTCCCCCTCCCCATTTAGGTGATGTCAAGGGAGGTCTAGTAGAGACCCAAGACTTTCACCACAACCCAGTGGTAATGAGGCCACCCACACCGCAGGGTCAGTGGAAACCACATGAGGAGATGGAACTCCCATCTTAACTCAGCATTAATGAAGAGCACCTCTTCAAGGGTCAAAGATGCCAAGAGGGGAACCTCGTCTTCTGCCTCCACAGTAATGAGGTGGTATCCCATTGCATGCCAGAACCATGTCACAGACTCTTCATGGCACGTCTTTTTGGTGGAACAATGACAAAATAATGACAATTATTTCTCTTTATATGTTCATATTCTCTTAGGTTCCTTCTTACAAGCTACTATAATAGTTCTCCAATATTCTCCCCTCCAATTTAGCCTCCAAACTGATGCTAAAGTTATCCTTCTATATCAGAGTTCTGTGGGTGCTACCCTTGATTAAGATCTTTCTAAGATTCCCAACTGTTTACAGGATTATACGGTTTCCCTCTGTGTCCCCACTCAAACCTCATCTTGAATTGTAATCCCCATGTGTGGAGGGAGGGACAAGGTGGGAGGTGATTGGATCATGCAGGCAGTTTCCCCCATGCTGTTCTCATGATAATGAGGGAGTACTCATGAGATCTGAGGGTTTAAAAGTGACGCTTCCCTTTTGCTCACTCTCGCTTGTGCGCTCTCTCTCTCTGTCTCTCTGTCTCTCCTGTTGCCATGTAAGATGTGCCTTGCTTCTCCTTCACCTTCTGCCATAATTGTAAGTTTCTTCAGGCCTCCCCAGCCATGCAGAACTATGAATCAATTAAAGCTTTTTTCTTTATAAATTACCCAGTCTCCGGTATGTCTTTATAGCAGTGTGAAAATGGACTAATACACAGGATGAAGGCTAAATTCTTAACACAAAAACCAAAGACCTTCCCAATCACAGCCTTAGCTCTAGCCTCATGATCCATCCCTGAAAATGTCAGGCTTGTTCACATGTCAGCATTCACGACATTTCCTCCAGGTGGAATGCCTTTCTCCTTTCATTCACTTATTAAATTCTGACTCATCCTGACAAGAACTTTATCTGATCACCTCTGGCAAAATCATCACAAAAGTTATCACGTACATAACTATAACTTCTCACAAACTTTTTTTATAGGATTGGTTACATATATCTTACACATCACAGAACTCTTTAATGGAAGACCAATATGTTCTTTACACAATTATCCCTCAGCCCAAACATGCTACCCAGTTTAATAAGAATGTCCAATTCAATTTCACAGTGTAGTGTTAAGCATATAAACTCTATGTTCCAGCTTCCACTTAAGATGTAGACAGTTGGAAATAATGCTCCCACTCTTTAAACAACAACAAAATTTATATAAGTGGTCAAATCACATATTTTCTTAAACTCAGCAACCAACTAGTCCAAAAGTTAAAAAGAGGCAACTTATCTCAAGGAGAGAAAGAACACAAGCACTTGCTGGCAAGGGGCAGATACTAGATTCATACAAGCTGGTAAGAATTAAATGAATATTTTCCAGTTATTTGTAAAGGCCCAGTGGACTAGCACAGAAGTACAGAACCCATGGGAGTCACAAACCAAATGGAAATTCAAGCCCACTTAGAAGTTCTTCACAGAGCTCACCAGGCACTCACAAGAAAGACGGGTGGAGAGCAGGGGCAGAGAAAGCTGCTGTCGTGATACAGTCATGAGGAAGGGGAACAATGGCTACTACAGGCAAAATAAGAAGCCCCACCAAGATTCTGCTCTTGAATTTCCACTATGAAACAAAAGCCTTAGGCCACTTGGGGAAGGGTAGCTGATAAGTTTTGGCTGTGTCCCCACCCAAATCTCATCTTGAATTGCAGTTCCCATAATCCCCACATGTGGTGGGAGGGACCCAAAGGGAGGTAACTGAATCATGGGGGTGGTTTCCCCCATGCTATTCTCATAATAATGTGTAAGTTCTCATGAGCTCTGATGGTTTTACAAGGGACTTCCCCCTTTACTCAGCTCTCATTCTTCTTGCTGCTGTCATGTGAAGGATACATTTGCTTCCCCTTCCACCATGACTTTAAGTTTCCTGAGGCCTCTCCAGCCCTGTGGAACTATGAGTCAATTAAACCTCTTTTCTTTTTAAATTACCCAGTCTCAGGCAGCTCTTGATAGCATCATGAGAATGCACTAATACAACAGCAAATCCTGTTGCTTTCAGACCACAGGTAAAGACACGTTAAGGTGAGTAAGCAGAACAGAGTAAACACTTCTATCCCTGGGGAAGGGGCAGGAAAAACTCCTGGGGTCAGACCACTGCAGATTCCCCTGTCTCCGGGGAGAGAGGCAGGATTACTGAGAACGTCCTAACCTCAAGACATAGGAACACAGCAATTGCCTAAGACCGAGAGCACTCTACAACAGCAGGAAACACAACCTCCAACTCAACCACATCACACTAGCAAACAATAAGTAATGCATAATAACAGGCTTTTCCTGGGAAGGGGCAAAAGCCTGAAAGGAGAGACACTCTCTGATGCATAGGCAAAAAGAGGAGACGATGTTAAAGATGGAGCCAATATTGACAAAACTGTGTAACAAACAAGCCCCTACCCTAAACACAATGTAGTAATAGAGCATTTTGAAGCCTGTATTGCACTGAGATGAACGATAACAACAAAACAAAAACCCAACTCAAATGCTGACTAAACTGACTCAACCCCCTCACACTAAACATCCTGCATTAGAAAAGATTTGCTCACTTCCAGGCAAAAAATATCGCATACTTTCCCTACATATAATGTTCTATTTTCAGTCATAAATTACAAGACAAACAAAAAAGAAACAAAGAAAAACATCCTGTCTAGAGACAAAACAACCAAGACAGCCAAACTCAAATATGACTCAGATATTGGAACTATCAGACAAGGAATTTTAAAATAACTGTGATTAATATGTTAAAAGCCATAATGAAAAGGGGGGAATGTACATGAAGTGATGAGCAGAGGGACTGAAACTATTTTAAAATGCAATCAAATCAAAATGCTAGACACGAAAAACACGGTAACAAAAATAAAAAAGGCTTTCGTAGACTTGATGCTGTCAAAGAAAATATTAGTAAACTTGAAGATATGTTAGTAGGTACTACCCAAGCTGAACTACGAAGAAGAAAAAAAAGTGATGAAACAAAGAAAAATATCTGAGAGCTGTGGGATAATACCAATCTAATATTTGTACAACTGAATACCAGAAGGAGGAACAAGAGAGAATGGGGTAGAATAAATATTTGAAGACATGATCACCAAAACTTTTTCAAAAGTAATGAAAGCATTAAACCCACAGACCTAATAAGCTTAGAAAACACAAGAAAAACAAATACCAAAACATACACATGCATGCATGTCCATGCACAAACACTCCTAGACACACTCTACTGAAGTCCAAAGATAAAGACAAAATCTTCAAAGCTCCAAGTGAAAGAAACACATATTACATGCAGAAAAATAAATGAAAGTATTATAGCAAGCCATAAGATAGTGAAATGGCAATCTTAAAGTGCTGAAAGAAAATGACTGTCAACCAACATTCTATACCTAGCTAAAATATTTTTCAAATAATTGAGAAAATTTTTCAAGCAAAAGCTGACATAATTCTTTAGCAGCATATATACAGTATAAGAAATGTTAAAATGAAGAATGCTTCAAATTGAATAAATGAAGGTAATAAATAAAAATAATTAAAATATTTTTAAACATAAATGTCACGCATTTTTCAAAGAAAAGTTGAGATAATTCATAAGTGGTATATGTTCATGTGGCATAAATGAGGTAAATATAATCTTTTTATCTTTTTAAATTTTTGGTTTTGAGGAGGGGTTTTTAAAAATTATTTTTAGAGATGGGGTCTCAATCTGTCACCTAGGCTGGAGTGCAGTGGCACAATCACAGTTCACTGCAGCCTTAAACTCCTGGGCTCAAGCATTCCTCCCACCTCAGCCTTTTTTTGTCTTATTTTAACCATTCTAAGAGATAACCAATAGTCTAGGGCAAAGCAGTATCAGCGTATTATACGTTTATTGCATGTATAAGACTAAAATATATGACATCAATAAAACAAAGGATAAGCAGGAAGAATTGAGTATACTGTTGCAACATCATCAAACTATACATGAAATAGTACAGTATTATTTCAAGATAGACTGAAGTTAATTAAAGATCCATGCATTAGGGATCCTAGGATGACCATTAAGCCTTTTTTTAACATGAGCCCAGAGTGGATATATAATGAAATCATAAAAATACTCAGTACAAAGAAAGCAGAAAAATTAGGATAAAAGAAACAAAGAACAGATGGAACAAACAAATCAATCTAGCAAGAAGACAGATTTTAATTCAGCAATATCAACAATTATATTAAATACAAACAGTTAAAACAAATTAAAAGTGGAAGCTTGTCATATTGGATTAAAAAGTAAGACCCAATTATATGCTATGTACTAGAAACCTACCACATAAAATAGGTTTAAAGAATGGAAAAGAATATATCATGTCAACACTAATCAAAAGAAAGTTGGAGCAGCTGTATTAATATCAAAGTAGAATTTAGGACAAGAAATATTACTAGAGGTAAAAATGGTACATTACATAATGACAAAGAGGTCAATTCACCAAGAAGATACATATTTCTAATACATGTACGTACTTAACAGAGCTTCAAACTACGTAAAGCAAAAACTGACAGAAATAAAAAAGAGAAATAGCCAAATCCACAGAGTTACAGACTTCAATGCTCCTCCCTTAGTGATCAACAGAACAAAATCAGTACGCTAAAAAAAAAAAAAAAAAAAAAAAAAAAAATCGAGAGACAAAATAAGTATTAGAAAATCAGAAAAAATAGCCTCAAGAAACTTGTAATTTATAGAATACTCTCTCCAGTAACAGAATATACAATCTTTTCAAGTGCACATGAAATATCCAACAATTCAGGACAGGGTAATAAAACAAACCTTAATTAATTTTTAAAAACTAAAATAACGGAAAGTATGTGCTCAAGCCATAATGGAATAAAACTAGAAATCAACAACAGAAAAATATATAGAATATTCCCAATATTTGGAACTTAATCAACACACTTTTAAATAACCAATTAAGTAAAGAGGAGTAACAAGGGAAATTAGAAAATATTTTTAATTGAATGAAAATAAAAACAAAATACATTCATACTTATTAGATACAGCTAAAGCATTGCTGAGAGGGAAAATTATACATCCATAATAGAAAATAAGAAAGAACAAATTATTCCCAAAGCAAGAAAAACAAAGAAAATAATAATAACAGAAATTAATGAACTCAAGAACAGAAAAACAATAGTGATAAATTAATTAAACCAAAAATGAGATATTTGGAAAAAACACAGATAGGTAGGTGGATAGACAAATAATCCTCTAGCCAGACAGATCAACAACAAAAAAAGACAAAAAGTACCAATATCAGGAAATAAAGGGAGAAATTACTATAAATCCTAACAACATTTAAAAAGTAGTAATTAACTACTATGTCCATAACTTCAACAACATAGATGAAATGAAAAAATTTGAAAAACTCAGTGCCAAAAAATCACTTAAGAAAAAAACAAACTAGGTTACCCTTATACCTATTAAATAAATTGAGTTTATGTTTCAAAACCTTCCCACAAAGAAAATCCCGGGCTCAGAAGGCTTCACTGAAAAATTCTAGCAAACATTAAAAAATAATAATTGTACACAAATTTTTCTAGTTTATAGGAAAGGAAAAACACTTCACAACTCATTTTATGAAGTCAACATTACCCAGAACCAAAGATATTGCAAGAAAACTACAGACCAATATCCCTAAAAAAAAAATGGAAAAAAATCTTTAGCAAAGACTAACAAATCAAATCCAGTAATACATTAAAAGAATACCATAACATGACCAAGTGGATTTTATCCAAGCTATGCAAAATTGGCTCAACTTTCAAAACAGTGTTATTTATTTCAACATACTAAACAACAAAAATCATATGATCATCTCAATAGATGTGAAACAGCATTTGACAGAATTTAACATCCTTTTTTTGATAAAACTCTCAGGAAGCTAGAATACAAGGGAACTTCACCATAATAAAGAGCATCTACAGAAGCCTGCACCTAACTACTGAGGATAATAGAGAAAGACTGAAAGATTTAACACTGTTTAAGATTGAGGCAAGGATATTCACTCTCACCAGTCTTATTTAACATGATAATAGAAGCCCTATCCAGTGTAATCAGTCAAGAAAAAGAAATAATAGACATTGATATTGGAAATAAATAAATAAAACTAGAGACAACAGAAATATTCCTCAACTGATCAATCAACAAACTGGTGCATTCATTCAATGGAATATGATTCAGCAATTAAAAAGGGAAAACTACTGAAACACACAACACCATGGATGAAT
The DNA here is from genome assembly GCF_000001405.40 of Homo sapiens. NCBI lineage: Eukaryota > Metazoa > Chordata > Mammalia > Primates > Hominidae > Homo > Homo sapiens. The sequence continues at coordinate 61,998,496 of NC_000014.9, read as the reverse complement.
CTCAAACGCGTTATGGTAGGTGAAAGAAGCTGGACTCAAAAGACGACAAACTGTGTACATCCATTTATATGACATTCTGAAAAAGATAAAACAAGAGAGGCTAAAAATGTATCCACACAGGTCTGGGGCTGGAATAGGGAAAGGACTGACTAAAAAGGAATGTAGGAGAATTTTCTGACATAACAAAACCATTTTATACTTTGGTTGTGGTGGCTACAAGACTGTGTCTATTTGTCAAAAAGCATAGAACTATACACTAAGGATGAATTTTATTATAGTAAATTATACCTTTAAGAGGAAAAAAAAGAATATGTGTATGTGTAAATGTTAGTATGAGACTGCCTGAGCTCTGCTTCTTCCTATAATAAATGTGGATATTGGGTAGGTTCTCAAACTCTCTCACCATCAATTTTCTCAACTGTAAAGTGAGAGTAATAACAGCATCTACCTCTTAACATTGTTAGCTTTCCTTGTTGCTGTTCCATCGTTAATTATTATTTGATCTCCTACCCAACACTGTGCTCATTGTTAAGAAAACAGAGATGAATCTATGGCATGGTCCCTGACTTCCTGGAGGCTCCAATCTAGTGAATAAGCATCTCTGGAAAGGCCAGATGAACACAATTGTTTTACTGCCATTAGATTTTACAATTACAAAAATTAGCAAAATTAGTGGTATGCCAAATTCATATCAATTTCAAATATAGTTCAACCTTTTCAAGAATGTTCTAAAATAGGAATCGAAATTTCAACTCAAATCTAAGAAATTCTACTGCTGGCCCAGATATTTCTAGAATATTTCTATAGCCAATTTAAAAGACTCAAAATTGCAATTAGCTACAGCTTATCAGGTTCAGAAAGAATATCAGCCTACCTCATTTTCACCAATTTATTCTAGCATTTCAATGTTACCTTAATTTGAATAAAAGTATCAAGAGAGCATTATGAGAAGAATATGAAATTGTGTTTCTTTATATGCCAAGACTTCATATATCTGGATAAAACTTTTCCCTAAAAAGACAAAGCTAATAGGAATCATGGAAAATGAATGAAGGGACTATGAGGTATTCCAGAAAAGTCTGCTCTCTCCAGCAAGAGGGACATTGAATAACTTTGTCTTTAGATCACATAAATGACTCACCAATCTGTGTGACTTATATGTGCATTACAACTACACACCATGCACACATACCCAAATCCCTTCTGTGTATATCATTTACCTCTGTCCCTTAACCAGGTGGAATGTCCTTACTTCAAGGTTAGAGTATTAGAGGCATGAGAAATTCATGCTGGAACACACCTCAGCTACTTTTAGAGAGTTAATTACATTTTTATCATATTCAATATACATTTATTGAAGGCCCAATATGTGCTCAGTTCTCACAGCATAAATCTTTATAGGCAGTTTTTATTAAATGTGTCCTTACCATTCAGAGCTAAAAGAAAATCAAGCTATTCTTATTTCAGAGATTTCCTATCCACTGTCATCTCACATCACGTCTCAGTGAAACACTGTGAGAAGTGTTCTTGGAGTGTTATCAACTAAAAATTCTGCGATAAGTACGGCTTTTTGCACAGGATTTCACACTGAATAATATAGTAACATCTAGAAATTCCTAACCTAGAAGAAAAAAAGAACATTTTGCAAGATATTTTTAAAAGCATGACATGTGCACAAGGGGCTTCTCAAACAGAATCCACAGACTCGTTTTTCACCATTTCACTTGCTCAGAACTATTGTTTTGAAATATGGAACTCCCAAACGTGGATCCTCCAAAGCTTTATATATTGAAAATATTCCTAAGGATTATATCTCTCAATCAGAAGCCAGTATGTGGGAAGGTATAAGAGAGAGAAAAATAAAATCCACATGATAACTAAAAACAAGTCAAAATAAAATAAGTAGAAATGCTCTTTGGAGGAACGCAGAGAAAATGATGACTGGCTAGCTTACCTTGCTTTTTTCCATTAACAGTTTCTAAAGTACCAGGGAGCTGGCTGTCAAAGCCATGTTGAAGGCCACTTCTTTGCTTTTCAAGGTGATGCTCTTCCTCCGCAATAGAAGAAAGCACATGTGGTAACTTGCGGTCATCACTGGCCCAATTGGGCCACTGGGACATTGTGGAACATGAGTCCTTTGCATGTTGGCTAAGGCTTGGGCTTGAATTTTGGGCAGAGTCCTGCAAATCACTATTACAACATGAGAAATGATCCACTTCAAGAAACAAGGAATTTGCATCCTCTTGACTCCAATCATTGTCTTGTTCTTCATCTTCAAAGTACGTTTCCTGAATCTGAATATTATCTAAGTCCTGATCTAGTTTGTCACTCAATTTAGAGTCTTGTTTGCTTATGTTAACCAGCGAAGCAGATAACATATCTCCTGCTTGCTGGAGAGCTTCATAAACCCGAGATATCCAGGAAGAGAAAGGCTGGAAGAAGTTCTGAACATCCTGAGACGCCATGGCCAACACCATGGCCAGCTATCTGATGTCTACAGTGTCCAGTTGTTCAGTTCCTTCAGTGCTCTGGATTGAATGTGAACTATAGAATAAGCATGTTGAGAAATTAATTTGGAGGTCTCTTAATGGCTGTGAATATTTCACTCTCAAAACTTCCAGCTGAAACAGAGGAAAGAAATACTTACACCTGTTAAAGTTACAACCTCAGACCCATCACCAGATACCTACAGACGATGTCAAACAGCATTTGGGCACAAAAAGGGATCATCAGGAAAATCTTAAAATAGTTACATAAAAATGACTGTGAAAGTCTAGATGTAGATTATTTCAATGCCTATTCACCTCCATAGCCATGTGGAAAACTTCCATTAGCAGTAATGGGTTCTGTTCACGTGGACTGAGAGAAGTCTATCCCCATAGACCATCCTTAACAGTGTGAAAAGGATAAATGAATCTTCATTAAGATCCAATTGGGCATGACATTTCAAAACGCAAAAAAGGTCAGATGTTTCATCTACAAACCTGCAGATCCCAAAGAGCTGACTAATAAGCATCTCTGCTTTATGACACTAAAGTTTATACTTGCAAAGGAAGTATGTGTCTGGAATTAAAAAGCTTTAAACAAATCTTAAAATAGGATTTTATATTTTTATGCAATCTCTAGAAATCATATCTATTCTTGGGGAGCAATCGCTGAAAAACTGAGGGTGGCAAATGGATTATCTAGCTTACTGAAGACATGTCCCTGGAATCTCATTGCTTTTGTCTATGTTCCAACCTCCCGAAGATAGATAGCTCTCCACAATCTTTCAGACTCCTAAATCACACTTCATCCCACAAGATTTACAGCCTGAAGGAAGCAGCTCCAGGATATCAACAGAACCACAGGACACTATGAAGACCCCAGAGCTAAATATTTATACTTTTACATGTATATGTGCATACAATGTATACATACACATATGTGTGTATATTATGTGTGTATATATCTTATTGCTATTACAGTGTTCATCAACAGCTCAAGATGAACGTTACAAATGACTAGAGGGCCTAACACACTGCTTAAACTTAATTACCCAATATCTTGTATAGCAATAACTTCCTTTTAACTAAATCTACTAGCTATCCCTTAGTCTCTTGACCTCAGCCACTGCATGTGATATGACTACTTACATTCTAAAAATTTTTTATTAGCCATTCATGGATGCATTGACTTATTCAATAAACAAATATTGATTATCTATTAAATGCTGGCACAATGCCAGGGATAAGGTAATCCTGAGGGCTTTGCCTCCATACAGCCCACATTTCAGTTACAGGGGAACTGAGTTCTCCACATTTCCCCCCTATGCTGAATAATTCATGTGTCGCTCTTTCAGGCTCCTCCTTGTCTTCCCACCACCTACATGTATACAACCAAAACTTGTCCTATGGCTTCCCTTCCCTGTTATATTCACCAGCTGCAAGAGTAGGCCCATCCCTACATTTCAATTAACACCTTTTTGAAACTCCAAAATATACATCTCCAGCCTTTGCTCAATTTTTCTTTCCAGGCTTGTATCTGTGGCTGTCAAAGCCAATGATTCTCAAACTCTGGTGTGTCAGAAACACCTAGTGAGCTAATAAAGAACACAAAGGCCCAGGCTGGTTGAAGGAAAAGGGCCTAGTCTGAACCTTGGGATTTTTGGCAAGTACTCCAGGTGAGTCTGACACCCACGGAAGTTTGAGAAATACTGATAGACTTGGATGTCTCACTAAAATCTCAAATTCAGCTCATCCAAACCTAGTGTATCACTTTGCTACAAGCGTTCATCACTCTAGACTCACAACATGGGGGATTGTGAATTTCTCTCTTCAACACTACCTTCTTCCATTCCAAACTCCGTTAGCTTTTGGTCTCCAAAGATTCTCTTTCATCATATTTTGTACAGTTATCTCATTCCCCACACCCTAGTTCCCTCACATACTACATACCTAGTTCGCTTCATATGCTCTTCTTACCCAGACTCAATTCATTCTGTTTGCTCACCATAACCTGATTTTATATGAGGTTTACACCTGTCTCCTGCTCTAGAATGGAGGCTCCCTGGATGGCAGGGATTGTCTGTTTAGTTCTCTATTTTATCCCCATTGCCTAGAAGTGTGCTGAGCACATAGTGAATTCTCAATAACAAATCCTATTAAAAATCATGCAAAAAACAACACCTAGCATATATTATGTACTCAGTAAATTGGTTAAGTTGATGGATAAATTCTATCCAGAACTGTTAAAAAGATGTTAAACAATGTTATCACATAAGTTCCCTGCATAGTAACAACAGTAAAGATCCTTTTGCCATTTGTTACATCCCATTTCGCCACTCAAAGTTTTTCGGGTTTTTTTTTTCTCTGCAAATATTTTGTGTAAGTTACTAAGCTTCAGTGCGTCACAGATTTACAAGGTTCTCTCTGAGATTCCAGTGGCTTTAGCTCCCACGGCCATCTTTTTGGTACCTTAAACTTTTTAAGCCAGAAATGACATGTTTTCCTTAATAATTCTTCCATCATTCTATTACACACAAAAAAACTTTGAGTTTTTTGTTGTTGTTGTTCTGAATTTTTTAATTTTTTTTATTTCAGTTCTGGGATACATGTGCAGACGTGCAGGTTTGTTACATAGGTATACATGTGCCATGGTGATTTGCTGCACCCATCAATCTGGATCTAGGTTTTAAGCCCCACATGCATTAGGTATTTGTCCTAATGCTCTCCCTCCCCTTGCCCCCCACACCCCCACAGGCCCCGGTGTGTGATGTTCCCCTTCCTGTGTCCATGTGTTCTCACTGTTCAACTCCCACTTTTGAGTGAGCATATGTGATGTTTGGTAGAAAACTTTGTTTTCATATGCAACCCAAAATCTCTGAATTTGAGCCAGCATCTTCTTGTCCAAATCTTCAAATTAGTACAGCTCATATTCTTGGCCTCATATCCCCTTGGTTTCTATAATCTCTGTTCATCAAAACGAAAATGAAAAAATTCATTTTTTACAAAAATTGACAGTTCATCAAAATGGCAAATTTTGTAAAAAATGAATTTTGATCATTCTCCTAGTTTTAAAGAAAAAAAGCCATTATGATTCCCTGTTACTTAAACTGCAAAGTTTGAGCACTGGTGCTGTCAAAATCACTACTCATTTATGTTTGTTGATATAGCGTTTTTTAAAAATTAATTTGAATGTTTCCAACTCTATATAATCTTCACCTCTCCCTGTTGTTTACAATCCACTCGCTTCACTCATTTCTATGTAGCCTGCCCGACCCCTGGATGCATTTGAATTTCCAAGCCCCACCCTATAGGATAAAGTTCAAATTCTGTACTGTGGCATACAAGAGGAGAAGTGCTCAAAAAAACAATAATAATAATTATCAGCACCATCCAACTGGGCTTAGTGCTGGGGGGATCCTAAAGGCTTCCTGCAAAGTGTAAACACTTTAATTGCTGTATCACTGGGTCTGAGGAGGTCTAGAGGTACAAAAGGACACTGGAAGGGGCTTCAGATCGGTGGCTATTTATCAACCAGCTTGGAACTAATTTCAGGACAACAGCAACTCACGGAGCTCCCGCCTTTTGTCCTCACTGAATACCTAGCTGTCTGAGCTGTCCGCAATAATGCTGCCGCGCCATGAGAACTCAGCCTTTCCTTACCACTCCTCGCTGTAAAGTCCTATGTGCCAGTCTCACTGACACACTAAGCATTTTCCAAAGTGACTGTGCTCTTTCCTGACTTCTGTTTGTTTTGCCCAGGATGACTTCTCTCCCTAAACTGCCCGATACTCATTTTTTATGAGGAAATGTTTATTGCTTCCTCTGTCAACTCTTCATCTACAATCAAAGGTGTGGCCTCAGAGTGTTTTGAATGTGCCTTTATGATATAACGTTTCCCTCGGTATAATGGATATTTGTCAGTCTTCCTCTTCCAATGGACTGGGAGTCCACAAGTGCTAGGGCTGTGCTTATACTTTGTAGCTCCAGAATCCACACAGGGCAGGGGCTCTCCATGTTCCATGAATGAATGAATGAATGAATGAATGAATGAATGAATGAACGAACAAAGTTATTAGTGAAAACATTTAAAGCTAAGTAAACCTGATTCCTTTCTATTTATTCATCTCTAAAGTGGCATTAACGCACTAGATGACTTTTAACACCCTTTCTGCTCTTAAATCCAAGAATTTGCCATTGTGTGCCACAGAACATTGTAATATTGAGGACGGATACAACCAGAAGCAAGATGCCTTTTCATGGAATAGTTCTGTACTTTTTTGTCAATAACCATTGTGAGATGATCCCAGAATAATTGGAAAGAAGCCAAATCTCAGTCTTTATATAAAAGAGTGTCCAGTTGCTATATTCTAAAATACTCAAAAAGAAATGAAACCTACAGCTAGAATCTGAAAAACTACCTAGTTAGCAACGCCAGAGATCTTTCATTTTATGCTAAATCAGCCTAAAGCCAAAGAGGCCCAGCACTGGCAGGGTAACCATGGAGATATCTTTGGGGCTTAGGTAAATTTCAACTTGATTGGTAGAGCACACCAAGGATAATAATGCCAGATATATACTGTATCCTACTTCTTTGGTGGCTTTCTTACAGCTAACAAGAAGACAAAGTAGCTTCTGGTGTTTTAGAAAACACACACACACACACACACACACACACACACAAATGAAAAACAGAAAAAAAGTCCAGTTCCCTGGATTAGAAGGAAAAATACATTTAAGGTCTTGTCATATCTGAGAAGGCCCATTATTACAATTGAAATGGTTCATGATATCTCATCACTATGGAAGTATAAAATGAGACAACAAAAAAAGATGGTGTGTGTGTATGTGTGTGTGTGTGTTTACCATACAAGCTTCTATCACAAACATGACCTGGGAAGATTTACAAAGTATTGAAGTACTCAGAATAAACTGACAATCTAAGAAAGAATTAGTAGCAATTGATAAAGATTTTAAAAAGCCATAAATAAATATATTCTTAAAGGCTACTTTTTTAAAATCTTGGTTTAATTGGAATTCTATTTTAATTAAGATCATTTTGTACATAGGAAATGACTAAGCAGTAAATATTAAAGAGTTGTGTTTCTGTAGAAAGAAAAACTGTCAAATTCCTGAGCCATATGTTTTATCAAATATTTTGATTGTTCTCACCAAAGCTAACTGTGAACAGAGAAGAGGTATTCCATCCCAGAATAACAATGCTCATAGTCCTTTAAGGGTTGTTAGTTAAATCTTTCCAACCCCATTTTCTATCTGATGGGGTTGCTTGCAGGGTTGGGGGACAGTTACGACCTAAGAAGAAATACCAGATTCTAGAAGCTGTGCTTTAAAAATCTGTTATTTTGGTGAAAGCTAAAGCAGAAGCCTGTATGCCTGTGTGATTTTCAAAGGATTATCAACTAACTCCTGGAGAAAGTCAGACACATTCTGAAAGACAAGAACATGTTTCCAATAATATGGTCCCCAGGTAACCAAACATCAAATCAAAATTGTATACAAGTTCATCTACTAAAGTGTGCTGATGTTCATCATTTCTTGAAGGAGAAATCACTTGGAAAAATATACTCTTCTCATTCTTCACCAAGACTCATAGGTTAGTCACAAGCAAAAGTCAAGAACCATGGGTTTATTTCAAGTGTCTTCTCATAGCTTTCAGTTAACTTTCTTGTGTCACCTATAAAACGTTGGTTATTTCTTATTGACTTACTAGAGTAGTCATAAAGCTAATTATTTTTATGACAATTATCATGCCTTTTGGAGAAAGACATTTTGCATAGACCTGGTATAAATAAGAAAGCTTAGGAAGATGAATAATGCATGGAGTCAAAATAAGAACTATAAAATAGGCTGCAACTCATCTTTAACATGATTCAAAGGAGTCTACAGGTGTTTTCCGTTAAGAGCAAATTTCTTATGTGGGTTGGAATATGTGTCATTGAAATGAAATATCTTCTACAGCATTTGTCCAAAATGTGTTCTAAACGTTGGCATCTCAACAAATATAAAAAGGGACTACTCAGGACTCTTTCTGGCAAAAATACGGATACAGTACAGCCATATTGTCACTGCCGGGGCATGAGCAATCCAACAGGCCTTTTTACACTGGACTTCAGGGAGGCAGTTAATATAAAATGAAATGTGAAGCTGCCCTATAATCAAAATATGCTTTCATCATTAGACACAGAAAAATGAGACAATACAAAGGAAAGAAATATTAATAGCTTTAGAATCATACAAAACAAGGCTGTCTTGGATCTGCTTCTCACTTACTCCATGGCACAAGGCAAATCATACTAGCTGAGTGCATCTAAATGTTCTCATCTAGGAGAATGAGATCCTAGTAAGATCTCAGGAAAATCACTACTCTTGCAACTCACCATGGAAATCAAATTAGACAATTTTTTGTTGTTGTTGTTTTTGTTTTGTTTTTGAGGTGGAGTCTTGCTCTGTTGCCCAGGCTGGAGTGCAGTGGCATGATCTCGGCTCACTGCAACAACCACCTTCCAGGTTCGAGCGATTCTCCTGCCTCAGCCTCCCAAGTAGCTGGGATTACAGGCTTCTGCCATCAGGCCTGGCTAATTTTTGTACTTTTAGTAGAAACGGGGTTTCGCCATGTTGGCCAGGCTGGTCTCAAACTCCTGACCTCAGTTTATCCACCCGCCTCAACCTCCCAAGTGCTGGGATTACACAGACAATGTTTTTAAAGCAGCTATAACAGAGCCCAGTATTAACAGGCACTCAACATCAGGTATTCAATATTAATCCCAAATTCATCATATTTCAAAAGGTAAAAATACATTAAACTCCTATCATCTTTCCCTAATGAGCTAATACCACGGAAAAAATGGTACTATCATTATATCAAGCATTTTCCAAACACTATATAGTATATAATGCTTTTTGACAACTTATATGAATAAAAACTTTTGTGGAAGATATTGGCCTTCCCATTTTACAGTTGAAAAAAACTGAGGCTCAGAAAGGGTAGGTGACTTGCCCCAGGTTTATATGTGTAATACAGGTGGATCTGGTATTTCAACAAAGGAACGGAATCCTTTGTTGAATTCCAAATTCTTACTTTAACCATTACTCCAAATCTTTAAAAAAAAAATGCGATTAGATAGTGAAGAAACTAGAAATAAAAAAAGGTAAAGTGATTTTCCTAGTAAGTGACAAGTGTGGGGTTCAAATCCAGTTTTGTCTGGCTCTGAAGTTTATTCTCACTGTTTCTAGTACAACACAGTTGCCTGTTTCACTAATGGAACTCTTCAAAAAATGTAAAATGTCACAGTTACTTTTGAAAATAAGTGTAATAAAGTTTAAAAAAATTATAAACTTCTGCTTAAGTCAAGTGAGGGTTATATTTAAATATATTTTTAAACTCTACCCAACAAATAGCTCTGGAGCATGATGATCTCAAACAAACTAGGACTGGCTCAATAAAAGTTGTACATTGCTCAAGGTTTATAACATTATAGCAACAGCACATTGTAAGTATTCCTTAAATTTCATAAGCCCATTGAGTATTTGTGAGTATTTATTCTATCCAAGGCAGAGATTTAAACATGTTCCGCAAATACTCAGTGGTTATATAAACACATAAGGTCTTCAGCATCTCCAGGGGGACTATTTAACATGGCTTTAATGACACAATATTTTTAAAGAGACTATCACTGCTCTCGCACAGAAATCCATTTTCAGATACACACATAATAAAATTTTTATGAAAAAAGAATGAATTCTATTAGACTATACTTGCCTTTTTAAAACCCCAACCAAAATGAGGAAGAATCTTATTGTCATCCAATCTAAAGCAATCACTACAGACCTTTTCCAAAAGGGCATCTGTGCTCCAGGGCCATGGGCGCACATCTACTGGCCCCCAGTAGAGGAGATTCTGAAATCTCAAATAACATCCACAGTATGAAGCAATATAATTAGGAGGAAATGTAATAAAATTGAAGAAGGCAAAATGCAGACACAATAGGAATTACATCCAGACTATAAGATACAGCAGATTACTGATTTTTGTCCCCAAAGCACAGATGGAAACATCATTTGTATCACTTGAAAAGGCACTAGGCTCAAAAGTAGGCCAAAAATGATGGAACTAAGGTCACTGTAACCCTCTTGAGATAGATTTTAAAATATTCTAAATATCAGCAATCATTCAGTGTTTGTTAAAGTTTTTTATACTAATTATAAAAGTAATATCAGCCTTATAAAAATGTGGTAAAAAAAAAAAAAAGGAAAAAAATCATTCCTAATCCCTCCACCATAACACAACTCCAATTATTTTTGCACATTTCTTCTATCGTTTTCCTTGTAATTTGCACAGTTATCATCGGGTTATATAGGAAACTAATAATTACCTTTGACAACTCTTTCTCCTTTAGAATTGCTTACCAAGGCCTACCCATTCTTTCATCTAAATAACTCTAAACTCTATGGCCTTCTGCCACCTAAACAGGTAATACTTGAGTCCAAGTCACCATTATTTCCTAACTGAACCACTTCAACAGTCTCTTAAATGACCCCACTGCATTCACTCCTACCTCATTTCCACAAAATGAACTTCATGATCTTTCTAAGGTGCATATTTGATCACGTCATTCAGTGTTTAAAATGGCTTCCCATTGCACTTATGGCAAAGTTCAAAATTCACAAGACTCAGAAGGCCATCCCTGGTTGGTTCCATCTTGTCTTTAAGTGCTATTTGCTCTCCAGGCTGGGGCATCTCACCTCCTCCTTTTAGTTGCTCAGGCTCCTCTCACAGGCTAAGAAAGCTCTTCTCCCTTCAGGCTCCCTGACCCTGACAGTGCCCATCCATCTCCTTTCAGGTCCCAGGTTACACTTCACTTTTCAGAATGTTTTCCCCCCGCCATAATCCACACTAAATGATGTCGCTGAAATATTCTCCCATAACACCCCTTATTTCTTATTAACACTTACTATAATTGTAGCTTATTGATGACCTATAACATTATTTCTTTTAATACCCATCTGTCTCACTAAACAAGACTTTCTATGAGATCACAGAGTAGGTTAATTGTTGTCTTTGCCATGTTGTCAGCACCAAGCAGAGTAACTGACTACCATAGAATAGGCCATCAATATTTTTGAATATTTGAATACACAGCTCCACATATATACACATACACAAATATTACATACTGCTTCTTTCAGTTAACATTTTAACACATTTTGCATGTTTCTACAGTCTTTTATGTTTATCATTTTAAATGATTTAATATTTTAAAAACTAGATTTTCAATTAGGGCCTCAATAACTTTTCCCACATTCAAATCTATGAAAGTATCTGTTCTAATGAGAACACTTGGACACAAGAAGGGGAACATCACACACCGGGGCCTGTTGTGGGGTGGGGGGAGGAGGCAGGAATACCATTAGGAGATATACCTAATGTAAATGACGAGTTAATGGGTGCAGCACACCAACATGGCACATGTATACATATGTAACAAACCTGCATGTTGTGCACATGTACCCTAGAACTTAAAGTATAATAAAAATATATATATATATAAATTTTTTAAATAAAAAATAAAAAAGTACCTGTTCTAATAATAATATTCAATCCTTTACATTTCAAGACAAAATATCCAGTATTCTCCATCAGAATGAGAATGTCTATAAATTGTATTAATTCAGACATCATAAATTTGGCATTTATTAGTCTTTTGATAGGAGCTACGCTAAAGCTTACTTCTGTATTTTCTATATTAAAAAAAGTTGTTTAGCTGGTTAAACAACTTAATAAATAACAATAATAATCAGGGGTCTGTTTACCTTATAATTACTTTTATTTTTTTTTCATTAAGAGATTAGGAGAGACAGTGGAATGACACTAAAATAGGTATCAGGCACCATGAGCCAGTTCCACCGCTGTACTATTTATGAACTCAAAAAATATGTTTAATATCCTGGACTTCCATTTTTTCACCTGCAAATGATAGAATTACACTTGGTAAGTTGTCAGTGTTCTCTGAAGATAACATTCTAAAGCAGGATCTTGGGGAGCTCCCCTTAGCCACCTCCATTGGACTTGTTACTACTGTTGGTAGCCAATACACATATAATTCATTTTGTTTCAAACATAACTATGATATAGACATATCACAAATTGTAGCATCTAGCAGCCATATCTAGCACATAGAAGTCACTCAAGAAATATTTATATCAAATAAATTTGAACTCAATTGAGACTGGCCTCCATAAATTAGATCTGCTTAATCAGGAGGTCAACCTCCTAAAAAATCTAGGGATAGTTTTTATAAATTTTAAACTATTTGCAAAATGTCAAATGAATGAGGTTTTTCCAGGAGATCATCTTCATACCTTTTTCAGAGTCTTAAAAGGATCTCTATTTCCCAGTTTCACTTCTATGAAGAGCGCAGACTGCTGAAATTGGTCTGTCTCTGAAAGATACCCTACAACCAACAATTACACAACAGGTTTTAATCTGGTCCCCACTCTGGGATGAGGAAAATATAAATCTTTCATCTGATGAAAGTTTTATTGATAGGCAGAAAACCATTCCACCACAAATTACTAATTCATTGCAAATGTTTCTTCTAAATCCTAGGGCACAGACTCACATTCTTATTTATACTGGCCCCCTCCTGTGAATGAACACATCAGCATTCATAAATTGAAAGTCTCTATCTAAATCAGTGCTAACAACTGTTTGATATTTTCCTTATATTCTCTCCTCATTTGTTTACACAAGCTTCAAACTAAACAGGTAGTAAAATTGTTCATTACTGAAGTGACTATTGCTACACATTTTATCTTCTTCATTAGTGGTTATCAAAATGAGGTCTCCTAGGGTCCTTGATGACTGGGCTGTTAGAATAGTAATGCTAATAATATGACATTCTCAATGCTTCTGTGTCTGGCAAACATTAATAATCAGATCCTCTTGGGATCCCATCAAAAACAGCAGCCTTAATGGGATCTTTGTGGTTGCAAACATAAGTAGGTTACATGAGTGGTACATGATGTCTCTCAGGTCTACCGAGCCAAAGTGACCCCAATCAAAGAATATTTGAAAACACTCCTTTTACATTTCCCTTTCTACTGGCAGGGAATTTCACATAAGAACTGGGAAGCACTGTTTTCTAGGCATGATAGTGGAGCCAAATGTTCTTAACTAATTCTACATACATGTGTGACCTATTTTATAGCATTATATATAGTTATACAGATTGTATCTATTCAGTTAAACCAAAATGCTAGTTATATTTCTATTTTAAGCCAACAATGCCTGTCTGTTGCTTTTTCCTTCTCTTTCTCCTTGAATCCTTCCAATTTCTCACTAAAAGACATGGAATCTTACTTACTGAGGAACAGCAAATACCTTGCAGTCTTCTGTTAGCATAGCTCAGTTTATATTCAACTAAAATTTACTACCATCACCCATAATGAATAAGATTCTACTTTCTGATAGCAAAATACTAAAATTTCATTCCAAAAAGAATTTTAATATAAATATGAGTCCTGCAATAGAGCAGCTAATGGAAAGGAAAATCTTCCAAGTGATAGGAAAATGACATTTCACATTGGCTTCTATTTCTAAGCACAGTCCCACATAAAATACACATTTGATTCATTTCAGCTTCTTTGGAGAAATTCTAAATGGAATTCTTGCCCTAAAATGTTATTAAAATTAATACCAGTTAGGTCTTCAACCACAAAAACAAACAATAGGAAAAATAAAAATTTAAAAGGACTCTGACATCTTTCCAACATAGACTAAAGAAGCACTGAGTATAGCTTTAATAGGCATTAATTGTTTAGGGGCAGAAGGGGTGGAGGCATTTGGGAAGATCAAATGCAAACCTTTAAAAAACCTTTCTGTTAAACAGTCAAGGTAAAATATTGAAAGCTTCACCATACTTTCTGTAATGTCTTGTAATGCTATGATTTGGATTTTGCTTCAAGATAATTTTGAAAAGAAACATTCAAAGGGTTTATGCCCTAAAAGTAGGTTCTCTTCATCACCCTGTTCCCATCAAATGTTCTGCACTTTTGTGGAGTGGCAACTATAAATTACCACTCTGTAGTCAATGCTTACTGGGGAAAAACAAAAAAGATAAGCAGTTTTTAATCACATAGCAATTTCATTCAATAAAGCTGACATTAAGCCAGGAGCAGTAGCTCACACCTGTTAACCCTGGACTTTGAGTGGCCAACGTAGGAGGACTCCTTGAGGCCAGGAATTCGAGACCAGCCTAGGCAACATAGTGAGACCCCCCATCTCTAGAAAAAATAGAAAAATTAACTTGGTGTGGTAGCTTGCAACTGAAGTCCAAGCTACTTAGGAAACTGAGGCTGAAGGATTGCTTGAGCCCAATAAGTTGAGATCACAGTGAGCTATGATCACACCACTGCACTCCAGCCTGGATGATATAGAAAGATCCTATCTCTAAAAACAAAAACAGAAACAAAAAAAACCTGAAATTATTTGTTCAAAAGTATCAAGAACTGTTTAGGAGATCCAGAGTAGAAAAACTATAAGAAAATAAGATTCAAAATGTTTTTCAAATTTCTAAATTCACACACTTCAAATAATACCTGTCATCTTTTCATTAAACCTCAAAGTGCCCAAAATAACACAAGCTTGCCATTATTATGAGAGCTTTTATGAATAAGGTATTTGCTCCTTAAGTAGGCTTTAGAGGAACACATATATTTTTAATGGAAGTGTATAAACACAGACATGCTCTTTCTTTTACTTTAATCTGTCAGGCTAAGAAAAATAATGAAATTTTAAACCTATTACTCCAAAAACTAGTTTAAAACTGATCACTCAAATAGCTAGTTAAGCATATAAACTCGTAGACACCCACTTCAATGCAGAAACAGTCACCTCTACTAATTCATTCTGTTCAAACAACACAAATATTTCTTTTCCTTGCTTCCCACCTATCAACTAATTCTGATTTTAATTTAAGGCATATATCTCTTTAAAGTGTAATAAATATTAGGATCTTGCTGACAAGAGAAGCACAAAACCCCAATAGTCCTCTGATAAATGCAACTTTTACCACCTGTGGTATCCTCCAGACAGGATGTATCTTGGAGAGAGATTTCTCTGGAAGACGACATCCAGAGAAGAGCTGTTGTTAATGATGCCAGTTTTTAGCATGTGCAGACAAGCACACAAGCTTTAAACTTACAAAAAATTGCCTCATCTATAATTGAAAATGACATATTTATCTCCACTACGTCAAAAATCCTTCAAAACTTCCCATAAAGTAGGGGGAGATAGTTTTACTGTCTCCAGCAAGAAGATGTGCATTTCATGCTGCCTGAGATCATCCTGGAGACCCACTGATATGGTTTGGCTATGTCCCCACCCAAATCTCTTCTTGAACTGTAGCTCCCATAATTCCCACGTGTTATGGGAGGGACCTGGTGGGAGATAATTGAATCTTGGGGGCAGTTTCCCCCATACTGTTCTTGTGGTAGTGAATAAGTCTCATGAGATATGATGGTTTTATAAGGGGAAATCCCTTTCATTTGGCTCTCATTCTCTCTATCTTGCCTGCTGCCATGTAAGACGTGCCTTTCACCTTCCACCATGATTGTGAGGCCTCCCCAGTCACATGGAACTCTGAGTCCATTAAACTTCTTTTTCTTTATAAATTACCCAGTCTCAGGTATATCTTTATCAACAGTGTGAAAACGGACTAATACACCCATGCTGCAAGACTGAAGGAAGAACTATCAACCAGGCAAAAAGCATTTACTGAGTGTTTCTATGTGGACTACCAAGGTTTACTGAGGGCTGCCTAGAATTCTCAGTCATAAAATTCCATGCTATGACTATTTCAAACATAGAATGGCTCCAGAGCTTCTACTAAAAATAAGACTCAGAGCTATATATGTTAAATATATATATATCCATATGTTACACAGTCATTGGTAAAGTGAAAAAGCATGAAGGAAATCTTCTGCAGCTTTTGAAATAGTGATGTATGTTTAGGGAGCTCTCAAACTTAGGTGTTAAACATTTCCACAGCAATTCATACTTACAGAGAGCTTCAGATTTGTTTTTATTACCATCCTAGCATCACAGAGGAAGCTCAAATGCCCCAAGAAGAATCTGTTTCTAAGGAAACTCACCATGCACCCTTATGTAAATAACTCAGAAAGCAGGGCTGCTCATATTCCAACTGTAAACGTGCACAGGTCTGTCAAATGACTTCTAGTTCCCTCCCAACCTCGAACCTAATGCCTCCATCTCCAGCAATCAGCTGGCTGTGTAACATGTTCATTTGCTGGGTCAAATTCTCAAGCAGGGGACAATAACCCGTGTCTAAGTTGCAAGAAAACAAACAGTACAGGATGGAGATTTTAAAGGAATGTTCTCTGAGCCAGGGAAACAAGAAAATGGAGACGAGAGAGTATCATTTGGAAATGAATTGTCTTTGTTAATAATTGTTGAAGCTGTGTGATAGATATATGGGGTTCATTATATGATTTTCTCTCCACTTTCTTGTATGTTTGAACGTTTCCATAATAAGTTTTTTTAGTGAAGATTTTCTTTTCCCAACCTCCCCACCATAATATACTGAAGGAAACAAAAACACAAATACAGATAGATGAAAGGTAAGATTCTATGATGATTAATTTTATGCATCAGTGTGGCTAAGCCATGGTGCCCAGATATTTGGTCAAATGTTAGTCTGGATGTTTCTGTGAGAATATTATTGTAGATGAGATTAATAATTAAATCAGTGTACTCTATGCAAAGCAGATTGCCCTCCATAATGTAGGTGGGCCTCATCCAGTTCACTGAAGGCCTTAATGGTACAAAAACTGACCTCCCACAAACAAGAAGGAATTGTGCAGCAGACAGTCTTCAGACTGCAAGCGCAAAATTGGCTGTTCCCTGGATCTCCAGTCTATCAGCTCAACTTGCAGATTTAACACTTGCCAGCTTCCATGATCATGTAAGCTAATTCCTTAAACTCTCTCTACACACAACCACACACACACACACAAACACACACACACACACAATGTTGGTACTGTTTCTCTGGAAAAACTCTCCCTAATAGAGCTCCCTATAG
Source organism: Homo sapiens (assembly GCF_000001405.40). Taxonomy (NCBI): domain Eukaryota; kingdom Metazoa; phylum Chordata; class Mammalia; order Primates; family Hominidae; genus Homo; species Homo sapiens. The sequence goes on along the minus strand of NC_000014.9, from coordinate 61,980,891 downwards.
CCATTACAGAATTTTCAGTTTTTCTGCCCAGCAATGAGCAAGATGGTCTCAGTCCTATCTAAAGTACATCTCCCTGTCATGTCAATTAGTCTTTTTTTAAGCCCTTACCATGTTTATAACAATCTATAATTATTTTATTTATTTGCCTCTTTACGTTTGGTTTTGTTTTTCCCTGTCTTCACCAAAAGCATGTAATTTCTAAGAGAGTAGGGACTACAACTCTCTTTTTCACCATTTTATTTCCAGCACTTAGCACAATGTGTGGCATGACATAGCTTCACAACGAATAATGTTGAATGGATGAATAAATATTCTCAAACCAGTAATCTCTCAGCCGAGTTTTTTGGAATTTGCACACACCAAACAGGTGATGGGCCCATCTGAATTATTATAAGCCTATATATTTTTAAAGCAAAATATAAGATTAATATCAATTCTCAATTATTTGTGCCTTAGTCAAGTAACCAAAACCAGTGACTATGCATTGCCATGAGATATATCAAGGCTTGTCCTGATGTTGAAATAAACTTTCACAGTTCCTCAATTTTCAAATGTTTAATATCATATATTAGGTTGAACCATATGAAACTTCTCACCTACAAAAACAGCAATTTCATAGTGCAATATAATGTAACCCATAGTGAGAGAAATGTATATTCTATGCAAATTAAGATATTAAAATCAGAAGAGAAAATACCTTGCAACTTAGATTACTCACAAGTGTGCTTCCACACTAGGGACCACCTTTCCAGTTGGGTTTTGTTTTATATATGCCCCAGTGGAGACGGGTGACAAAAGAAGTATAAAGGGGACATTTTATGTATCCTATTATTTCAGGACAAAAAACTATAAAAGTGGAGGGCTTGGGGAATGTAGAAGATATCAGTTTTCTAAAGAGCATTCAATCCTTAATTCTAAAACAATTGGGGATTGAAAACTTAATTCTAAAACTTACTGTGCAATTCTATAGACCGTCAAAAACTATCCCAGTGGAATTTTTTTTTTCTTTTTGAGACAGAGTCTCGCTCTGTCGCCAGGCTGGAGTGCAGTGGCACAATCTCGACTCACTGCAACCTCTCCCTCCCGGGTTCAAGTGATTCTCCGGCCTCAGCCTCCTGGGTAGCAGGGACTACAGATGCACGCCACCACGTCCAGCTAATTTTTGTATTTTTAGTAGAGACGGGGTTTCACCATGTTGGCCAGGATGATCTCGATCTCTTGACCTCGTGATCCACCCGCCTCAGCCTCCCAAAGTGCTGGGATTACAGGCATGAGCCACCACGCCTGGCCAGAATTTATTTTTAATCATCTAATGAAAAAGAAAAGGAGGGGAATATGTACTCTTTTTTTATTCCAAGATATTTGATTCACTTAAGATTCATCTGAGTAGGCCATGCCTAAAAGGAAGCCACTGCACAGACCTGCAGGTGATGGAACCTAGACTCTGGGTACAGGTAAAAGAAAATTCATTGCTAAAGAAGGCAACAAAATGCCCCAGGAAAGAAGACTATAGATTATGCTGATTTTACATTATCCTGAAAAATGTCTTTCTCTGCCTATATTTAATTCATCAATCATACTAAATATGAAGTATGAGGAAGCTGACGATGGTTATTTACAACTATAAGATGAGCACATGGCTAAATGTTCCTCTCCATCTCAAGGAGCCAAAAATAATAATAATAATAAGACCACTCCTACATCCCTATATCAGGCTACTATACTATCTATTTTTATTTTTACATCTGTTTCAGATCCTGATTCACACCATTTTACAAAATTTGTCATTATTCTTCCTTATATGGGCATAAAAGGAAAACAGAATGTTATCCAAATCATTAAGAGGATCCTGAAAGATACAGAGATGGGACAGCCAGACTCTTCTGTTTTGGCCAAATTCACCAAAAACTTCTAAAAGTCTCGAAATCTTGAATTTAAATTAAAGTTGGTTATAATTTGACAATCTTGAATAATCTTATGGAATAGACAACTTTCGTAAATAACTTATTTTTTATTCCCTGTGCAGAAGTCAACTGCCCAATATATATGGGGCAGTGGGGAGGAAAAGCATCATGAAGGAAAAACCTTGTTTGCTCACAAGGTGGACTAAAGCAGTGAGGGAGGGAGCCAGGTGGAGAAACCACCAGATGGATACTTTGTGTGGGCAGCAGCAAAGGGGCACTGGTCCAGTGTTAACACTCTGGTCAAGCACTTCCCTCCCTGACTTAAAAGGGGAACTTAACAATAGGTCTACCCCTTTTCATCAATGGTTCTCCACCTGGCCACACCTTTAAATCACCTGGCATTCTTTTTAAAGCTGTAAGTTTGCCCTGCCACTCCCTGTTGTGATGTAATTAATTTGCAGTGAGCCTCACACTTGTAGTTTTTAAAAGCTTCCCAGAATTGAGATCCTGTGTGGTTCAACTGAGGTTACAGTTAGAAAATACCCTGACTGCTAATTACAATCTCTATCATAAGTGTCTGACAAGCTTTTGTTACATCTTTCTTTGTAAGAATCATTATAACCCCAGTTGAGGAGTGTGGAATACCAGTGCTGGAGGAAAATTGAGAAAAGAGAATCTTGCCTCCAATTTTCATCAACTCTCCTTATTTGAAAGGATTGGAAACCACTGCCAAGTTGGGCTTCCACCTTCTTCTCCTGCTATAGTGGGCTGAATGGTAGCTCCCCAGAGATATGTCCATGTCCTAATCCCTGGAATCTATGCATGTTATATTATTTGAAAAAAGGGTCTTTCATTGCAGATGTAATCAAATGAAGAATTTGAGATGAGACTAGATTCCTTGATTACCACCAGTGACTAATGACACAGAGAAGAAGGTGAGGTGAAGACAGAGGCAGAGATTGGAATGATACAGCCACAAGACAAAGAATGCCAAGGATGACTGCCAGCCACCAGGAGCAAGGAGCAAGTCATGAAACAGATTCTCCCTAGAGTCTCCAGGGATCGTGGCCCTGCTGACACCTTGATTTCAGAATATGGGTCTCCAGAATTGTGCAAAAATAATTTATGTTGTTTTAAGACAACAAATTTGTAGTTATTTGTTATGGCAGCCATAGGAAACTAATACATCCCCCAAATCCTCCATTCTCCTATTTTTTTCAACCCAGATGTTTACTTCAAAGCTATGAAGTAGTGGATTAAGTTGGGAAGATTAGGTGGGCAAAAAAATGGGGTGATAATGGTAACACTTTGTGTCCCCACCCAAACCTCATCTTGAATTGTAATCCCCATAATCCCTGTAATCCCCATGTGTCAAGGGAGAGACCAGGTGGAGGTAACTGAAACATGGGGGTGGTTTCCCCCATGCTGTTCTCATGATAGTGAGTGAGTATCATGAGATCTGATGGTTTCATAAGGAGCTATTCCCCCTTTGCTTGGCACTTCTTCCTGCTGCCTTGTAAAGAAGGTGCCTGCCTCCCCATCTCCTTCTGCTATGATTAAGTTTCCTGAGGTCTCTCCAGCCATGCTGAACTGTGAGTCAGTTAAACCTCTTTCATTTATAAATTACTCAGTTTCAGCCAGTCCTTTATAGCAGTATGAAAATTGACTAATACAGTAAATTGGTACTGCCAAGAGTGGGGTACTGCTATAAAGATACTTGAAAATGTGGAAGCAACTTTGGAACTGGGTAACAGGCAAAGATTGGAACAGTTTGGAGGGTTTGGAAGAAGACAGGAAGATGTGAGAAAATTTGGAGCTTCCTAGAGACTTGTTGAATGGCTTTGACCAAAATGCTAATAATGATGTGGACAACGAAGTCCAGGCTGAGGTGGTCTCAGATGGAGATGAGGAACTTCTTGGAAACAGGAGCAAAGGCCACCCTTGCTATGCTTTAGCAAAGAGACTAGCAGCCTTTTGCCCCTGCCCTAGGGTCCTAGAGATCTATGGGACTTTGAACTTGAGAGAAATTATCTGAATTTAAAACTTATGTTTAAAAGGAAAGCAGAGCATGAGCTTGGAAAATGTGCATCCTGACTATGCAATAGAAAAAAAAAAACATTTTCTGGGCAGAAATTCAAGCTGGCTGCAGAAATTTGTATAAGTAATAAGGAGCCAAATGTTAATCACCAAGACAATGGGGAAAATGTCTCCAGGGCATGTCAGAGGTCCTCATGGCAGCCCTTCCCATCACAGGCTCAGAGTCCTAGGAGGACAAAATGTTTTTGTGGGCCAGGCCCAGGGCCTTGCTGTTTTGTACAGTCTCGGGAGTTGGTGCTCTGCATCCCAGTCATGGCTAAAAGGGGCCAACATACAGCTCAGGGTGTTGCTTCAGAGAGTACAAGCCCCAAGTCTTGGTAGCTTACATGTGTTGGGCCTGTGGGTGCACAGAAGTCAAGAATTGAAGTTTGGGAACCTCTGCCTAGATTTCAGAGGATGTATGAAAATGTGTGGATGTCCAGGCAGAAGTTTGCTGCAGGAGCTGAGCCCTCATGGAGAACCTCTACTACAGAAGTGAGAAAGGGAAATGTGGGATGGAAGCCCCCACACAGGGTCCCCACTGGGGCACTACTTAATAATCTGTAAGGAGAGGGCCCCTATCCTCCAGACCCAAGAATGGTAGATCCACCAACAGCTTGCACCATGTGCCTGGAAAAGCCACAGCCACTCAATGCCAGCCCATGAAAGCAACCAGGAGGGGGACTGAACCCTGCAGAGCCACAGGAATGGAGCTGCCAAAGACCATGGGAACCCACCTCTTGCATCAGCATGACCTGGATGCGAGACATGGAGTCAAAGGAAACCATTTCAGAGCTTTAAGATTTGACTGCCCCACTGGATTTTGGACCTGCATGGGGCCTGTAGCCCCTTTGTTTTGGCCAATTTCTCCCATTTGGAATGGGTGTATTTACCCAATGCCTGTACCTGCATTGTATCTAAGAAGTAACCAACTTGCTTTTGATTTTACAGGCTCATAGGTGGAAGGGACTTGCCTTGTCTCAGATAAGACTTTGGACTTGGACTTTTGAATTAATGCTGAAATGAATTAAGACTTTGGGGGACTGTTGGGAAGGCATTATTGGTTTGAAATGCGAAAGAGACATGAGATTTGGGGGGAACCAGGAGCAGAATAATATGGTTAGGCTTTGTGTCCCCACCCAAACCTCATTTTGAATTGTAATCCCCAGAGCTAGAGGAGAAGTTGTTATGGTAACCCTAAGAACCAAATAGGATCCCCATAATCCCCACATGTCAAGGGAGAAACTAGGTGGAGGTAATTGAACCATGGGGATGGTTTCTCTCATGCTGTTCTAATGATAGTGAGTGAGTTCTCACAAGATCTGATGGTTTTATAAGGCACTCTTCCCCCTTCACTTGGCACTTCTTCCAGCTGCCTTGTGAAGAAGGCTCCTGTCTCCCCCTCACCATCCATCATGATTAAGTTTGCTGAGACCTCTACAGACATGCTGAACCGTGAGTCAATTAAACCTTTTTTATTTATAAATTACCCAGTCTTAGGCAGTTACTTATAGCAGTATGAAAATGGACTGACACATGAGGCAATTAAGATCTTGGCCACTGGGGTCAGGCAATGTTTAGTCTGACTCCCAGCCTTGCCATTTAATAGCTTGAAAAAAAATTCACCTCTCTCACCCTCAGTTTTCTCATCTATAAAATGGAGATTATATTACCACCTGTTTGTTGAATTGTGAGTGGGAAAGGTGCACAGATGGTCCTCAACTTACAATGGTTCAACACATGATTTTTTTGTCTTTATCTAATATTCTCAATTTATGATGGGTTTATCTGGAATTAACACCATTGTAAGTGCAGGGGCACGTGTACTTGAACATACTCTCACCTAAATGCAGAAATAAAATGAAAAATATTTTATAACAGCAGTCATTATGGCCCAAGCAAAAAGAATCTGGCCACACCTGCTGGGGCAGGTCAGAAGCCCCTGCTGAATCAGAAGGTATCTGTTTAGTTGCAGGTAGAGAGCAGAGAGTAATCTTGTGCAGGCACCAGCCAGTTGGGCCTTTCTACCAACTGGTAGGGAGAAATTGTCACATTTTAGCAACCATCCTTCTGAGCTCCAGCTGAGCACTAGCTTTGCCTCAATGTACAAAACCTGTTTCCTTACTTACTCAGTGCTCTTATCTTTCTCTGGAGAATCCTCCATCTTCCCAACTCAGTGTTGAGAAACTAAACTTAAACTTGCTACTCAAAGTAACTCGGTCAATTTCATTTTGGATAAAGTATCAGTCTTTGGGATTTCCACTCCCACCTTCATGTTCCCTTACAGCAGGGAGCATCTGGGCACTGGTGTGAGTTTATTTAACATGATGCACTGTTCCTGCTGGCTCCTGCTGACTCCAGGAGAATCAACCTCTGCCTTACAGCATTCCACAGCAGGAGTACCTCTTGGTGATGACCCTAGGCAGCACAAGCTATATAATTTGCAAGACTCAGTGCAAAATGAAAATGCAGGGCCCTTGAAAATCACTAAGGATTTCAAGACTGCAACAGCACATCATCACTAAGCTAAGCACAAGGGCCCTTCTAAGTGTAGGCTTTGTGCAGTTGTGCAGTTCCATGCCCAGGAAGCCAGCTCTGACTACATAAGGCCTTGGATTGTTCATCCTCCAGCCTCCAATACAGGCCCACCTCATGGTAAGCTGCAATAACTCCCCAGCAGGCACATTGACTCATTCCTCTGCTATCTTCTCTGCCCCCGCTCCCACCACCAGGGTCAGGCAGAAATTTCTAAAACAAGTGTTCTCCTGCTCACTGGAGGAACTGTAGCAGCGGCGTCTTCTCAAGTTCTCTCTCCCTCCGGCACCACCAGTATATTTGCCCCACCACAGCCCCCCAGGCCCACATGGGACACCAGTGAGGCAGTCTCCTGCCACAATTCCAAAAAGAAGCATGCGGCACTCTCCTTTCTGACTCTTCTTCGGGCGTGTTGAATTCCAACCTTCTTATCACAACCGGCCTGACTGGGTCCCACATCTGTCCTCCTTCTCAGGGTCTGGTCCAGGAAACACTTCATGGTCTCCAAACCTCTTTCCTTTCACCACTTCAAGTTATGGTCTGCCCTTTCCAGAAGAGGAAGGGCATTCTTCTTCCCTTCCCTGCCTGGGAGGAAATGCCCTCATGTCACATTGTCTATGCTTTCTTAAAAGCATAGACAATGTGCCTCTTAAAATGAAACTCTTTGCGCCAACTCCTAAATTTTGCTTTTGGAATATAAAGTTTTTTGGAAGGGGGCAGCAAACAAAACAAAACAACCGAAATATTCTTTCTCTCTCCCGCCTTCTCTCAAAGCTGGGCTTCTTTTAAAAACTATTGTCTCACTGTGAAATTTTTATTTTTAATCAATTTTTTATCTCAAAGCTGAATATTGGCTTTTTTGTTCCAACTGATATCCATCCTTCCCCAAAGCAATCACTGTCAATGAGCAACACAAGAACATTACATAAAGAAATCAAATAATGCATGTAAAATACTTCGAATAACAATGCATGTAAAATGCTTGGCAATACTAATTGCTAAATAAACAATAGTTACCAATGATCATTATCTGTATTATTATTATTACTATTACCTATGTTATTAGGAAAACACCATTCCAGTTTCTTTGTCCCCTTGCCTAAATCCAGACAGAATGGCATGTGTAAATTCTTTAAACTTTAAAATATATATAGCCTAAAGGAAAGCAAGGTATTTTTGTCAAGCAAATCATTTTGCATAGTAGGTTTGGAAAATAAACATCCACTCTTGCCTCTCTGATGTTACCACATAATCGAAAGGAATTATTTTATTCTTCAGAACCTCACATATATTAAATTAAAATAATTCAGTTTCTGATATTCTATCATTTTTTTATCAACAAAAATGGCAATCTTATATGGTTTAATCTAAGAGTAGGATGGTCGCATTTTTATTAGTTCTCTTCCATTCATAGACTGAAAGCTAGAGAAGAAGTTGCTATGGTAACCCTAAGAACCAAACAGAATCACAGAATGAGAATGGGAGAAGCCTAGTCCAGACTCATCAATTTGCAAATGAAGACTTAAGGCTCAGAGAGGTGAAGTGAGTTTCCCAAAATATCGTGGCCAATTAGTGGCAAAAGTAAGCTCTGTCTGTCTGTACTGGGCTTCTTCCCACCACACTAGGCTGCCTGCCTTCCTTCTTTACGTTTGTCAAAATATGTTAAGAACATCCCAACTTCACTGAGAAATCAGTACTCTGAGGATAATTAAGGCAAATATCAAAGGTTAGACACAATATGGGGTAGAAGCACGTTTTTCAAAGACTTTTGATAACAATAATTAAACTTGTAAAAGGAGAAATGTCAAAGTGAAGGTGTTTGCTTTTTAGACATTATAATTTGGGGATGCTCCTGAAGAAACTATTTTTAAAGCTCCCTTTACATGACCCCACTCTGAATTTGAGACATGTATTTTTCAGTGTTTCCTGAGTGAACAGCTTTTGTTCATGCTTTATTGTTATTGTTTCAACATTCTTAAAACCTCAACTTATTTGCAAGTATAATTCATAATTGTCTCTAAAATATTCAGATAAAATGTCAAACAAGACAAAAAGGAAATATTTTAAATAGTTCTAACCTCAGTTCCTCATAACCATTATAGTTTGCAAAGGAGAAAACATCACCAACTTTAATCTCCCAATTTAAGTAATGAATACAATTCATTAATGTGTGATGTCATTCCTCGCAGCCATTACTGTGACTTGCTATTGCTGTTGCATTGCTATAGGCACCATGCTGGTGTCTCTACAGAATTAATTAATTTAATCTGGGTTGACCCTGTGAGAGATGTACTGATAATCCCAATATGCAAACAAGGAAACTGAAGTTCATAATGGTTCCATAATTTGCCAAGGTCACATAACGAGTGACAGCCAGCTGCTGAAGGGAGAGAAATAGAATCATGATGAATCCTACCTTCATACCACCCCATGGCCAAACAGACATCTGTTCGTCTCACTCACCTATGCCCCAGCTGGGACAATAGTGTCTAAACCATTCATAAGTCCCAGCTTTTGCATGGCAAGCTGTAATTAAAATATTCCATTCTATTTTCAGAATAAGTCATATGTCCCATGGGAAGTTCAAAAAATAAGGCCACTGCGATAGCAGGAATGCCAAAGCAATTGTCAAATCTGCAATTTACACCTCTCCCATTATTATTATCTCACAGAGATATTTAAAAATATATCTGCACACTCTTTGATACTCTTCCCCTCAAAAAGTAGAAGTGAATTTCCTAAACGTAGAGCTTGAGCTGTGCTCAATGAACAAACACAATGTGATAAAAGTGACATTGTAAGACTTCCCATGCTAGGGCATAAAAAGAGCAGTGGCTCCTTGCTTTCTCATGGATCTCTCACTCCAGGGAAAGCCAGCTGCCACATCATAAAGCACTCAAGTAGCCTTGTGGAGGGTTCCACATGGATCTGATCTGAGGCCTTTTGCCATCCTGGAGGGGACTCTGACACCACAGTCCAGCCTTCAGATGACATTCTAACTGAAGCCTTGAGATGACATTCTAACTGCAGCCTTACAACAGACCCTGATCTAGAATCACCCAACTAAGCCACTCCTCAATTTCTGAACTTCAAGAACTGTTAGATAATGAATTTTTGTTAAGTTACTAAGTCTTGGGATAATTTGTTATAAGCAGTAGATAATATGCCTTTATTCCTACATTATGCCTTTCTCGTAACAAGGCAAAAAAGCTGAACTATCCATGGCTACAAAAGCTGCCATATCAGTAACCCAAATCCTCTCCTTGGTCCAGGCATACTTAGAACACATCAAGAACGTAGGATACCTGGAGGGTACTCTCCTCAAGACCTTCCCTTCACTCAAAAAAATGTAAGGTTGCTCCTTGACCAGGTACATCATGCCCCATACCTCGTGGGGTATGGAAAAGGAGAGTAATAATCAGACTGATAAAAAAAAAAAAACAGCAAAGTTATCGTCTGTAAGATAAGAGTATTCTCTTTAAATGTCCCACATCTGTGTGATGATAACCATCCCTCTGTAAGAACATCCTGTATCACAAAGTTCTAGGCTTCAGTAATTGAAAATAGAATATGTCCTTTAAGAGCAGGAAGCCAATTATTTCTTTAAGTGTGTTATTTTTCCCTCATCAAATTGAAGGCAGTGAGTAAGTGACATGGTATACTCAGTGAGCTTAAAGAGTAAAAACCTCCCTTTGGAAAAGTGACCATTGCCATACAAGGTGGGACATGGTCCTGAGCACTGAAAAATCTCAAAAACAGCTAACAAGTGAAATGCCAACATCGTTCTAACATCATGAGACTAAAACGCATCAAGGCTCTTGTCAAACAGAACACATATTTTTTCTCCAAGCATTCATCAGAGGAAAACTCAACAGAGACTTCTAAAGAGCTAAGAAGATGGGAAGTGGTAGTCAGAGCCTCTTCCCATCTGCTCCTTGAGCTCTAGGGAGAACATTACTTTCATAAAGATAATGTATTCTTTAGTAAAGTCGATTCATCATGTCCACCCTGACCCAGACCACAGCAAGTTGCCAAGCCCAGGAGAATTTGAAGCATAATGCTTACCCAGCCCCTTGTGAATCCCAGTCTTGTCTTTAGAATGCTTTCTTTTCCCTCGATGCTCCAGGAAAGGAAGGCCTCCTATCGTTTCAAAACACAGCTTCTTGTTGATGAAGAGGAAGAGGACGGCCAGAAGAACAATAAAGACCCCAACAGCAGACAAGAAGCCAATGGCTTCAGGAGTGACTGGTGAGAGAACACAAAGAAAAAAATATCATCACAATGAGAATGACCTAAGTTTCAGTTCTAACAAATTGTGATCAATGCTATTCAGAATTTTTACTTTTATTAATGAGAAATGACAAACACTCTACAAGTCCTGACTCTGGCTGACATCCCCCAAGACTGTGTACTGGGGAAAGGAAAAGGACTGTTGGCCAGTACATCCTGTGATGCTGGCTCCTCAGATGAGAGACCTCTATACCTTTGAATGTGTAGTTTCTTCTACCTGGAGTACAACTCTTCTTGCTCCTGTCCTCAGCCCAGTATTCAACTTCAAACACACAATTAAGACAGAGTTCAATCAAATGGGTTTAGCTGGACATGGTTGACCAGTGTTATAAAAGCAAGTCTCCAAAAATGCAGCTGCCTAAAGCTTACACAATCATCACTTGAGACAAATTTTCAGATAAATAATTCTACCAATATTAGCGATTGGAGGGAAAGTCATTTCCTGGATACATTTTTGCAAATCCAGCTGTGCAATTTGATCATGGTTATCAACAGCAATAAGAAAATTAATAATTCATGCCATCCATATAAGAAATGCAAATTGTAGTTTTGACTACTAATATTTTAGAATTTTGGCAGATGAAATTCCATTTCTTCCTTCCCCTCCTCCTCCTCATCAGTATCAAAAAACTCTGCCCTTTAACTGACCTGCCTAAGTACTACCCAGTATGCCTCAAAGAGTCCCAGCCATTGCATTCAGCTATAAGTATATATAACAGGGAGACCAGAGAAGCTAGTTCAGAGTTTAGAGAAGAATCCTCTAAGGAAGTGACATTTGAGCCAAAGTAACATTCAGTAAAGACATCCAGAAATTAACTTGTATAAAGGGTTAGATTACAGAACAAATATCAAGAATGATTCAAGGGAATTGGGTATATGTGAACGCTTATGAAAATGAATCTCCTAAGAGCAGCTTTAATCAGTGGGCAGGTTTAATATATGATTTAATAATACAAATAATACAAAGCCTTAATAATATGAAGAGATAATACTCACCTAACCTTACTATCCAGATAAATAGAGAAAAGATTAATCAAACCAATCTCAACACCTTGAAAAGATAAAGAAATAAATGATACTGCCTTACTGAATCAACCTAGTGGCAAGCCAATATAAGAACAAACAAAACAAAACAAAAATAGCAGGCAAGATAATAGCTTTATAGTCTGCAAAATAGCAACAGTGCCTGCTATCAAAACCAACACATACCATGAAAAATAAAGTACATGCATATTGATTATGCCCTCTCCCTTCAGAAGCAGTACCCGGTAGCAGTAGTTATAGGCAAGGGATCAGCAGTCACAGCGCTTGGTTGAAATGACATACCACTTACTATCTGTGTGGCTTCGGCAAATTATTTAACCTCTTTGTGCTTCAGTGTGCTAAACTATAAAAGGAGAAAATAAACACAGCTACATCAAAGATTAACAGAGGTAACACATGGAAAGTAATTGATGTGGCACTTGACAAACAGAGTCCTTAAGTAGGAGTAAACCATCTTTCTCATCACCAACTTTCCAGAGCTACTAAAATATCTAGGAGCAGTCAAATATGGGATGGACCAGCTGCTTTGTACTCAGTCTGAGGTCTGGATCCCATCCTCCTCTTCTCTCTAGCTTTTTGCCCTTCACTCCTATACTGTCAGCCACTCTCCCTTGTGAATGCAGTGTCTTTCTCATTTGCATGAGAAATGAACCAGGTGTCTCCCATCCTTTAAAATTCCCTCCTCACCACCACATGCTCCTCAACCACACCCCTTTATCTTCTTCTTTCCACAATCAACCATCTTCAAAGTATTTTCTGCACTCATCACCATTTTTTTTTCTGAGACAGAGTCTTACTCCATCACACAGGCTACAATGCAGTGGCGCGATCCTGGCTCACTGCAACCTCCGCCTCCTGAGTTTAAGCGATTCTCATGCCTCAGCCTCTTGAGTAGCTGGGATTTCAGGCATGCGCCACCATACCCAGCTAATTTTGGTATTTTTAGTAGAGACGGGGTTTCGGTATATTCCCCAGGCTGGTCTTGAACTCCTGACCTCAAGTGATCTTCCCACCTCGGCCTCCCAAAGTGCTGGGATTACAGGCATGAGCCACCGCACCCAGCCTCATCTCCACTTTCTTACCTCTAAAGTTCCTGGTACTCTATACCTAGATTCCCACTGACCTCCCTGTTTCTAACCTTGCCCCCTCAAGTCCATTCTCCACACAATAGCCAGAACAATCATTCTGAAATGTATAAGTCATTTCATTTATAAGTTTGTTCAATTGCCCTTCTAAAGCCTCCTGTAGCAGGTTGAGCTGTGGCCTCAAGTACATATGTTCACCATGAGTCTCAGAAGGTGACCCTATATGGAATAAAGGTCTTTGAAGATGTAATTAGGGTAAGGATTTTGAAATGAGTTCATCCCAGATTAGGGTAGCACCTAAATTCAATGATGAGTGTCCTTATGAGACAGCAAAAAAAGAAGGCATGGAGAGATGAAAGCCACATGAAGCCCAGGGCAGAGATTCGAGTTACAAAACCTCGAGTTAAGGACTGCGAAGGGTGGACAGCAGTCACCAGAAGCTAGGAGACAGGCACGGAACAGATTCTCCCTCAGAGCCTCCAGAGAACCAACCTGCCAACACCTTGATTTTGAACTGCTGGCCTCCAAAACTGTGAGAGTAGATTTCTGTTGTCTTAAGTCACCAAGTTTGTGGTAATTTGTTGCAATAACAACCCTAGGAAACTAATGCACCATCCAATGGCATCCCATTACCCAGAGGACAAAATCTGAATTCCCTAACTCAGGTTACAAGGCCCTTCATGACCTGGATACTGATTCCAGTCTTTATCGCTCATCATTCTCCAACATCAAACTCTTTCTTGTTGCTGTGTTCACCTATTTCTGGTTCCCCAAACGTAGGTCACACCTCCAGATCTTTGCATATTTCAACTCCCTGGGACAACTGCTCCTCTGGCTAATCTGATACCATGCTTCCTTTGAAACCTTTCTTGTTCTTCTAGACAAAGCTGGATGCTTCTACAGTGTGTTGCCACCTACCAAGCCCTTGACAGCTTCTTCAACCAATTTCAAATGTTAAATTTTAAACTTTATAAGAACAGGGACTATGTCTGAGTTACTCATTGTACTCTCAGCAGCTAGCAAAAGGTAAACATTCAATAAATAATTTGTTGCCTGAATAAATGTTGGAACTCTTCTATGTTACAACACATTGGCCAATGTGCCTGTCAGTGAAAACTCCTGGAAAGACATACCTCAAGGGTGTCAGCAAAACTACCAACATAGGATATGATTTACATTAAGATAGGTCTTAGGAAAAAGAGGATTCATGTATAAGCAGAAACATCTTCATCTTATAATGTCATTAATTAATGAAATTAAATTTTTATTTTTGAATAAAGGATCTTTTTCCATCATAAAAGCAGCATGAAACTCATTACATAAAATCTGCAAAATATGGAAAAAGATAAAACAACTCACTACTAAGATTTTGTGTGCTTCCTTTCAGTCACTTTATCTACATGGCAAATATAAAATTGTAAAGACCTCACTGTTTTGGCTTATAAATATTTGTATTTATTAAAAAGTTTTAATTATTTTTAAATAAGTTAAAGAAAAAATAAGCAATTCATGCATAGAGTAGAATGTTTGGAAAATATTAGAAAATATAAAAATGATGATAATGTTCAATCTTATCACCTGTCACAGTTAATATTTTAGCTTGGTAAATAATTTTTTCTTAACTTTTTTTAATCATAATTGATATACTATTTCATATGCTTATATTAATGAATTTAATGTAAAAACATTCACAGATTGAAGGTAATATGAAGAGATTATTCAATATAATCTCCAAAGACACAAGAAAAAGTGTAGAAAATGGCCCTTATGTTACTCAAAATAACTCTGCTTTTTTGGAGAAGAAACATTTTTGTTAATAACAATTCTTGTAGTAATGGCTTAACTATGGATGGGTATAACATTTTTAAGTAAGTCCCAATATTTTTTTCTTCCCAAAACTATACAGACATTGCTCCATTACCTTTTAGCCTTAATGCTCCATAAATAAGTGTGATGATGCAGCTTACTTTTCGTTACTCTGTGGGCAACAGAATTTTTCAGTCTGTATGCTACTAGAAGCTTTTCCTTTATAACACAAAAATTTTACCAGAATGTATCCTTCTGTGAGTCTCTTTTGTTCATTTTTCCTGGAAGCCAGATTTCATCAGATATCCACAATTTTTTTTTCAAGCTTAGGAGAGTTTTCTTCAATTGCATCTTCGATAATTTATTCTATTTCAACTGCTCTTGTTCCATCTTAAACTACATTACTATTTCTTCAGCTACAAACTTTCATTTTTCCCTATTTGTTTTTTCCTCTACAATCTGACAGATATTAAACATTCCCTACACATTTTCACTAAGTTAAAGAAGTTAAAACATGCTTATAACCACTCTGGCATATGCACTATTATGACCTTTGAATATCTGAGTCAGAGACAAACAGTTAAGATATGGTCTTTCTCCATGCTTTCAGGTTGGGGCAGGGGTGAGGGATGGGGAACACTAGAAATAAGTTCAAGTCTAGCTAAGGAAAGAGAAAGCTTAGTTCAGTTAGAGAGAGGTTAGAGAAAGGCAAGTTTGGTTATTTCAAAAGAGTTCATGTTTCTTCCGGAATCTATTAATTTCAATTTCATCTTTTTCTGTGCTTATGAGTACTTAGTGAGAAGTCTAAAGAAGTGCATGAAGGACTCTTAGCCATAGCTATGTTAAACTGTAGATTTGATTACATGCTTTCTAAATAAGTAGAGTGTCATAGCAATGACTCAGAAGGCGGCAACACAAGACTTATAGGATTGCCTAATCAGGGTTGCACAAAAAGGGCCCTGTTTAGACATGTTTAAAATTCCAAATGTAACTCAGCAATTCCACTCCTAGGTATGCACCCAAGAGAATTGAAAATGCAGTCATACCTTGGATATAGTGCAGGTTTAGCTCCAGACCATCACAATAAAGCAAAAATCACAACAAAGCAAGTCACACAATTTTTTTATTTCCCAGTGCATATAAAAGTTATGTTTACACTATACTGTAGTTTCTTAAATGTGCAATAGCAGGATATCTTTAAAAAACCATGTGCATACCTTAATTAAAAATACTTTATTGCTAAAAAAAAAAAAGCTAAAAATCACTGATCCCTCAGTGAAACATAATCTTTTTATTTATGGAGGATGTCTCAATGTTATGGCTGTTGAATGATCAGGACAGGTAGTTGCTGAAGGTTGGGGTGGCTGTTACCTTAAAATAAGACAACAATGAAGTTTGCCTCATCAACTGACTCTTCCTTTCATGAAAGATTTCTCTGTAGCATATGATGCTGTTTGAGAGCATTTTATCCACAGCAGAAAGTCTTTCAAAATCCTCTCAAACTCTTCCACTGCTATATCAACTAAGTTTACGCAGCATCCTAAATCCTTTGTTGTCATTTCAACAATGTTCACAGCATCTTCACTAGGAGTGGATTCTATCTCAAGAAACCACTTTCTTTGTTTATCTATAGGAAGGCCACTTTTCATCTGTTCAAGTTTGACCATGAGATTGCAACAATTCAGTCACATCGTTAGGCTCCATTTCTAATTCTAGTTCACTGGCTATTTCCATCACATTTGCAGTTACTTCTTCCACTGAAATCTTGAGCCCCACAAAGTCATCCAAGAGGGTTAGAATCAACTTCTTCCAAACTCTTGTTAATATTGATATTTTGACCTCCCATGAATCATAAATGTCCTTAATAGCATCTAGAATGGTGAACCTTTCCAAATGTTTTCAATGTGCTTTGCCCATATGAGTCAGAGGAATCACTATCTATGGAAGTTATAGCCTTGCAAAACATATTTCTTAAATAATGAGCTTGAAAGTTGAACTTACTCCTTGAACCCATTGGCTGCAGAGTGGATGTTGTGTTAGCAGGAATGTAAACAACATTTTTCTCCTTATACATCTCCATCAGAGCTCTTGCATGACCAGGTGCATTGTCAGCGAGCAGTAATATTTTGAAAGGAGTCTCCTTTTTCTGAGCAGTAAGTCTCAACAGCGGGTTTACAATATTCAGTAAACCATCCTATAAATAGATGTGCTGTCATCCAGGCTTTGTTGTTCCATTTCTAAAGCACAGGCAGACAAGACTGAGCATAATTCTTAAGGGTCCTGGAATTTTTTGAATGGTCAATGAGCATTGGCTTCAATTTAAAGTCACCAGCTACATCAGCCCTTACCAACAGGGCCAGCTCGCCCTTTGAAGTTTGAAGCCAGGCATTGACGTCTCCTCTCTAGCCATGAAAATCCTAGGTGGCCTCTTCTTCCAGTAGAAGACTGTTTGGTCTACATTGAAGATCTGATCTTAGGTAGACCATCTGTATAACTTGCTGCTGCTACATCAGCACTTGCTGCTTCACCTTGCTCTTTCATGTAATGGGGATGGCTTTTTTCCTTGAACCTCAGGAACCAACCTCTTCTGGCTTCAAGCTTTTCTTCTGCAGCTTCCTGACCTCTCTCAGCCTTCATAGAATTAAAGAGACTTAGGGTTTTACTCTGGATTAGGCACTGCCTTAAGGGAATGCTATAGCTGGTTTGATTTTCTATATAGACCACTAAAACCTTCTCCATATCAGCAATAAGGCTGTTTTGCTTCCTTATCATTTGTGTGTTCACTGGAGTAGCACTTTTAATTCTCTTCAAGACTTTTCCTTTGCATTCACAACTTGGCTAGCTGTTTGGTACAAGAGATCTAGCTTTTGGCTTATCTCAGCTTTGGGCATGTCTTGCTCATGAAGTATAATAATTTTCAGCTTTTGATTTAAAGTGAGAGACTCTTGCTTTCACTTAAATACTCAGAGGCCATTGGAGGGTTGTTAATTGGCCTAATTTTAATATTGTTGTGTCTCAAGGAATAGGAAGGCCTGAGGAGAGGGAGAGAGATGGAGGAACAACTGGTCAGTGGGGCAGTCAGAACTTACACAATATTTATCGATTAAGTTATTCCATGGACACTATTGCAGTTCTAGAAATTGACCCTAAGGAAATGGAGATACATAAACTGCTTGACAAATACATCAAAATAACCATCTTTAAAAAGCTCAGTGAGCTATAAGAAAACACAAATAGACTAATTAAATCAGGAAAACAATATGTGAGCAAAATGAGAAGTACAACTAATAAATAGAAGCCAGAAGAAATAAAGAACCAAACACAAATACTAGAATTGAAGATACAATGTCTGAACTGAAGAGAGAGCTTCAACTTACTCAAGCAGAATAAAGAATGAGTGAACTCAAAGACAAGTCATCTGACATTATCCAGTCAGAGGAACAGAAAGAAAAGAATGAAAAGAGTAAAGAAAGTTTACAAGACTCATGAGACACTCTCAGGTGAACAAATATATGCATTATGGAAGTCCAAAAAGGAGAATATAGAAAGGGGCAAAGAGTATATTTAAGGAAATAATCACCAAAACTTCCTAAATACTGGGAGGAACATAGACATCCAGATTTATGAATCTCAAAACTCTCTAGATTGAACACAAAAAGATCTATACCGAGACACATTAGAATTAAACTGTCAAAAGTCAAAGAGAAAAATTTTGAAAGAATCAAGAGAAAAGCCACATGTCACATTCAAGAGACGCCCAAACAGACTATCAGATAATTTCCCAGCAGAAACCTTGCAGGACAGAAGACAATGGGATGATATAAGTACTGGGAGAAAAACTACAAAACAAAAATATTTACCTGGCAAAACTTTTTTTTTTAACTTTTAAGTTCAGGGATATATGTGCAGGTTTTTTATATAGCTAAATTGGCATGTCACAGGGGTTGGTGTATAGATTACTTCATCACCCAGGTAATAGGCATAGTATCCAATAGGTGGTTTTTCAAATCTTACCCTCCTCCCATTCTCCATCCTCAAGTAGGCCCTGGTGTCTGTTGTTCCCTTCTTTGTGTCCCTGTGCTCTCAATGTTTAGCTCTCACTTATAAGTAAGAACAGGCGTTATTTGATTTTCTGTCCCTGTGTTAGTTTACTTAGGATAATGGCCTCCAGCTCCATCCATGTTGCTGCAAAGGACATAATCTCATTCTTTTCTATGGCTATGTAGTATTCCACAGCATATATGTACCACATTTTCTTTATCAAGTCTACCATTGATGGGCATTTAGGTTGATTCCATGACTTTGCTACTGTGAATGGTGCTGCAATGAACATATGCATGCACGTATCTTTATGGTAGAATAATTTATATTCCTTTGGCTATATACTCACTAATGGGATTGGTGGGTTGAATGGTAATTCTGTTTTAAGTTCTTTCAGAAATCACTAACCTGCTTTCCACAATAGCTAAACTAATTTACATTCCCACCAGCAGTGTATAAGTGTTCACTTTTCTCCACAACCTTGCCAGCATCTGTTATTTTTTGACTTTTTAATAATATTCATTGTGACTGGTATACGATGATGTCACTTTGTGGTTTTGATTTGCATTTATATAATGATTAGTGACATTGAGCATTTTTTCACTTACTTGTTGGCCACGTGTATGTCTTTTGAAAAGTGTCTGTTCATGTACTTTGCCCACTCTTTAACAGGGTTGCTCATTTTTGCTTGTAAGTTTTTTTAAGTTTCTTATAGATTCTGAATATTAGACCTTTGTTGGATGGATAGTTTGCAAATAGTTTCTCCTATTCTGTAGGTTGTTAGTTTACTCTGTTGATAGTTTCCTTTGCTGTGCAGAAGCTCTTTCCTTTAATTAGGTCCCAGGTGTCAATTTTTGTCACTGTTGCAATTGCTTTTGGCATCTTTGTCATAAAATCTTTACCAGGATTGATGTCCAGAATGGTATTTCCTAGGTTACCTTCCAGGGTTTTTATAGTTTTAGGTTTTACATTTAAGTCTTTAATCTATCTTGAGTTAATTTTTTGTATATGGTGTAAAGAAGGTGTCCCGTTTTAATTTCCTGCACATGGCTAGCCAGTTATCCCAGCACCATTTATTGAATAGGCAGTCTTTTCCTCATTGCTTATTTTTGTTGACTTTGTCAAAGATCAGATGATTGTAGGTGTATGGCATTACTTCTAGGCTCTCTATTCTGTTCCATTGACACAAGTGTCTGTTTCTGTGCCAATACCATGCTGTTTTGGTTACTGTAGCCTTGTAGGATATTTTGAAATCAAGTAATGTGATGCCTCCCAGTTCTGTCCCAACATCATACTGAATGGGCAAAACCTGGAAGCATTCCCCTTGAAAACCAGCACAAGACAAGGATGGCCTCTCTCATCACTCCTACTCAACATAGTACGGCAGTCATGGCCAGAGCAATCAGGCAAGAGAAAGAAAAAAAGAGCATTCAAATAGGAAGAGAGGAAGTCAAACTATCCATGTTTGCAGATAATATTATTCTATACCTAGAAAACCCCATAGTCTCTGCCCAAAAGCTCCTTGATCTGATAAACAACTTCAGCAAAGTTTCAGGATACAAAATAAATGTATGAAAATCACTGGCATCCCTATACACAAGTAATATCCAAGCTCAGAGCCAATCAAGAACAAAATCCCATTCACAATAGACACAAAAAGAATAAAATACCTCAGAATACAGCTAACCAGGAAAGTGAAGGATCTCTACTATGAGAACTACAAAACACTGCTCAAAGAAATTAGAGATGACACAAACAAACAGGAAAACATTCCACGCTCATGGGTAGGAAGAATCAATATTTTTTAAATGGACATACTGCCCAAAGCAATTTATAGATTCAATGTTATTTCTATCAAACTACCAGTGACATTCTTCACAGAATCAGAAAAAACTACTTTAAAATTCATATGCAAACAAAAAAGAGCCTGAATGAAGAAGGCAATCCTAAGCAAAAAACCAAAACTGTTCTTTAAGAATGAAAAAGATATAAAGACTTTCCCAAATAAAAACTGAGTTAAGGAAGCTGAAGTGGGCAGATCACTTGAGCACAAGAGTTCGAGACCAGCCTGAGCAACATGGAGAGACCCCATCTCTACAAAAAATTTAAAAGTCAGGCATGGTGGCATAGACATGTAGTCTCAGTTATTATACTTGGGAGGCTAAGGTGGGAGGATCACTTGAGCCTAGGAGGTCAAGGCTGCAGTGAACCCATGATTGCACCACTGCACTCCAGCCTGGGTGACAGAGTGAAACCCTGTCCCCCGAGCCCCACAAAAAAACTAAGGTAGTGCACCACCATTAGACCTGCCTTACAAGAAGTACTCAAGGGAATTCTTCAAGTGGAAATGAAAAGATGCTAAAGAACACAAAAAGAATATGAAAATATAAAACTCACTACTAAAGGTAAATATAAACACAGAATATTGTGCTACTGTAGTGGCAGTGTGTAAATCTCATTTAACACAAGAATGTAAATTAAAAGAAAAGATAGTAAGAATAACTATAACCACAGAAATTTGTTCATAAAAACATAACATACCAAGAAACAAAATATGACGTCAGTTGCACAAAGCGTTGGGGGAAGACATAAAGTGCAGAACTTGTGTATGTGATTGAAGTTATCAGCTTAAAATACACTGCTATAACTATAAACTGTTCAATGTAAACTCCATAACAAAAAAGTACAGTAGATGCACACAAGATAAAAAAATTAATCAAAGCATACCACTATAAAAAAAATCAAAACACAAAGAAAGACACTAAGAGAAAAAGAGAGGAAGAAGAGAACTACAAAAGAGACAGAAAACAATTAACAATATGGCAATAGTAAGCCCTTATCTATCAATAATTCCATTAAACATAAGTGAACTAAATGTTCCAATTAAAAGACATATAATGGCTGAATAGATTAAAACAAAAAACAAGACCTAACTATATGCCACATATAAAAGAGTCACGTTAGATTTAAGGACACACATAGGCTGAAAAGGAAAATGGTAGATAAAGATATTCCATGCAAATAGTAACCAAAAGACAGCAAAGTGGCTATACTCATATTAGACAAAATGGACACTAAGACAAAAACTGTCACAAGAGACAAAGAAGGGCATTTCATAATGACAAAAGGGTCAATTCTACAGGGATCTATCACAACTAAAAATATATATGCTCCAAACATGAAAACACCCGAAATATAAAACAAACATTGACAAATCTGAAGTGAAAAATAGGTAGCAATGCAATATAATAAAAGACGTCAATATCCTACTCTCTATAATGTATAGACCATCTAGACAAAAAAAATCAATAAACAGCAGAACTAAATAACACTACAGGCCAAATGGACCTAACAGATACATACAGAACATTCCACCCAACAGCAGCAGAGTAATCATTCTTCTCAATTACACACAGAACATTCTACAGCATGGATAACATGCTAGGTCACAAAACAATTCTTAACAAACTTAAGAAGACTGAAATCATTACAAATACATTTTTCAGTCACAATGAAATAAAACTGAAATAACAGAAAAAATGGGAAATTCACAAATACATGGAAATTAAATAATACACGCAAATAATTATGAGGTCAAAGAATGAATCAAAAAGGAAATTAATATTTATCAAGACACAAAAAATACAACATACGAAATCATATGTGACTCAGGAAAGCAGTACTAGAAGAGAAGTTTAAAGCAATAAATACGTACATTAAAGGAGAAAGATCTCAAATAAAAAACCTAACTATATACCTCAAGAAACAGAAAAATAAAAAAATACTAAACAAAAAATTAGCAGAAGGAAGAAAATAGTAAAGGTAAGATCAGAAAAAAAATGGACTAGAGAATGGAAGAACAATTTTAAAAACTGAAAAAACTGAGTTGTTTTTCTGAAAAGATAAACAA
The DNA here is from genome assembly GCF_000001405.40 of Homo sapiens. NCBI lineage: Eukaryota > Metazoa > Chordata > Mammalia > Primates > Hominidae > Homo > Homo sapiens. Next base: position 61,958,200 of record NC_000014.9, on the reverse strand, counting down.
AATCAACAAACCCTTAGCTGAATTAAGAAAAAAAAGGGAACTCAAAATCAGAAATGAAAGGGAAGATATTACAACTGAACCTACAATTAAAAAGAATCATAAATGAATATTATGAATAATTACATATAAATGAATTAGACAACTTAGAAGAAATGGAGAAGTTCCTAACAATATACGACCTACCTAAAACAAGAAGTAACAGAAAGCCTGAACAAACCAATGACAAATTAGGATATTGAAGGAATAATAAAAAAACTCCCAACAAAGTCGAGCCCAGGACAAGATGGCTTCATAAGTTTATTCTAACAAACATTTAAAGAATTAATAACAATCCTAAAACTCTTAAAAAGAGAAGAAGAGGGAACACTTCCAAACTCATTTTATGAGGCCATTATCACCAAATACCAACACCAGACAAAACCACCACAAGAAAATAAAACTAGAGGCCAATTTCCCTGATAAATGAATATACAAAAATCTTCAACAAAAACACTAGCAAACTGAGTTCTACAGCACATTAAAAGGATCATACATCAAGATCAACTGAGATTTATCCCTGTGATGCAAGGATGGTTCCACATACACAAATCAATCCATGAAATATGCCTCATTAACATAATGAAAGATAAAAATCACATAATCATCTCAATAGATGCAGAAAAAGCATCTGACAAAATTCAACATTGTCTCGTAATTGAAAAACTCTCAATAAGTATAGAAGGAACTTACTTCAACAAAATCAGGGCCACTTATTCAAAGCCCACAGGTAACATCATTTCAACAATGAAAAGTGGAAAGCTTCCCTCTAAGATCCAAAATAAGACAAGGATGACCATACTATGAGCTCCAATATAGTCCTGAAAGTCCTAACCAGAAAAATTAGGCAAGATAAAGAAATAAAAGTCATCCAAATCAGAATGGAAGCAGTTAAAACTTTCTCTGTCTGCAGATGCCATAAGCTTCTATGTAGAAAACCCTAAAGACTCTTAAAAAAAATAATAAAAAACTGTTAGAACTAATCAGTGAATTCAGTAATGCTGCAGGATTTAAAAATTAACATATAAAAATCAGTTGTGCTTCTATACACTAACAATGACCTATTTGAATGAGTAATTAGAAAACAATTGCACTTACAATATCAAAAAGAATAAAATACTTAAGAATAAACTTAAGGAGGTGAAAGACTTATACATGGAAAACTACAAAACATTGATGAAAGAAATTTTAAAAGATACAAATAAATGGAAAGACATCCCATGATCATGAATTGGAATAATAAATATTGTCTATTTTAGCAATGTACAGATTTAAAAAAAATCTATAGATTTAATGCAATCCCTGTCAAAATCACAATAGCATGTTTTAAAGCAATAGAAAAAAAAAATCCTAAAGCTTATTTGAAATCATAAAAGACTCTTAATAGCCAAAGCAATACTGAGTAAGAAAAACAAAAGCTAGAGGTAGCACACTCCCTGATGTCAAAACATATTGCAAAGCTATAGTCATCAAAACAGCATGGCACTTACATAAAAACAGAGAGATAGCTCAATGGAGCAGAATAAAGAGCCCAGTGATAAACAGACATGAATATGGTCAACTGATCTTTGACAAGGGTGTCAAGAGTACGCAATTGGGAAAGAACAGTCTTTTCCACAAATGGTTCAGTAAAATTGGATATCCACATGCAAAACAATGAAATTGGACCCTTATCTCATACCACACACAAAAATCAACTCGAAATGGATTAATGACTTAAACATAAGACCTGAAACAATAACACTTTTAGAAGAAAACGTAGTTTTAAAAGCTGCTAAACACTGAACTGGGCAAATCAATTCTTAGATAGGACACCAAAAGCACAGACAACAAAAGCAAAAATAAACAAACAGGATTACATCAAACTAAAAAGTTTCTGCACAGCAAAGGAAACAATTAACCAAATGAAAAGGTAACCTATGGAATGAGGGAAAATATTTTCAGACCATATATCTGATAAAGGATTAATATTAAAAATACATAAGGACCTCCTAAAACTAAATAGCAAACATACCAAATAACCCAATTAATAAATGGGCAAAGGACCTAAATAGGCATTTCTCCAAAGATGGCATGTAAATGACCAACAGGTACTCAAAATCACTAGTCATCAGGGAAATGCAAATCAAAACCACCATGAGATATCACCTCAGATCTGTTAGAATGACCATTATGAAAGAAAGAGAAAGCGAAAAATAAAAGAAAAAAGGAGCAAGTGTTGGGGAGGATATGAAGAAAAGGGAACCCTTTTACAGTGTTGATGGGAATGTAAATTGGTACAGACACTATGAAAACCAAGATGGATATTCCTCAAAAAATTAACCATAGAATTACCACTTGACCCAGCAATCTAGCTTGTACATACATTCAAAAAGGAATTAAAATCTGAATCTCAAAAAGATATCTGCACTCCCATGTTCATTGAAGTATTATTCACAATAGCCAAGATACGGAATCAACCTAAGTATCCATCAATGGATGAATGGATAAAGAAAATGTGGTATATACATAAGATAAAATATTATTCAGCCTTAAAAAAAAGAAATCCTGCCATTTGTGACAACATGAATGAACCTAAAGAACATTATGCTAAGTAAAATAAGACACACAGAGAAAGATAAATACGGTACCACATGATCTCATATACGCAATAGATTTATAATAGTCAAACACATAGAAGCAGAGAGAATGTTAGTTGCCAGCGGCTGGAGCAGAAAATGGGGAGTTGTAGTTCAACAAATATCAAGTTTCATTTATACAAACTAAATAAGATCTGGAGATCTACTGTACAATATAGGGCCTATGATCGACAATACTGTATTGTATATGTAAAAAATTTGCTAAAAGGATAGATTTTATGTTAAGTACTCTTGACTTCACCCCCAAAATAGTGGGGAGGGACAGTATGAAACTTTTAGAGGCAATGAACAAGTTTATACCATTGATAGTGATGATGGCTTGATCATTTCACAGGTACATACTTATCTGCAAACACATCAAGCTGTCTACACTAAACACCCACAGCTTTTGTATGTTAATCACACCTCAATAAATCAGTTAGGTACTATATACCATCCTGCTATGGTAAAGACTGAAAAACTGAAGTACTAATACATGCTACATTATGGGTGAACCTTGAAAACATTATTAAAAGGGTCTGAATTTTATGATATATGAATTTTATCTCAAAAAAAGTTTTAAATTCAAAATATATATATTTTTTAAAATCATAATTTCCTTAGATTTTGTTTGAGAGTTATTTCCTTCATATTTAAAGATTCTGCAATTTTATTATTCAACATTTAGAATTAAAAATAAAGTTTAAATATTATAGGTCATGAGAATTGTAGTCAGCACAGTGCTACAATTAATGTGTAACACCGAACAGAGCAAGCCAACAGCTCTATCAGTGTAAGCCAAGGTGGCATCTGAGTCTAAACAAAATTAGAGACTTTGACAGGGAAGCTTTAAAGGCATGTTGCATCCCTATATACAAATGCTATAGTGAAGAAAAGCAGTATATATATCATCTGCTATAGATGACAAGGGCACATATGTCAAGAAATTTAAGTGCCATCTGCAGAGTAACTCGTCTAATTATTCCAGTAATTACTAAATTGGAAATCAGATGGCTGTAAAGTTTGGTCACACAGTTCATGCTAAAAACTTCCTCAAAGTTAACTGTATGTCTGGCGTGCCACTGGATAGCCCCATCTGTTGATTTTCAAGCAATGGCTCAAGGAGAAGGCAGAACATATAACGACATAAATAGAGATGCTTCAGCATGTCACACAGTCACTAGATGTTTGTAAATTTCATTCCATGGTTGGTGAAGGGGTAAAAAAAAAAAAAAAAAGGCTAACCAATTGCAGCCATCTGACTCACAACAAGAACTAGAAATAAGATTAAAGGAAGCTGAAAGTTTATTTAACAAAATAGTAAGGAGGGAACCAGATAACTGAGCAAAAACAATATGAACAATTAGAAAGTAAAGGTATAATTTCACAGGTATTATAAACTTTCTGCCATCACTGTGGGAAGTGTGAGGAATCTCATTAAAAACATGAGGAAAGCCTGAGGTAAATCTAAAATGCCACTTATAGATCCCTCCCATCTTTGAGTATCCATTAACCTGAAAGTTCTCCTTCCAATGAAATAACCTCAGTTTCACTCATCCATTTAGAAAGCAGCAGAAGTTTGAAACATTCTATGATGTTTTCAAACAGTCATGCAGCAGAAGTCCCTGACTTAAACCTAAGCTTTGTTTGGATTCTGGTCTTGCTTCAGCATGACTACATTCTCCTCCAGGAATCCACTTCCCTAAGGACCACAGCGCCTCCCAGGAAAGGCAGTGAACAAGGTCAGAGTAGAGGTGACCTGGGTACAGCACAGCTGTCTACCACTCAGGTTGACCCAAGCCCAGACTCCTTCAGTCCCAGGATAAGGAAGTGACAATCAAAGGTATAGCATTAGGTATCAGCAGCTTTTGCAAAACAAGGAGATGTTTTCAAAGGCAATTTCAGCAGCAGTAAGAGGTGAGGCCCTAGACCTCAGAATTCAACAGGATGGTGGAGACAGCAATTGGCTCCAGCAACAGTGCTGGTCACTTTCAGTGTCACCAGCAATTTAGGAGGTCACCATGGGGGAACCAGAGAGAGCAAGAGAGCAAATGCTGTGAACAAAAGGCTTGGTCCACAGAGTACAAGAGAGAGGTCTCCTGGAGACCTCTAGAACTACTTGGCAGGCATTATATGGAGGTTGAAGTTTTCAAAGAGGAGATTAAAAAAAAAAATTTGGACCATTTCTCTTGCTTTGACCAGCATAATCACAGATACTACAGTTTATGTTCAGATTTTCTTTGCAATCAACAAAAAGGAGGTAAGAAATTGGAAACCTTTAAGCACTGACAACCAATGTGTCTGTTCTCTATAAAAAGCAACTTAAGGACACAAATTAAAAATATCTGCACAATTAGACTCATTTCTATATTAGTTGTTTATACAACCAACTACAAAATTAAATAAGCCACTTAAAAATTAAAACAGAACAAGTTACACTGAGAGCTTTAATTTTCCTTTTTTGCTATGTGATGCTTCTAGAACTAAAAGAAGAGAAGAACAAAGTCTGTGATACTTCACAGCATATTATTTTGCCAATGTCCTACATCCAGAGCTAGTTAGGCATTATAAGCGTAATAATATTCATAGATACTCAGTCATTTTTCTAAAATTTCTGAAACTGTGAAATATAAAAAATATATATTTAAAGTTAGGAAAATGGGTGATTCCACTTAAATGTTCTTCCTAGTTAATAACTAACAAAGATACGTTAACTACATGTTAAAACAAATTCTTTGGAAGGAAAAAATAGACCTTTCAAAAAATAGGAAAAAAAGTGGCTTAATGAAACCTAAGTGAGATTTTAACATGTTCCAAAATAAAACATAGCAACATATGGAGTCACTAGCAACCAATCATTTTTCAAAACACTTGAGAACACAACATTTGGGGGTATACATGGGGTGCTATCTTTAATATAATAAAATATGTGTGTTGAAATAAGTCCATCATCTTCTGAGAATTAAGTAACCTATCTGCTTTACATGTTTAAAATGTACATTCTTAGCATTAACACACACAGACACATACACTTCTAGAAGCTGAAAATTATCAGCAAACTTGCTCTCCTTTCCTTTAATACTCAGATGTAGGCTCAGAAGCAGCATTTAATGATGAAAATGGTTGAGATGCACCAATAGTCCATGGAGTGAATCTCTGAGACTTTCCTCACTTGTCTGAGTTTCCCTGCACACTTCAGCTATTCTCCACTCTCTGCAGACCTCTCCATTTTCCTGTATCTTCCCAGATGGGGAAGAGAATAGAAAACCAGCAAAAGGTGATTTGTCAGTTCATAAGGCCACAGTCAACATTTCTGGATGGCTGGGTTTTCAATGGCATGCTTATGTTGCTGAATTTAATTAAGCAATACATGAGCCTTGTACAATTTATGTCATTTGCCAAAAAAAAAAAAAATCAGCATGAATATCACTGTATCAGTTCAACATTGTTGAACTTAATGGCCAGGCACAGTGGCTCATGCCTATAATCCCAACACTTTGTGAGGCTGAGGCAGAAGGACGCTTGAGCCCAGGAGTTCGAAACCAGCCTGGGCAACATGGCGAAACCTGTCTCTACTGAAAATACAAAAATCAGCTGGGCATGGTGGCACCTACCTGTAGTACCAGCTATTCGGGAGGCAGAGGTGGGAGGATCACTTGAGCCTAGGAGGTTGAGGCTGCAGTGAGCAGTGATCACACCACTGCCCTCCATCCTGGGCAACAGAGTGAGACCCTATCTTAAAATATATATATACTGAATATAATATAATTATAGAAATAATTAGGAACATATGCCCAATAAAGACATGTCATGTTGAAATGTCAGAGAATATTCAATCACATTATTTTGGGGGATTGGTTGTTGAGTCAATGGGGCAATTTAACTTTCACATAAAAAGAGAATATTTTTACAAATGAGAGAGATTGAGAGATAAGTCTACTTCAGACAGATAAAAAAAATCTTGGAAGAAAGACATCCGACTTTCTTCAACTCTCCAAAACAAATGCATTTGGAAAACATTTGGAGTGAAATATAATTTTGATTTGTTTGTAACTTTATTTTTCAACTCACAGAAGACTGCCCACACAGTGAGACTAAAACTTTAACAGAATTGTTTGTCACTAATCCAATACCCTTAAAAAGACAAACCATTTTCTTGCAGCCTAAAACAAATATTTTTGAAAAGATGATTATAAAACTCTCCCAATTTTAACTCCTGACCCCCAAAGTAAGGTGTAGAACTGGATGCTTAAGGACTTGCCTAAGTAGTACATGGGACATCTAGAAATAAGAATACTGAAAGACCCATTCAATCCCAAACTTCTCAGACAACACATTTTCTTGTGTTCAAAAGGTTACCTGTCCACAGATATAAGTTCACCCTGTTACTAAGAATTTGTTTGTTGGGAGCATTCAAAATCTGCAGATATTTCAGATGAGAGCAAAAATGCATAGCCCTAACCAATAAAACCAATTATCTAGCGTTAGTGTCCCTTTTTAAAGCTCAGATCACAAACAACCATTTAGGTAATAACCATTGAACAAAACTATCATATATTCAAATAAAATCGGCATCCTTTATCTATTCAAGTTCCTTAGTAGGAACCTCTTCCTATGGGGAAGTTTCTCTAGAGTTAATTTCTGGGGGAAAAGAAAACAAAAACCCTCTTCCAAAACAGATGGGATTCTAATCGATTCTCAGATTTCTCTACTAGAAGTATTTACTGGTTCTTTTTAATTACAAAAAAAGACACCATAAATTGTCTGTTTTACTGTCTGTGCTAATTTCATTTCATTATATCCTTGGAGTAAGCTATTATTTTCCCACTGGTTCCCATGGCATTTTTCATTATCAGCTGCTAATTGTCTAGCATTCACATAGGACTGTGAACCAAGTAGGCTGCCACGTGGGCCGAAGTTCTAGAGGAAGCTGAACAGCAATAGGATTCAGCATTGTTATTATTGTGACACATTAGAAAATTTCCACCCACTTGCGTGCCCACATCACTCTGCTGCACATCATCTGTACCCAGAAGGGCTGTGCACTGAAGCATGGGAGGCCATCTGTACCAGGCATTCCACTTGGTGATTATCACTACACATCAAGGGAAGATTACATGGGGCCAAAGGGTTGCAGCTGTGAAAGCCATAGGTCTGGCTCCATATGGCAAGCATGAGTGTTGATCTGAAAACACAACTACTACAGGCCCATCTAAAAGAGTCCTTTATTTCCAACCTTGAGCACAAGTACCTGACTCAACCCAGTTACTCCCCCAAACTTCCCCCATTTACCTTTCCAGAATCAAGGCCAATTTAGAGACGTAAACAATTTTTGAAAGATGTAAAGAGGTTGGAGGCTTTTAAATAGATTTTAACATGTATTGCTCCTTGAAATCATTCCCAGTGGGGATGTGGATATCTGGGGCTAATTACATTTGACCTTATAACTTCAGAAAGGGGCAAACAAAAGCTATTAGAACAGCCCAAACAACATGCAACATTTTACACATTTAGGTCAAGAGGGAGTTGTCAAAGCCTCTTAATTCGCAAAGTAGACAAGAACTAAAAAACTGGGACTCTGAGGCACAGAAGGTGGTGTTTTTATTCTTGTGCTTTGCAGGCACCGTGTTACAAAGTCTTGTGAAACAAAGCCCTGATTTCATAGCAAGCTATGTGCTGAACTTTCACCAGAAAAGTGTGCCTCCTTAGGGAACATCCTCTAAGGGTACGGAGCTACCCTCACCAGATCAGAATCACAGGGGGCTAAAGTACTTACATGGGTTAACCGAGATCATTCAAATGCTGTAAAGTTGTGAATGATATAGGATGACTTTAAGCTGAGCCTCACCTATTGCCGCATCCAATAACACCATCACAGTCCAAATTCTATTCTAGGATTTTGTTGGTTAAGAATACAAGAATCAGCCCAGTGCGGTGTGGTGAGCATCTATAGTCTCAGCTACTCAGGAAGCTGAGGTGGAAGAATCACTTTGAGCCCAGGAGTTGAAGGCTTTAGTGCACTATGATTATACCTGTGAACAGCCACTGCACTCCAGCCTGAGCAACATAGCAAAGTCTATCTCTTTTTAAAAAAGGAAAAGAAAAGAAAAAAATATATGAGATTTAACGTTCACACAGAGATACTCAGTCTCTGTGGACTGGTTCATTCTAATTAAAACAGCCACAGGCTGAAAGGCAGAGAAACATAGTGGATATAAAAAGAGTACTTGGCTGTGAGTTAGGAGATTCTGGTCTAGTGTACTAACTCTATAACCAGGGTGATATGAGGTGCTGAGGACAGGGTTGTGTCTTGCCTTGGAGATGTCAATGTGCCTTCACATAGATGTGTGACAAATCAGAACACCAGCCTTTATACTATAATGATTATTCCTGGCCAGGAAACTAGAACCAATCTTGTATCTGGTGGTGGATTCACTTAAGATGAAATTACAGATCAAAAGGTTGCTTGGTGAGCCATGAGTAAGAGCAAGAAAAGCTGGATCTTCTCAAGGTCTATTTCCATCCATCTACTAGGTAGATGACTCAGCTGTCTCCTCCTAAGGTCTCTCTCACTCAGATTCCAGAATGGCCTTTTAAAATCAGAAGACCCAAACCTCTGGGAAGAGCTAGAACCCACATTGCACATCCTTATTCTTCAACTTTACTTTCTGTATGCCTAAGTCATCACCAGAATCTCCTGGTTTAGGGTTCTCTTCCTATCACTTCAACCACTTTCTTAAAGTTCCACCTCTCTACTCACCTCACAAAGTTTTTATGATCTTCAAGATTCTGAGCTTGGTACTGTTCCCACTTTAACAAGGATTCCTTCACATATTTTCTGCATTTTTCTCGTGGCTTTAGCTGTCATTGAGTGCTACCAAATATGTCAAATCTCTAATCTGGCACGTATATCTCTACCAGGATGTCCTGCAGGATTCCTAACATCATCAAGCCTGGGACTTCACTCGCTCTCCTCTTCAAAAGTCCTCTGAAACTTCCCAAATATGCACCCACTTCATTCTTAGCGGAGTGCTTCAATCAGACCCTTACCATTCTGAGGCCCGACTGCCGTGAAAGCCTCCAGTTTCAGGTTGTCCTCCATCTCCTTTCCCTTAGAATTTTTTTTTTTTTTTAGTTTTTTAAAAGCCTAGCCCAAGTTTTCACCTCCTTAATTTCTCAAAAATATAAGTTGGGTCTCTGATGGAGAGGACTTAGCTAGACTAACCTACTTTGATAAACTTACAGGATAGTGAGGTTCAGATAGAGATGATTTCACGAACATGGCTGAAAAATGATTATTTTACACACATACACTTACGCAGGATACTGCCAGATCCCTCACAACTCCAATCCATTCTACTAACCCCTAATAGAATTAGGTACACGAGCCACAGATATGGTTATACCTAAAAGCTTCTAGGGCTCTCCTCTAAAATTTAAAGTTCAAAATATTATAACATTCAAGACTCTTTCTAAACCAGCCCCAGACCACCTTTCCAGTTTGGTTACCAAGCAGACCTTCCAGATACTTTATGCTTAGCCTCACCAGATTACTCATTTTTCTAAACACACCAAGTACTTCCAAACTTTTGTGCATTGCCTCATAATAATCACTGTCCCTGGAATAAACTTTCTCCACAGGTAAAGTCCTACTCATGTTGTTAGGACCCTCTGGAAAGTCAACGCCTCTACAAAGCCTATCCAAGTCCCACCTGGCAGAAGGGATGAATGCACCCTTTGCACAATGCTTGTGCCTTTACACTAAGCTCATTTAAGTGCATCATTGTTAGTTTAATCCAGCTGTTATCCCCACGAGGCTGTAGTTTATTGAAGCCAGAGAAGGCATCTTATTATTCATCATCATATTCCTGATGCCTTAATCCTAATAGATCCATGTTACTTTAATTGAACAAAAAAGTATAACCTCCAGGATTACATTTTGCTTTAAGTCATTTTATGCACAATAACCCTATCAGTAAACTGTCACTGAATAAGAGTATGGAATGAGATATATCTCTGGAAGATTCCTCAAGAAAATTAATCCCATAAGTAGTGTGTCCTTGTTGGCTCTAACAAGCACATGGCTCTGCTGCTCTTGTCCTATGCTTTAGGTGCCTCAGTGGTTCTGGGGCTGTGTCAACTATCAAATGTGCAGGCTAAGAAAACTATTATCTTAAAACTGTTAATTTAGAAGGAACCCTGGAGGACTTTGACTCAACCCTTCATTTTACACAAACACACACACACACACACACACACACACACACACACACACACACGAAGGACTAAAGTCAGAGGCCAAAAGATCCACCGAAAATACCCAGCAATATTGTAGCAGAGCTGAGACCAGAGCCCAGGATTCTCCGTGCATTCTGACGGTACTGGCTTTACCATTCTCTGCTGCTTCTCCCTGAGACCATCTTACATAGAATCACAGCATCCACTCTTTGCAGCAGTAGTACTCTCCTCCCAACCAAGAACCTCCAACAACTCACCAAATGAAGGAGGACCTCACTGTATACCACCCTGTCTGACAACCATCGGCATCTGCTTGAATACTTTTGATGGCTGGGAAGCTCATGGCTCTGCCAAGCAGTCCAACCGTTCTTTGTCCACATCTTCTGCTTAGACATTCTTCCTCACAAAGAAAGCCAGCACCAATCCTGCAAATAGCTAAAGACAGTTCTATGCCTCCCCAATTTTTTCTGTAATCTAAACAATTGCAGTTTCTTCAACCATTTCTCAAAACATATGGTTGCAACTCCCAATTTTACTAGTTGCCCTCCTCTGCCCCACAGAATAGGACCTAGTCCTAAACAGTTTTGGGCTTTGAAAAAGAGAACAGAAAGCCTCTGAAAGAGTATTATTCAGTGCCCATTTCTCTAACTTTCCAATGCAAAATTGCCATTTCCATCAGCTCTGTAGGATGTCTGAGGAGTAATATGTGGGACCCATTAACAGAAAACAGTACCTGAGAATGTTTTCTTTTTTAAAATATATTTTAGGGGTACAAGTGCAGGTTTTTTAGATGCATATATTGTGTCATGAATTCTGGCCTTTTAGATATCACCTGAATAGTGAAAATTGTATCCAATAGGTCATTATTCAGCCCTCACCCCCCTCCTACCGTCCCACCTTTTGGAGTCTCCAACATCTATTATTCCACTCTATCCATGAGTGGATATTCCACGCATATCCATGTGTACTTATTGTTTAGCTCCCACTTATAAGTGAGAACATGCAGTATTTGACTTTCTGTTTCTGTGTTATTTCCTTGAAGATAATGGTTTCAGTTCCATCCATGTTGCTGCAAAATACATCATTTCATCCTTTTTTTTATTGTACTTTAAGTTCCGGGATACATGTGCAGAACGTGTAGGTTTGTTACATAGGTATACACGTGCCATGGTGGTTTGCTGCACCCAGCAACCTGTCATCTACATTAGGTGTTTCTCCTAATGCTATCTCTCCTCCAGCCCCTCATCCCCTGACAGGCCCTGGTGTGTGATGTTCCCCTCCCTGTGTCCATGTGTTCTCATTGATCAACTCCCACTTATGGGTGAGAACATGTGGTGTTTGATTTTCTCTTCATGTGTTAGTTTGCTGAGAATGATGGTTTCCAGTTTCATCCATGTCCCTGCAGAGGACATTAACTCATCCTTTTTTTTTTTTTTTTTTTTTTTTTTTTTTTGAGACGGAGTCTCGCTCTGTCGCCCAGGCTGGAGTGCAGTGGCGTGATCTCGGCTCACTGCAAGTTCCGCCTCCCGGGTTCACGCCATTCTCCTGCCTCAGCCTCCCGCGTAGCTGGGACTACAGGCACCCGCCACCACGCCCGGCTAATTTTTTGTATTTTTTAGTAGAGACGGGGTTTCACTGTGTTAGCCAGGATGGTCTCGATCTCCTGACCTCGTGATCCGCCCGCCTCGGCCTCCCAAAGTGCTGGGATTACAGGCGTGAGCCACCGCGCCTGGCCCCAACTCATCCTTTTTTATGACTGCATAGTATTCCATGGTGTATATATGCCACATTTTCTTTATCCAGTCTATCATTGATGGGCATTTGAGTTAGTTCCAAGTCTTTGCTATTGTGAACAGTGCTGCAATAAACATATGTATGCATGTGTCTTTATAGTACAATGATTTATAATCCTTTGGGTATATACACAGTAATGGGATTGCTGGGTCAAATGGTATTTCTGGTTCTAGATCCTTGAGGAATCACCACACTGTCTTCTACAATGGTTGAACTAATTTACACTCCCACCAACAGTGTAAAAACGTTCCTATTTCTCCACATCCTTTCCAGCATCTGTTGTTTCCTGACTGTTTAATAATCACCATTCTAACTGGCATGAGATAGTATCTCACCGTGGTTTTGATTTGCATTTCTCAAATGACCAGTGATGATGAGCTTTCTTTCATATGTCTGCTGACCACATAAATGTCTTCTTTTAAGAAGTGTCTGTTCATATCCTTTGCTTACTTTTTGATGGGGTTGTTTTTTTTCTTGTAAATTTGTTTAAGTTCCTTGTACATTCTGGATATTAGCCCTTTGTCAGACAGATAGATTGCAAAAATTTTCTCCCGTTCTGTAGGTTGCCTGTTCACTCTGATGATAGTTTCTTTTGCTGTGCAGAAGCTCTTTAGTTTAATTAATCCCATTTGTTTATTTTGGTTTTTGTTGCCATTGCTTTTGGTGTTTTAGTCTTGAAGTCTTTGGCCATGTCTATGTCCTGAATAGTATTGCCTAGGTTTTCTTCTAGGGTTTGTATGGTTTTAGGTCTTACATTTAAGTCTTTAATCGATCTTGAGTTAATTTTTGTATAAGGTGTAAGGAAGGGATCCAGTTTCAGCTTTCTACATATGGCTACCCAGTTTTCCCAACACTGTTTTTTAAATAGGGAATCCTTTCCCCATTGCTTGTTTTTGTCAGGTTTGCCAAAGATCACATGGTTGTAGATGTATGTGTGGTATTATTTCTGAGGGCTCCGTTCTGTTCCATTGGTCTATATCTCTGTTTTGCTACCAGTACCATGCTGTTTTGGTTACTGTAGCCTTGTAGTATAGTTAGAAGTCAGGTAGCGTGATGCCTCCAGCTTTGTTCTTTTTGCTCAGGATTGTCTTGGCTATATGGGCTCTTTTTTGGTTCCATATGAAGTTTAAGGTAGTTTTTTCTAATTCCGTGAAGAAAGTCAATGGTAGCTTGATGGGGATAGCACTGAATCTACAAATTACTTTGGGCAATATGGCCGTTTTCACAATATTAATTCTTCCTATCCATTAACATGGAATATTTTTCCATTTGTTTGTGTCCTCTCTTATTTCCTTGAGCAGTGGTTTGTAGTGCTCCTTGAAGAGGTCTTTCACACCCCATGTAAGTTGGATTCCTAGGTATTTTATTCTCTTTGTAGCAACTGTGAATGGGAATTCACTCATGATTTGGCTCTCTGTTTGTCTATTATTGGTATAAAGGAATGCTTGTGATTTTTGCACACTGATTTTGTACACTGAGCCTTTGCTGAAGTTGCTTATCAGCTTAAGGAGATTTTGGGCTGAGATGATGGAGTCTTCTAAATGTACAATCATGTCATCTGCAAACAGAGACAATTTGACTTCCTCTCTTCCTATTTGAATACCCTTTATTTCTTTCTCTTGCCTGATTGCCCTGGCCAGAACTTTCAATATTATCTTGAAAAGGAGTGGTGAGAGAGGGCACTCTTGTCTTGTGCCGGTTTTCAAAGGGAATGCTTCCACATTTTGCCCATTCAATATGACATTGGCTGTGGGCTTGTCGTAAATAGCTCTTATTATTTTGAGATTCATTCCATCAATGCCTAATTTATCGAGAGTTTTTAGCATGAAGGGGTATTGAATTTTATTGAAGGCCTTTTCTGCATCTATTGAGATAATCATGTGGTTTTTGTCACTAGTTCTGTTTATGTGATCGATTATGTTTATTGATTTGCATATGTTGAACCAGCCTTGCATCCCAGGGATGAAGCCGACTTGATCGTGGTGGATACGCTTTTTGATGTGCTGCTGGATTCGATTTGCAAATATTTTATTGAGGATTTTCACATCAATGTTCATGAGGGATATTGCCCTGAAATTTTCTTTTTTTGTTTTATCTCAGCCAGGTTTTGATATCAGGATGATGCTGGCCTCATAAAATGAGTTAGAGAGGAGTCCTTCTTTTTCTATTGTTCGGAATAGTTTTAGAAGGAATGGTATCAGCTCCTCTTTGTACCTCTGGTAGAATTCAGCTGTGAATCCGTCTGGTCTTGGGCTTTTTTTGGTTGGTAGGCTATTAATTACTACCTCAATTTCAGAACTTGTTACTGGTCTATTCAGGGATTCGACTTCTTCCTGGTTTAGTCTTGGGAGGGTGTATGTGTCCAGGAATTTATCCATTTCTTCTAGATTTCCTGGTTTATTTGTGTAGGGGTGTTTATAGTATTCTCTGATGGTAGTTTGTGTTTCTGTGGGATCAGTGGTGATATCCCCTTTATCATTTTTTATTGTGTCTATTTGATTCTTCTCTCTTTTCTTCTTTATTAGTCTGGCTAGTGGTCTATCTATTTTATTAATCTTTTCAAAAAACCAGCTCCTGGATTCATTGATTTTTTTGAAGGGTTTTTCATGTCTCTATCTCCTTCAGTTCTGTTCTGATCTTTGTTATGAGAATGTTGTTTTTCAACTGATTTATATTTGATAGAAACCTAAGGATGGAAAACTATTAGATGGAAATACCCAAGAAAAAAATTTAGGGCCAGAATACCCTAGAACACAAACAAATAAAACTGAAACTTTACAGAATGAATTTAAACATTTCAAGACATTCTTGCCTGTTTTTCTCCTTTCCACCCCCATCTTTAGTCTAGGAAAGCACTCACTAAAATATCAATTCAAAACCAAAAATACTCAGTACATATCATTGACAGGATCACAGTCATCTAAATTCCTGCTGAAATTCTGTTTCAGAATCCCACTGTGAGTCGAAAAACAGAAGAAGAAATATATTTCTCAGCTTATCTGACATCTCTCCAAGCTAAACTTTCATTATTTAAACCTAGTGGAGTGTCACTTTGATAACAGAACTGGTATTTTTACTAAAGAGAGTGAAGATTGAATAGAGCCTCTTCTCCAACATGGTAAACTAGCCTGACACCACTCCATCAATAATTTAACTGCTTGCTGAGCATCCATTCATGACTGGAACTTGATTTCTAACTTCAAGAAGCTTAATAAGTATTCTCAAGGAAGGTTCTATGTGTGGGAAATTTATTCCACACAAAACAAGACTTGAAAAAGGGACTATAAGGATCAACTATTATAAAATAAGAAATGATTTTAAAGGAGGCCAAGCGACTTAGCAAGAATCACTCCAACAACTTGATGTAAAAACATCCCATTATCTACATCTGTAAGCAATGCCTTATCTAAAATAAAAATAAGACCAACATCTGAAACTTGTAAATTATATAATATTCATTGTTGAGTTGCAGAAAAGCAGTATATTCTGCCAATTTCTGAACATCTTTCATATTCATAAATACATTTGTTTGACTGATGAGTAATATTTTTTTATATATGGCCAAAGAAGCCTTGCCAGGCAAAGGCAAAAAATGTCTTCTACCTTTGGATGGATTTCATCTGGCTCCAGATACTTTCCAAAAAGCTTATTGACTTGTATTTAAGACAAATCCTTTCAATTGTTCACAAACTGAAAATTGAGACCCTGCCCCCCACTTCATTGAGAACTTGTAGTGGGAAGGGGCACCTTTGCACCTATGGTCATAGCGATGGGGTTTGTCCATTTGGGAAAGGGATGGGGACTGTGGAGGAAGTACTAAAGGGAGCTGCAGAGCTAAGAAGAAAAGAGAGATTCCACTTGACTAGATAAGGGGAAAAAATGAGTGGACTTTGATGCCGCAGGCTGGGGCAAGGGAAGATAGAATGAGAGGTATTGAGCAGAAGGCTTTATCTCATGGAGGACAGGATTGTGCTGGAAAGAGGGAAAAGTAGCAAGAATGTCTCACAAAAGTCACTACGGATTGCAAGAAGAGTCCCAGATTTCAGGGAAGAATGAGAGGGCTACGAATGAAGATTTAGAAAAAAACAACTGAAACTGTCACCCTTCCCCAAGGCAAAGAATAGCCCAAAGAGTGAGGATACTGTTGTAGATCTGAATTATTACTGGTTTATATATGAGCTGAAGCCTGAATGGTAGAGCTGTGAATCTGAGCCCTTGGAGTCCTTGGATGATGAAGCATTTAACGAGGCATCACTAAGGGATAGCTAGTGACTGGTAAAGTCCTGGCAGCGGCTGACCCAAGGCAGGCCACTGGCACAGGGAAAGAGGCTGGCGTTTGTGCAATTAACCCTACTGAGCCAGAGAACCTCACCTTCAACACTGATAGGCATGTGTTTGTCTATAGATCCCAAGCTAACATAACAAAAGGAGCACTACCCCTCCCCATTGTAACATGCCCGTCCAAACTTTCCCTTAGATTGTAACTCTTGCTTCCAAATAAGTGGTCCTTCTGCACGGGAAAGGGGCAAATGTCACAGTCTCCCCTAAGGCCCAGGAAGCCTTTCATTTCAGTGGAGTCTGGAAGGGAAGGCAAAGCCTATCTGTGATTATTCAAGCAGATCTGCCCCCAGGCAAGCAAAACATACAGACCTTGTCAACCATTCCGGTTCTCAGTCTGATCTAGGAACAGCCGGTCTGAAGAGCATTCCAGGGAAGCCTGCCCCACCACTATGTGGGTGACAAAAGGAAAACCTGAGAGGGAGGGAAATGGAGAAGGGGCCAAGCAAGATCTGAATCTCCAGGGAAGCTACTCAGAACAAAGACAAGCAGAATAATAATTATTATACTTTATACTTACATGGCATTTACTATGTGCCAGGCACTTTATGCTCATTTAAATCTGACAGGGGTCCTAAGACATTGAAATTATTATTATTATCACTTAACAGATGAGAAATATACTGAGGCTTAGAGAATGACTTATCCAAAGTTGCAGAATGCTGTGTCAGAGCCAGAATTTTACCCTGGCAGTCTGGCTCAAGACCCTATTTTAATCACTCTGCTATTCTGCCTTATCATAGGTTTTTAGGGGATTTTTTTGTTGTTGTTTATTTGAAGCTAGAATGCAACAGACACTGTCAATAGGGATTCAGTGGCCGTGAGGAGAGCCATTTAGTCTCAAATCAAGAGAGAGGAACAAGAATTTGGAAGCAATAACATGAGGACCTTTAAGCATCAGCCTAAGCCAGTAGATGGAAACAGAAAAAAAAAAATAGAAATAAAAGGAATGTCACCTCAAAAGCTGAGGTTAAAGAATTCAAAAATATGTGCTAACCCCGTGAAAAGG
Organism: Homo sapiens; assembly: GCF_000001405.40. Lineage (NCBI taxonomy): Eukaryota > Metazoa > Chordata > Mammalia > Primates > Hominidae > Homo > Homo sapiens. The sequence goes on along the minus strand of NC_000014.9, from coordinate 61,940,167 downwards.
ACAATAATGAAAACTATGTAGTTGCAACTTAATGCATCTGTTTATTCTGTATATTCTGTTCATCTTCAGAGATTTCCTCACATCATTATAAAAATTATCATGCACATAAACAGTTGACTGCAATAAATATGGTAAGAAACGAGCATTGCCAGAGTTTTTTTGAAAAAAAAGGAGAAAGGCTGCTAATTCTAAGATTGGGAGTTGAAAAGCCCCCAGATGACATCAGCCTAAATTCTCCTAGAAAAGAATGACAGGAAGCTGGCTCAGGGAACTTTCTCTGTGGAGGTGACCCATTTTATCACCATAGATAGGACTCAGGTGTACAGTGAGGGCCTGGGATGAGAGGTCAGGGGAGGTGCTTGGCCTCTGTCCTTCCATTCGTCCTTTTTCTTCCCCCTTAGACACTGTGATGGACTGAACTGTGTCTCCCATAAAATTCACAGATTGAAATCCTAACCCCTAGTACCTCAGAAGGTCACTGTATTTGGAGATAAGGTCTTTAGAGAGAAGATAAAATGAGGGCTTAAAAGTGGGCCCAGATCCAACACGACTGGCATCCTCATAAAAAGAGGAAATCTGGCCACAGGCATGTACACACGTGAAGGAAAGATCGTATGAAGACAGAAGGAGATGGCCATGTAGAGCCCAAGCAAAGAAGCCTCAGAATGGATCCAATCATGCGGACACCTTGATCTCAGACTTCTGTCCTCCAGGACTGTGAGAAAATAGATCTCTGCTGTTGAAGCTTTGCAGTTGGTGGCATTTGTGAAAGCAGCACTAGTGGACTAATACAGTGTCTTTCGTAAACTGTAGGTGTGCACAGGAGGATTATTTGCTAGCTGTCTCACTGAACAACCATGTGCTTCCTGGCCCTAAAACAGACTGCCAGTTAGTGCTTTGGGGGGATTATGCATCCATCAGGAACAGGAGGAGAGAATAATTAAAGGTCCTCCAGACTTCTATAGCAAAGTTCCCAGACACATAATGCCCTGGTTCATGTCCTTTTTTGGTTTTTTTGTTTTTGTTTTTATTTGAGACCAAGTCTCACTCTGTTGCCCAGGCTGGAGTGCAGTGGCACGATCTCAGCTCACTACAACCTCTGCCTACTGGGTTCAAGCAATTCTCCTGCCTCAGCCTCCCAAGTAGCTGGGATTATAGGCACCCGCCACCATGCCCAGCTAATTTTTGTATTTTTAGTAGAGACGAGGTTTCACCATGCTGGCCAGGCTGGTCTCGGGCTCCTGACCTTAAGTGATCCGCCCGCCTTGGCCTCCCAAAGTGCTGGAATTACAGGCGTGAGCCACCGCACCCAGCCTCATGTCTGTCCTTTTTATATCCTTTAGGAATTACCACAAAATCCCTTTAGAGTCTGTTTCCACACTCCCTCTGTCCCCTAAATTCATCCTTCTTAGCATCAAACAAAATTCATCTTCACCTGTTTTTTAACCATGTCAGTCCCCCTTAGCTGGTGTTAATGGTTTCTCATTAGCTACAATATAAAGCCCAAATTCCTTTGCTTGTCTCTTAAGGATACCCCTTAAATCCTTTTGCTTGTCTCTTAAGGTCAACTCCAGGTTTATCCCACTGTGCCCCCAAAGGAAGCCTTGTAGTTCCACAGAGTTAACAACCTCAGCGCATTGCCCTGGAGAGAGCATTATTTATTCATTTCTAGGCCTCTGGACCTTTAATCCAATCCCCTCCCCAAGAATGCCTTCCTAGTCAAGTCCCCTCCCACCCAGCCAACCCTGAAGGTGAACTGTATGGCACTCCCACACTACTTACCTGGCAAACATCTCGTATCTGGCAAGCTGGGCAGCTGTTTTCTACTTTGTGAAGCCCTTGAAGGCCCACGTCTAATATTCCTTGTATCCTCCCCACCCAGCTCATACAGTGTCTATCACAGGGTTTTGGGTACAGTATCATTCAATAAACACCAGGGAAGCAGATAAGGAGGAAAACGTGTGAAAGCAGAGCCTGTAGCAATCCCCACCCTGTTTGCGTATCTCATTTCTTAAAAAGTTCTTTATCCTTCGGTAATTAATTGAAAAATTAAACTTATAGTCTAGATATGTGGTCTCATCCCTCCAAGTTTCCTGTCTGAAACACTCTGTGTGTGTGTGTGTGTGTGTGTGTGTGTGTGTTGCGGGGTAGGAGGTTGGGGCAACAGAAGAGGCCTCAGATGAAAGTTAAAATGGGTATTCCTCAATGGACTGTAAACTCCTCAAAGGCAGGACACTCATATGCCATTTTGACCCTTATACTTGTACAAGCGGGTATTCTGTCAATATGTGTGATTGACACATAGACACATGGATCAATTATAAGCCTGACCATAAACATGGGAGTCCCTGGGGTTTCCCACTGCCAAGTTAGGGACAAGTTTCCATCCTTCCTCTTTCCTCTAGTTCTCTAACCCAACAAAGCCAAATGCCACATCATATCTGGGAAGCCTGGTGCCTAAAGCTGACTTCCATTTCTGCCACTGAAACAACAATAATCTCTTATTGAAAATTGTCCCAACACTCTCCAGATCTCCATGGAAAGGCAAGTGGGGCTTCCTGCCCATCCACAGTGGCTGTACATCAAGAAATTACCCTGACTGGTCCTGAGATAATTAGAGACTTTGTCAGCAAACGCTTCAGTAATTTTAACCAAAAAGGCAGAGGAGCAGTGGAGATTGAGCACAGGTCGGAGTTGGAAACTGATAAATAAAATCTAAAAGCTAAGTAAGTCTTACAGCTCCTATGTACCTTACTTTCAAAGGACTTCCCCTCATAATTGGCAAAGTAAGGAAGTTAGTCTTCCCCCAGGGCAAAGGATCGCCTTTTCTTTTCAAGAACTCACTAAACCAATTAACTCTGTTAAACAAGGAGAGAAAACATTTCAAACTGCAAGGCATGGTTGCCATTAACACTGGCCTTGCTCCAGCAATTACAAATGATAACCAACTTTAAAAATCATGATGAACTACTGCTTCAAAGCAAAATCAGTTTAAAGCAAATGTAAACTTTGAAGCTCTTAGAAATAGAATCACAGAGACATCACCATCCACGGGGAAATCCCTGCTCCAGCCAGCCCAGCTTCCACTGAAGCAAGTGATAGCACCGTTCCTGGCACAGTCTTTTTTGCTGGCTTTTGCTGTCTGTAAGACAAGTTCATGGTTATGCTGGACAGCTGATGAGGATTTTTAGTCCTTGTAAATTCACCAATGAGAACAATTTGTTCAGATTTCACAAAACAAGGATGCACGGGTACCCCTTGTGACATCAGGTATAAATGCTGCCATTTTTAGAAAACCTGAAAACAGGTTGAATTGTTCAAGGAAGGGAACATGTCAGGCCCAGCAGCCTGAGGGTGATGAAAAGTTGCCGAGGATGGTACCTGGGCTTGTGACCCTCTCTCTGGGAGCGTCAAAGAGCTAAGGCAATCATGTAAAGGAACATGGCTATAGAGGCAGACATAGAACGGAGGAGGGGACAGACAGGTGGCACAGGGAGCAGAGAGAAAGTCCGGGGGATGTGGAAAATGAAGAGAGAAAAAGTGATAGAGGAGGTGCAGCAACATCATTACATTCTAAAATGCAAATTCTCTATGGAATCTCGGGACAATTATGGCAGGACCTCTTCCCTGTGTTATTCCTAATCAAAATAAGAAATGTATTTCTGTGACGTTACCACTGATGATTAGTGAACTCATTAGCCGCCTTGTGGCACTGGGAGTCAGTCACTTCCAGCTGATAGAATGATGCTCTGCCCTATCTATCCCCCAGCAGCCGGAACAAATTTAAAATGATCTAGTATCAACTTTTTCATTTCTACTAAACCATAGTTATCAGTACTTTTTTCTTTGCTGGGAAATCATGGCAGAAAATGATGACTCCTCATGCATTGCTATGGAAACCCTAAAACTTCCTCTAGAAACCATCAAAAAGAGGCAGCGCATAACCCCACTCTGACTCTCAATCACGATTCTCTCCAAGGAAGAAAACTGAAAATCAGATGGATTCATTCCGAGTTCCTTTTTCCAATCAAACAGATGGGATTTAGATAAGCTCTTAAAGCAAATTGTGATTCATATAATAATATGTAAACTTATCTCAAATCTCAGAGGTTTTTTTTCTAAAGAAGATTCCAATAATTAAAGCAGTGCTATACAACTGAAATTCCATTAAAGCAATATAGTTAGACACAAGTTTCTCAGAGCTAAAACATTTACAAACCCTGGCTGAAGGGTCAGAATACTTGCGCCCTTTACTCAATGTATTAAAACATTGATGATTATGAAAAAATGTACTATTAAAACACATAACAAAATGTTTTCATATGTTCTTATTTAATGATTTCTAAAATACATTCAAAAGAACCTACTATGTGCTTACCACGATGCAAAGCAAGATCAAGAACAAACTAACCATAATTACTACCAGAAACATCCTTCTAACTCTACCGACTTAGAGCCCACATGGGACACATCCAGGTGAAGGTCCTAAATTCACAGGCCAAACACTTTCCCAGAGAAACTCTAGGTTGAAGGGAAACTGCCACGTGTCGACTCTGTGCTTGGTCCGTTTCACCACCCCAACAACTAGATCGGTTTTCTTACCCTCACTGGTATAGATCAGGACACACAGGCTTAGAGAATGACCAAGGTGCCCATTGGTTACAAAGCCCCAGTTAGGTGAAGAGCCAGGCTAGGCCAGTACCAGCGACCAAGGCTTAGGACTTTTCTTCTGCAGGCAGCAGAATGACTCTGGCTAAAAAATGCAACCAAACTATAATGAAAAAATATGCAAAGACCACCAGATAGAAAGAAAAGGGAACAAATAAGACATGAAAAGGGCCAGAATGAGGACAGTGTGGGCATCTGCGTAGGAGAAATTAATGGGAGCCACTGTCGGCGTGAATCAGCTTCAATCACCGCAGGGCCTTGAGTTCCCCTATTGAAAGGTCATGCTGACCTCTTGGCTGGAGGAGCAAGGCCATCTGATTGACAGCCCCACCCAAACTGCCTGCAATGGAAAGTAGTGCCGCCCCCAAGTAAAATTAGAGGGGAAAAAGGAATGGGCAAAAAGAAATAACTGTAGAAGGTGATGGATATATTAATTTGCTTGCCTGTGGTAATCATTTTCCCATACATATCAAAATATCATGTTGCACACCTTAAATTTATGCAATAAATAAATTTTGAAAATAAAAAGGAAGAAGGAATGAAAATACTCTTTCGCAAAACTGTACTGAGTTCACGATAATAAAATTGCCATAATGTACCCAAGCCACAAAGTTTTAAACTCTGGGAAGTGTATTGCAAGTCCACTTTGTTTTCACTATGGGTTACAAATGAATTAAACAGAGAAGAGTCATCTTCAAATAATGGGATTTTAGATCTGAAAGGAACCTCAGAGGTCAACTAGAACAATTCTATCACTTTGCAGGTAAGGAAACAGGATTTGTCCCAGGTTCCACAAGCTAGTGAGAGGCAGAACTAGAATGGAGCTTGCCTCAGTCCAGACCAATCTCTGCCCACTATGCTGCATCCAACGCTTTTGGGTCACCACAATAAAATCTCAATGTGGTGAAATAACTTAGTCATCTCCTTATAGCACTGGCTATAATAATACATCTAAGCACGTGCTACCCACAAGTGTAGTCCCAAACCACATCATTTCTTCCCAGAGTTTCCTTTGCATAACAGTGCCTCAATTCCGGTATTACATGTCAGTTTAGGATTTACACATTCATAAAGCATTCTACATTTTTTGTCATACAGAGGTTTTCTCAGGCTGAATCACCACTTTAACAACAAAAAAAGAAACTTGAGATGATTAACATTTAATGGGGACTTGTTGACTTGCCATGTACTTTTTAAGCCATTTACATATAGGTACAAAAAAATGTAAGCAGAGAATGATTTGAAGAAATAGAAAAATAGAAATCAACTAAATGTCAAAATGAAAGAAAGGTTGAATCAAATGATAGTATATCTATGTGATTTAAAAAGCAAACAAAATAAGTTTATACAATCATGAATGTTATAAGCATAGAAATATCTCATAAGCTGGTTGAATGAAAAGTTTATACAGAAAAAGTATATGCAGCAAAATCTTTATTTCCACAAAAACAATAGTAATACATGAATGTATGTGTGCATATATATATATGACTATGTACTTGTATACATACATATATACACACACTCTCATATATACACACAAATATGCATGTGTACGTGTGTATATATATGTATATATACACATACACACAATTTGTATTAAAATGCTAATTTGGAGACTAGGGAAATAGAATATAAGTATTTTTAAATATCCTCCTTATTTTCTATTCTTCTAGTATAGACTGTTTTTTTCTTAAATAGAAAATAGCTTATTTTGTAAATGTCCAAACGCTTTGCCAGCTAGGCAGTACTCCACTGTGTCTGATAACCTAACCCTCACTATCTACCCTGAGCCATCATACTAACAGGAACAGTGCTGGCCTCTGCACACAACTAGCCCTTTAGCTGGGAAGGGGTCACATTGTGAGTGCACACTCTCCCAGAGACTAGGGCAAGAGGAGGTAAATGGTGACCAGAACAGCTCAACTCTGAAAAGGACAGTTTTGTTTTGTTTCTCCTGGCATCTCTTTTGTTTCAGAGTCCATGGATTGATTAGAACAGCTCTTCACCCTTGGACTTTTGAGAGAAAAATCACATAACTGTACTATACAGTCCTACATTCAGGGATGAGTATAGGGTAGAGGCTGGGAAAACAGGGTGAAAGAGTCAGGTTTGATTATTCCAACTTTCACTGATTTTATTTTGTAATTTTAGGGACACTAAGTGAGACCTCTTGCTTCAGATTCAGATACCTTCTTTCTATAGCCAGAATCTTTGTGAAAACAGACAATGGGAAAGGAGCTTTGTGTCTGTCTCTTCCCCTCCTCCCGGCTCTCATCTCTGACAGGCAGCATGGTGATTTAACTGTCAGCACTAAGTGGCACATCTTCTTTCAAGGGGCTCCACGGAACACTCCATAAACCGACAAAAGAATATAACAAACAAACAAGTGCCTGAAAGCTTTTGCGTTTCCATGGCAACTAGACTGGCTTTCCCAAACTCACCTGTCAAAGATATTCCACCAAAAAAGAGAATGTAGCTAACAATACACCTGATATCTTATTAATGCTTTTGTATATAGCTGATCAGTGTTTACAAAAACAGCCAAAGCTAACTATGACCATGTCACAACTATACTGGACTGGGCAGTTGATTTTTACTCTTAATTTTGAGTGAGCAGAGATGTCAGGCTGGTCCATTCAACAGGCATTTATGGGACTCACTCCCTGCCATATAAAATGCAGCACCTACATACATGAGGCATGAGTAGCTTAATCTCATGAGCAGATAAGTTCTGAAGCAAAGATGGGGAAGGGGTGTAAGGGAGAGAGAAGATCTATCTGTGTGCCCCATGTCAAGTCTCCTTTCAGACTCTGATATGGTTTGGCTCTGTGTCCCCACCCAAATCTCATCTCTAATTGTAATCTCCATAATCCCCCATGTGTTGACGGAAGGAACCGGTAGGAAGTGATTTGATCATGGAGGTGGTTTCCCCCATGTTGTTCTCATGATAGTGAGTGAATTCTCACGAGATCTGATGGTTTTATAAGGTTTAATAGTTCCTCCTTCACACGCTCTCTCTCACCTGCTGCCATGTAAGATGTGCCTGCTTCCCCTTCCACCACGATTGTAAGTTTCCTGAGGCCTCCCCAGCCATGTGGAACTGTGGGAAATTAAACCTCTTTTCTTTATAAACTACTCAGTCTCAGGCAGTTCTTTATAGCAGTGTGAAAACAGACTAACACAGACTCCTATCAGAAATCAGAAGCCTGTAAACACTGAAGGGGGCCATGGGTCCACCCTTGGTTTCCAGCATTTGGTGTAGTCAGAAAGGCGAGGCCAACCCTGAGACTTTTCTGAGGAGCAATGGTACCAGTCCTCTGGAGGGATGGTAAGAGGGTATCTCGGTTATGAAGGAGCTGGGTGTGCTGGCTGGTGGCCACAGTGCCCAGTGTGTGTTCAACTGGTTAAAGCAGTGTCCAGTTCCAAAGTAAAATTGTCCTCTGGTCACCTTTGATGTCAAGCTCTCTAGTCTTCCCATTAATTCAAAAGATCCAAGAGCAGGAAGGTCAACTTAAGAAAAGGACACTGTTGGTGGTACTGCAAACTGGTACAATTCTCCTTCAGGGCAGTTTTCTAATACATATCAAATACCATTAACATTCCAGAGCCTTTGACCCAGTTATGACACTTAAAGAATTTATTCTAATGGGTGCAGCACACCAACGTGGCACATGTATACATATGTAACAAACATGTACATTGTGCACATGTACCCTAAAACTTAAAGTATAATTTAAAAAAAAATTTATTCTAAGGAAATGATCCTAGATGTACACACGGATACAGCAAAGATATTAATTGCAGGGCTGTTCACAATAGGGAAAAAATGGAAACAACCTAAAAGTTCAATATGAGACAGGCACTAAGTTTTAGTACAGTCACACAAAGGCATTTCATGCAGCCATTAAAAGGGCTGTAGAAAAACTTTTGTACTACTATACAAAATGAAGAATGGATTTTAAAACATAAAATACAGATGTAGGCATATGAATAACTAGAAAGCTATACATCAAAATAATAAAAATAATCATCTCTGAGTGTCTTCGTTGTGGACTTTTTTTCATTTATCAATTTGGCTACAATAAAATGCTATCACATAATTTAAAAAACAAGCGAATATTTTTAAAAAAAAGAAAATAAGAGAAAGAATATATGTTGGCTCCATCCTGTCCCTAGAAAAGTATATGCAAAATATAACCAATTGACTTTTAATCTATCTCCTCTAAGAAAGAATCCTGACTTGGACTAATGTGCTGCAAAATGGGCTGTTTTCATTTATTCATTATTTACTAATTTCCTCCTATTTACAAAGTTGAGGTGCTGCATAGACAGTGTGGAGGTAGGGGAGCCACTGAAAGCCTTAAAGACAAGAAAGTAATATGAGATCTGCATGTGCATTGGAATGGGGCACTCCAGAGGTAGGAAGACAAGTATGTTTTCTATTGCTGCTGTAGCAAATTATCACAAACTTAGTAGCTTAAAAGAGTACACATTTATTATCTTACAGTTCTGTAGGTCAGAAGTCCAAAATGGGTCTCACCAGGCTAAGAGCAAGGTGTGAGGAGGGCGGCATTCCATTCCAGAAGCACTAAAAGAGAATCCATTTTCTTATCTTTTCCTGCCTCTACAAGTGGCTCAAATTCCTTGGCTCATGGTCCCTTTCTCTATGTTCAAACCCAGCAGCAACAGCTAGTGGAGTTCTTCTTATATCACATTACTCTGACCTCTTCGTCTGCTTCCCTCTTCCACTTGCATAGACTCGTAATTATATTGGTCCCACCTGGACAACCCAGCATGCTTTCCCTATTTAAAGGCCAGTTGATTAGCAAGTTTAATTACCCATTGTCATGTAACCTAACATATTCATGGGTCCTGGGGATTAGGATGTGAACATCTTGAGGGGATGTGGGGCACTATTCGGCCTACTAGAACCATTTAAAAATTATTACAGTGATCCAGATGAGAGCCAGAAGGATGGCAATGGCCAAAGGGAAGGGGTGGAGAAGGCAGTTCCAACAGATGTTAAGGTTGAAACTTCTAGGATTTGGTGGTGGTCAGATATGGAAAGTGACTTGCAGCCTAGCTGCCAGGTGACAGCTGTGACCCCTCACAGAGACCGGGAACACATGCAAAGGACCAGGTGAGAGAGGGAGATAATGTGATACACATGCAGAACCAGAGGTGCTCATGGGATGTCTGGGTACACACGGCTCTGTGAACAGGTGGTCTGGAGGGAGGACTGGCTGGAGAAAAAGAAATAGGAGACAGCGGCATAAAACTCATGGATGAAGTGAGAGATAGGAGCAGATCAAGCCATCTGCTCTAGTATGAATCACATGGAAAGAACAGAAAAGCCTGCCTTTATGAATATAAGCATCTTGTACTCAGCATCCACAGGTTTAGAAGCCCTAGATAAGATGTGAGCACCACATGGGTCAGGAAGGATTATTCTCAAGGTGGATTAAGCAAGCTGGCCCCTTCCTTGCTCAATTAAAGCCATAGGGAAAAGTGCCTTATGTTTCCATAGTTTTAAAGTACTTCTGTGACCTAAGCACACCATGTAACTGCCTTATATACAAATTGACCTAGTGAACTATGTGATTATGCAAAGGCTACACTCTATTTCAGCGGTCTTGCCCACTCTTTCAGTTTTAAAAAAAGGCAATTGAGCAACATTTAAAACCATATTTAAGCCATCAAAAGTTTTCAATCACCCTGATAACAAATTTTGAAACTCCTTTGCTATGATATTACCCTTTTAGAAACATGCGTAGAGAAAAATAAGAAAACCAATTTGATTACCCAAACTCAGCTTCCCACAACACATTCTCCAGAGACATCAATGCTCCAGCAATGCAGTAGAAACAAACATCTAAGATATTTCAGACATGCCTTCACTGTAAATTCACGGATCAAAGGCAAAAGAAAAAAGTTTTATCAATTTTGGTTTTGCCCAACTACTGCTTAAACAAGTATTCTTCCCTGAAACATTTAAAATCCAGAAAGAGGCAGCGGGGTGTTGCTAGGCACGACCGCCAGGTTAATATCCCTTGCACATCTTTTTGTGAATCTCTCCTCTTCACCTGACTTGTACGCATCCTCCCCTACAAACAACATAAACACTTTTCTCTGTTCCTGTCCATCTCTCTGTGTGAAACTTTATAAACACCTAGAATTGTATTTCATAAAATTTAAACAACTCAAACCTCCAGCGACTCCAACAGGGTTTTTCTAGTCGGCCAAACCTGAGGGGTTAGTGAGCAGCCTTGACCAACAAATTTCACAGAAGCTGCTCCACCAGCTGTTACAGAGATGCACTGAGCATAGCTAGATGAACTGACTACATCAAAACAGCCTGAACTGTCTTTACTAGTAATCCCCGGATCACTCTTCCTTTGGGCCTCAAAATGGAGAGAAAAACTGAACTAAGCCAGTGCTGAAGAGGTGAACCACCAGAAATGTGTTTAGCATGAGGATTTTTCATAGATATTTAGCAATGTTCTTGCTCCATGGTACAAAGTGAATTTTCCCCTGCACACAGGTTGTCACTAATGACTATGCACACAAGAAGTGTCAGGCTTGTGCCTACTAAATCACCTTTCTTCCTGCAGGAGATGGTGCTTTGGGACGTGCTTTTATCCATATTTATGTACTTATCCTCATTATCGTGTTCCTGAGAACAAGCTGTGTGTTATGCCCTAGCCTCAAAAGGAAGTAATGCTCAGTTCTTAACCCAGGTTATTTAAAAAATAACCAGACACCTCCGGTGTGCTTATGAACAGAAGAGTAGCCGATATCTACAGACTTAAGCCCCTCTAATAGCAAAGAAGCAAGCTCTGTAAATGAGAACAAAATGTAATTGCCACTGTCTGTTTCTGCCAATCCCAGAAGACTGGGCTTCTCACCTAGGTATAAAATTATCAGGTAAATGCCTGATCATGTTGCCATGGGATTTCTGATGACTAGAGATCACTAATCCTTCTACACACCCTCTCTGGACTAGGTATTCAGACACACAAAAAGGAAGCTTTACATAAGCTCACTTAGCTCAAAGACATATATGCCAAGGTCAAGACTATGTTAAAAGCTGAAAACAAGAACAAGAGAGCAAAATTTCAGTTATGTCCTTTTTTCCTGCCAATTGTTCCTCAGCAAACAGATTTCTAGCACCTACTTTCTTTAAGTAAGTGCCCCTGATGTCCATTCCTATCTCTTAGGAGGACAAAGCAAATCAATTCCACTGCAGCTCCAGTCAACATCCCTTCCCCACCTTCCCACCTCTAGCCTCTGTCTAGCTCCGCCTTTCAACCCCTCCATTTTCTATAACACTCAGGTGAACTCGTATGATACAGATCCATAAGGGGTTTGAACATGCAACAACAGAAGTCTCAATTTAAGAGAAAACAAATAGGTTAAATATCAAACTTACACCTATTACAGTTCTTGTACTATTTTCAAAGTAAACTAGCCCCTTCCCTCAGAATATCAAAGTTAGCCTGAGGACTGTTCAGAACAACCAACTTACCCAGCTCTCTGGAACTTTCACGACTGCAAAGCAAGTTAAACCAGGCATGATATTTCCTTGAGAAAGTTGATTCAATTGAGGCTACCTAGTACTTCCTGGAAAAGCACCTCCACCTCCCCTTCTGACACTAGGTTATTAACTTTTTTCTAACTCTAAGTCATAATGACTTCTTGCTCTCCTTGGAGTTAATAATACGTACCCCAACTGTGCAAAACTGCAGTTCCCACCTAGCAGGGGTAAAGGAAAGCCAGCTGCTTACTTGAGTGTGAGACTCACCAAAGGAATGTTTGCTAACGAGGAGGTAGAGAAACTGGTCTGACTCACCATGATAGCTATTACAACCTTCTGCCTTAATAATTTAATCATTTTTTAAAAAACACATAACCACCTGTTCAATGGCATTATTAGTTCTGTCTTTATGGAAAAAAAATTATCATCCTGATAAATTTGCTGCAAATTATTATTCATTTGCTGTCAAACTGTAAGTAATTATTCCCTTTAGGGAACAGATGTAATTTGCTGCCCTGACTAAACTCAGACTCTGGCCATAAATATTTTGGTTAATAAAAAAAGTGCTTTCTCTTATTTGTGCCTAAAGCTCCTACAATAAATAGCCAGTGCAGGATCACAGCTGGGATGCTGATGAAGACAAAATGCCTAGTCTCCTGTGAATATCGTAACCTGGAATAAAAATAGATTACTTCCCAAGTATTCATCACTCATTTTTTCACTGAATAGCTTTATAGAGCCTCAGGCTGAGATGAAGTCATGCTTCCTGGAATTTAAAACCAAGAGGGTCACAGAAGCTAAAAATCACTGCTTTTGCATAGGTAAAACTGTGAAGCCAGAGGCAATAGCTGGGCTGTTACTCTGTGAACACTAAAAAAGTGAAGTTATGTGGGATGAAGGACCACTGTTGCTGAGTTGTAACAGATTTTTAATTTTCCTGTTTCATACAGGAGGAGTCCTATAATTACAGCTGAGTCTTTGTTACAGGATTACTAATTAGTCTATTTCACCTAAGTAAAAAAGAAAACTAGTATTTTATTTTTGTACATGTTTTTAAAAAGCATAGAAACTCAGAGTTACAGAAGACCCCACAATAGTAGTTTTTATCTCTGGAGCTAAGGACACCCTCTGAAACTGAAAGCCCTGAACCCTCTACTGGCAGGGTGGGGGGTGAGGGGGAGGGGCCACACAAACGAAATTGTGTAAATATATTCATAGAATGTATTCATGTCCCCTTAAAATTCACCTAAAAAGCCCTTTGAGTTCCTCAAAGTCCAAGTTAAGAATTTCCACTTCAGAGGTAATATCTGGCCACTGCCTCAGTCCAATTCTCCCACGAGACCAATACAGAAAAGCAGTATCTCTTTCACATTATAGCTCTTTAAAGAGTCCAAGGTGCTGTCCTTCCAACTGACCTTAATTAAACATGATTTTTACACTCTTATTCTCCTGGTCATATGAGTTTCTTCCCAAAGCACAGAAGCAGAATGTTCTAGAAAATGAAGGAGCATGCCTTGAAGTGAGTTCCCCCATCACTCATTCCCCATACAGAGACTGAACTCTCACTAGCTAAGGGTGTTGCAGAGAAGATGCAAGAATCCAGACTAAACTATATTCATATGTCTGTCTATGTCCTTCATAGGGGTGGCAATAAAAACTAAACACTGTGTTTCCCATGAGTTTCAACCAGACAGAACACATACTCTTTGACTCTTTGCATTAATTTGGGCTGAGTAAACCTTATTTTTAGCCCTAAGAAAGCAAATTCCTTCTAGCATCTAATGTCTAGATTTTTTTGGAAGTCACAACTTGACTTCTATTGAGTTCTCAGTCTATGAAACCCCGATATCTCCCACACATATGCTGCTAAGTCATAGCACTCACCATTCCTGGTGACCATTTATTCATTTAGACCATATATTGTTATTGACAGCATGTCATGTACCAAGCATAATCCAGACATACAGCCAGGTTTAAGGCAGAAGAAGTCTCTGCCTTCACAGAGTTTACACAGTGGTCTTACACAATCTGAACCATGACCCTGGTCTTAGATTTTCCAAGTTTTCCTTTGGCTTTTACATTCTTGTGAAATCTCCACCTTTTCCTTGAGGGAAAAATACCACCAGTTGTGTGTAGGCCCCACACACAGCTTTCAGATAATTCTTCCAGGAATTCTCTCTCACCTTCAAGGTAAGAGATTCTGATTTATTCAATTTAGGTGAAAAGGGAGAGGAACATAATCATTGCATCATAAGATGTTAGAAGAAAATAAGGCCAAAACGTGAAAGATGGTCAAAATAAAGCCTAACCAGGAAATTTTCATAAGAGAACACATGTTCTCTGTACAAGGAAAACTGTGTATGCATTTCTAAAAATCTTAGAGAAGAAACCCCCTTTTTTGTACATTAATTACAATGAGACTAAGCAATGCTAGTTTCTGAAGTAATCTTGAAAAGTATTTGTTTTCTACATTTTAATGCTAAGAATATAATTAGCTACTTAAAAGCAAATGCTAATACACCATTTTGTGTCCACGTTGGACACTCTTTGCACAACACATGATTTGATACTAATCTATGCCAAGATTTTCCTCTACAGTCACAAATTAACTAAAACTGGCCACAGGAATTCCTTTCTTACTGCCAAAAAGCTCTCTTTTCAGGCTTAACACTTTCCAACCTCAGCATAAAGACCCATCCCAGGTGTAAATAGCTGAAAGGAGGGAAAGAGGGAAGGAAGAGAATTGAAAAAGCAATCGAAGAGCATCTTACCGTCAGAATCTATGCTAGGTTACCGTGCCAGAGACTGCCCCCCAGTGTTTATTCTGTCCTTCTTCCTTAGGAATAGAACAACCAGCATTTAGCTATGCCAATGGCTGTGCCAAATCAAGAGGGCGCTTCCCAGCACCTCTAACAACTGGATGAAACCATATAACTAAGGATTGGCAAATGAGATGCAAGTGTACGTTTTATAGGCAACTTTGAGATGTGTTAAAGATGGTGAAGCAATGAGACAGAAGCAGCCTGGGTCCCTAAGGATCAAGAAGCTAACACAATCACCCAAAACTAAAGTGCCTGTGAACTTTGCTTACATGATAGAGAAATAAACTAATGGTTAAAGGCACCATAATTTGGGGTTGTCTGTCACTTGTGGCTGAATTTAATCCTAACTGATACAGCAAATTTATTTAATCCATACACTATTTGTATTAGGTACTGTTCATCATTGCCATTTTACATAATAAGAAACTGAGGAATATTTCTGCTAGGTCTCTCATAAGCAAGAGGGTTTCATACAGGGAAAGAAAAACATGGTAGTATGAGAAAAAAAGAAGCACAAGTTGGTGCAATATGTAGCCGATAGCACTAACTAGATTGTCATCAAAGGTTTTTATACAGAATTTTGAGGGGTAGGTACTCGAACCAAGATTTCATTCAGGTAATTGATTTAATAATGAAAAGGAAATACACCCTCGTTCTGAATTCATAACACACTAGTTGTTTACATCCTAAATTGCTGCTGCTGCTACAAACACTTCTACTCTCTGGTTAAACTGCAATGAAGTTTCCAAGCCTTGCTTAACAATTTCATCTGAAAGACAACTCTAAACCTTACATATCCTAATGTGCTGACACCCAGGGATTATCTTGGCTCCAAGGTCTCATATACCCTCAAATAATCTCAGAGACCTGCCAACCATTAGGGGCTCTGGGGTGATTTGGTTTAATAATCTCAATAAATAAACTTCACCCAATTTAACCCCACCTTTTGTATCTCTCCATGCCCCCTAGCACAGTGCTGGGAGTAACCAAGTTCATCAAAAACAGTCATTTAAAGGGACTGTCTACTATGCAAGACTCACCACTTCAACTTTAATGTCAAAATAATTTCAGTGTCTCCATATCCCTTTCCTTTCATCCTGATTCAGCATAGATAGTAATCTTTCATG
Source organism: Homo sapiens (assembly GCF_000001405.40). Taxonomy (NCBI): domain Eukaryota; kingdom Metazoa; phylum Chordata; class Mammalia; order Primates; family Hominidae; genus Homo; species Homo sapiens. The sequence goes on along the minus strand of NC_000014.9, from coordinate 61,924,013 downwards.
TATAGCACTTTGTATTAACTTCGCCTGAGATTTACCTTTTAAGGGAAACTATTCATTTCTGCAAACAAAAAAGACTGACAGCAGTCACAAAATACATTAATTGTGATCTTAATGAAGAATGTAGTCTTATAATCATTTTTGTCAACATGGTTTTGAAGGGAGGTCAAATTCCTGCTAATAATATGTTGGTTTTGAATCTTTATAAAGACATGACAGCATGATTTTCAAGAACTTTTTTTTAAAAAACCAAATACTAGATAATTAAGTTGTAACAGTCAAACCCCTAAACTCAAAATTCATTTCCATTTGTCTGGCACAGACATTTCACTGTACTACGTCCCAATAACTTCAGTAGGATGTTTAGAGGCTATAAATAAAGTTTCTCTCCAGATATTACTAGGGCGCCTATTTGGAAACAACTGTAAAACAAACAGCTTGAAATGTTTCCGCTCGCTCACTGGCCAAAACACAGGAAGGGATTGTCATCTAGTGGTGAGGTCAGGAAATAAGAGATTTGGGGAAGAGAGGTTTGGGGTTCCTGGAATGGTTGCTTGATTCTGTAATAAACCAAGCAGTAGAAATCAATACAATTTATCACCAAGAACAATGCAAGTCAAGCCACATGGCTGAATTTAGTCCTAACTGATACAGTGAATTTATTTAATCTATACACTATTTATATTAAGTAGTCTTCATCATTGCCATTTTACATAATAAGAAAGTGATGAATAATTCTGCTAAAAAAGGTAGAGAGAGAGAGTTGTTAAGTTGTATTGATCTACTTCTTATGAATGAGTTTGGTGCCATAGTTCCATAATTTGTAGCCCAAATAATTGGAATATTCTTTTGTTGCCCTAATAATTTTCTACATAATATTTATAAGAGCCATTCTCTTCCAGCCTGCCATAATGAGCAGAAAGAATAGTATACAAATAGGTCCACTTCATTTTTTTTTTTTTTTTTTTGAGACAGAGTCTTGCCCTGTTGACCAGGCTGGAGTGCAATGGCGTGATCTCGTCTCACTGCAACCTCTGCCTCCCGGGTTCAAGCGATTGTCCTGCCTCAGCCTCCTGAGCAGCTGGGATTACAGGCACCTGCCACTACACCCAGATAATTTTTTGTATTTGTAGTGGAGACAGGGTTTCACCATGTTGGCCAGGCTTGTCTCGAACTCCTGACCTTGTGATCGGCCTGCCTTGGCCTCCCAAAGTGGTGGGATTACAGGCGTGAGCTACCACGCCTGGCCTACAAATAGTCCACTTCTTTGTAACACTAGTTTCATTGCTACCCATGCAAATTTATAAACCATTTTTTTTTACTTTAATTTTAGGTTCAGGGGCACATGTACAAGTTTGTAAATTCAAGGTAAGTAAATGCAAGTCACAGGGGTTTGTTGTATAGATTATTTCATCACTCAAGTACTAAGCCTAGTACCCAATAGTTATTTTTCCTGATCTTTTCCCTCCTCCTACTCTCTACCCTCAAGTGGGCTCCAGTACCTGTTGTTTCCCTGTTTGTGTCCATGAGTTCTCATTATTTAGCTCCCACTTATAAGTGAGAAGATGCAGTATTTGGTTTTCTGTTCCTGAGTTAATTTGCTAAGGATAATGGACTCCAGCTCCATCCATGTTCCTGAAAAGGACATGATCTCATTCTTTTTATGGCTGCGTAGTATTCCATGATGTATATGGACCACATTTTCTTTATCCAATCTGCCATTGATGGGCATTTAGGTTGATTCCATGTCTTTACTATTGCGAATAGTGCTGCAATGAACAGACACATGCATGTGACTTTATGGTAGAATGATTTCTATTTCTTTGGGTATATACCCAGTAATAGGATTGCTAGGTGGAATGGTAGCTCTGTGTCTAGCTCTTTGAGGAATCACCACGCTGCTTATAAAGCATTTCTTTTCTCTTTACACAAGGCACTAAGTTGAGCCCTAAGTGTGCTCTTTCTTTTGAGACTGTAGCATTGACAATTAAATATGTGCCAGATACTCTCATTTTAGACATAAGAACCCTGGGCCCACTTTAAAGCCAGGGAAAAAGCTCATAGAAGTACTTGCTTGGGGTAAAACAGCTAGTATTTTATTGAAGCTAAGACTTGAAACCAGGTCTGTCTGCTGCCAAGTCCTGTCTCTTAATCACTGCACTATTACTGGCTCTTTCATCCCACTTCCAATAGGGCATGTGCTTTGAGGTGTTTGCCCCATAGGTGACAGCCTGCTACCTGTCCACTCTCTCTTGCTGGGTTCTCCATGTGACTAATGACAACTAGCAGTGTAGCTGGCTTGAGTTAGACAATGTTGAAACAGAAGAGGCCAAACAAAATGGTTCTTCTGTGGCTCCTGAGCCCTTTACTCTAAGTCAACAAAGCTACCAGGGCTCAGAGCAGAAGCTCACAACCCCAGGTGACACCAGTCAATATGGAATATAGACCTCTAAGGAAAGAACTGAGAATGAATACATAGATAGGGCAGACATGAAATTAAACATCAACACTGCCTCCAGAGCTAAGGTTATGAATGTAACAGAAACACTGAAGTTTCCTGCTACAGAGACTGAGACTGGGAAAGTGGTCCCCTTGCTTATGATTAGTAACAGAAGGCTCCTGGCAGGATAATTTCAGGTGCTGTCAGGTTGAGGAAGTGGCTCATGGCCTTTGCAATAAGGAACAATGGAGTTAGACCTGATTCAAGAGGCAAAGTGACACCCCGGGCAGGAGGGGAAGGTTCTAAAAGAACCCACTGCTGCAGGAACATGAGTTTTATGACAATAATTAAGCAAAACAGGAGCATTTATTCAGTCAAGCTCTGTTTTTCAAGGCTTACTGTGCCAGGTTCTGTGCTAGATGCTGAGGGAACAAAGATGAAGAAGTCAGTGCATATTCTCCAAAGGGAGGCAAGAGACAAATCTAAGTTTAATCAGTACATGTAAACTACCAAGCTGGAAGTGAGCACAGAGGACTGGGGGACACAGGGAAGGGTTTCCTCCAACAGCCTGGAGGTCTGAGGAGAGTTTACTGAAGGCTGAGGCTCTTTAGTTGCTTAACCTAGTAGTTATGAGCATCTGGAGTCAGACTGTAAAGGGTCACATCCTGGTTCTACCACTTACTGCTCTTTAATTTAGGCATGCTACTTCTTAAACTTTCTGGGCCTCAATTTCCTCACCTGTAAAATGGAAACAAGAATAGTATCTAATTCACGACGGTGTTATAAAGATTAAAGCTTAAACGAGAGTCTGACACATCCAGTAAATAATCAATAAGTCAACTATTTGTATGGCTGAATAGAATAATAAATATTCATTCAACAAATGAATGAACTCAACAATTTGGGAGTGAGAGAAATCAGGAGGAAGTCTGCGTTGAAATGGCATTGTCTCAAATGTCTACAGTGCCGACGGGACACCCCAGTAAATGTTTCTAGAGACAGGCCTGGACCTAGAGATATAAATTTGGGAATCATTGAGTGGTTGTAGTCATGGAAATGGATGAGATCATCTAAGAAGAGAGAGAGGACAGAAAGAAAGGTTAAAACCAAGTTCTTCATCACACACCGGGGCCTGTTGGAGGGTGGGGGACAAGGGGAGGGAGAGCATTAGGACAAATACCTAATGCATGTGGGTCTTAAAACCTAGATGACAGCTTGATAGGTGAGGTGCAGCAAGCCACCATGGCACATGTATACCTATTAACAAACCTGCATGTTTTGCACATGTATCCCAAGACTTAAAGTAAAATAAATTTTAAAAAACCAAGTTCTTAACAGTGGAAACACTTAGAATTCAGGTCAAGAAGGGAAACAGCAAAGGAAAATAAAAGGGTAGGAGGAAGCAACCAACAAGGTAGGAGGAAAAACAGGTGCATGGTAACCAGATGAATAAGAGGCCAAAGGACCAGCATCAGCAAAGGCACAGGCGTGTGAAACAGCAATGTGTGTATGTCGGGGGGCCTGGAGCATGCAGAAATCTCCAGCAGTTCAATACTTTCTGAGCATAAATTGAGAGGCAGTGGGGAGATGAAAACTGAGATATAAGAAAAACAGAGTGTGATAAAATGTGTATCAAGGATTTGAGATGACTAAATCATCTCAGAGGTTTGAGGAGGTTTTCACCACGACAGAGTTCTGGCCAAGTGTGCATATCAGATAGCTTTTTCTAGCAGCTATCTGGATGATGCCTATGGGAAGCAAAATAATGCCCTTTTTCTTCATATGTCTATGTCCTAATCCCTGGAACCCATGGATATGAGAGGTTACATGGCAAAGGGGAAGAGTGCAGATGGAATTAAGGTTGCTAATCAGATGACCTTAAAATAGGGAAATTATACTGAATTATCCAGATGGGTCCAATGGAATCACAAGGGTTCTTAAAACTGGCAGAGGGAATCAGATAAGAAGGACCAGAGAAATGGCAGCATGAGAACTCAACCCACTACTGCTGACTTTGAAGATGGAGGAAGAGGCCATGAGCCAAGGAAGGTGGGCAGCCTCTAGAAGCCAGAAATGGCAAGAAAACTGATTCTCTCCTAGAGCCTCCAGAAATAAGTGCCATTCTGCTGACATCTTGATTTATCCCAGTGAGATGAGTCTCGAACTTTTGAACCACAAACTGCATGATAATAAATTTGTGTACCTTTGCACCACTAAGTTTGTGGTAATTTGTTACATCAGCAATAAGAAATTAGCACAATGTCCTTAAGAGGTAAAACACTAGAAGCAGAAAACCCAACTAGGAGGCTGTTGCGTTCATGCAGAGGACAGATGATGATCTGTCTTAGGAAAATGGGACAGGGTAGGGAACAGTGGCTACTGTTTACCTGCTCTTGTGCCTAGCAACGTATTTCTATCACATTTTTATCAGGTCTAATAATGGAACACATGTATTGCAGCAAAGTTAAAATATATCCCTGTTGGAGAAACAACTACCTAATGAATTGAATTGGAAGCTACTGCCAAAGGCAGGTTAAAAAAGAGTCAGGAACTTTTAAGACTGCACCCCAGGACCTGTCTCTTCTAAGAATCCTCCCCATATGTTGGGTTTAGTCTTATATTATTTCCAAAAGTTATAAAAATGTTTTTCTAGCTCCTGATTCTCTCCTCTACATTTCCCTGGCACCTAGAAATGCCTTGCCTACATGCTTGCAACACTAATAATTTTCTCTCTCAGGAGGTACCTTCTGCTTCTGTTTTTCCACACAAGTAATTCATATTCATTGTAGAAAAATCAGAACACAAACAAGAAAAAGAAGGTAAATCAACCATGATTCATCACCCCACCCCCCAGAGATAACTTTTTTTTTGTATTTTCAGAGCTATCTTTGAGAATGTTATATTAATATTTATACATATTCATGTATTTTATTTTTAAAAGTGGAATCATACTCTTATAAAACATCATGCTTTTCTTGCCAGGCAATATATTATGAATCTTTCCATGAATATAAACATTTAAAATATAATTCTTACAGGCTACTAGGTATTTTCAACATAAGAATATACCATCATTTATTCCCTCAGTCCCCTCATCACTGGACATTTGGCTTTATTGTTCCTTTATCCCCCATCTTCTGTATTTCCCCTCTTTTCTTCCAGGTGTTTGCAGCCATCACCACCTGTTGGCTTTAGGTCAGCCATGCTACAGTTTATGGCTCCTAGCCCCATGGATGCTCTGGGGGGATGCTTTGGTTCCAGAATGCCATATTTCCGCCCATATGATTAATTACTTAGATCTCTGGGTCCTTCTAATCAGGACACTGGATAATGAGACAAAAGTTGTTTAAAACAGAACAACAAACTTGACCTTCATTGATAATGTTAATAGTGGCCAGCAACATACATCAATTTGAAAATGCCTTCCTGCCAAAGCTTTGGTTACTAAAACTAAAAGTTCCATACCTTATGATTCCTTATGCAGGTCAAGCATCTCTAATTCAAAAATCTGAAGTGCTCCAAAATTCAAAACTCTTTGAATACCGACAGGACACCACATGGATGGCTGAGGTAGTCACACCCTTGCTTTCTTATCATTCTATATACACAAACTTCATTTCATGCACGAAAGCATTTAAAATATTGTTTAAGACTACCTTCAGATTATGTGTATAAGGTATATATGAAACATAAATGAACTTCATGTTTAGACTTGTGTCCCATCCCCAAAATGTCTCATTATATATATGCAAATATTCCAGAAGCCAAAAGCCAAAACACTCTGCTCCCAAACATTTCAGATAAGGGATACTTAACCTATAGTTTATAGTGCTGTGTTTATTTATAATTAGAACAGCCTTGTTCTGACTCTCATTTGCAAGTGACAAAAAAAAGTCCAACTCAAGTACCTTTAAGCAAAAAAAAAGTGGTTTCACACAACTTAAAATCAGATGTAATCAAATCCAGAAACTCAAACAATATCAAGAAGCTGCCCTCCTTGACCTCCTGACTCTGCTTTCAATTGCACTGGCTTTATGTTTTGGTTGGGAACGTTTCCCCTTAAGGGGTAACTAGGCTTCTATGATCATAGCTCCAAGTCTAGTAGAAGATAGCTTCCTTCCTCAATATGCTCCCCCCAAAAAATCTTAGAACTGGCTCTTATTGGACCACTAGGCTTATTTACTTGTCCGTGAACCAGTCAATCCCTGTGGCCCAGAGGATGAATAGGCCACTGATTTGATTAGTCACAGGACTCCCATGCTGTGTACTAAGTATGGCCAAAGAGACAGGGTACAATTACCAGGAGGAAAATAGATGCTGTGTAAACAAGGCAATAGACATCCATGCAAGGATGGGACTCTCCAAGACAGTGATCTTCACTTGTTGGGATCACAAACCCATCTGAGAATCTCATTATGGAGGTTCTTCAAAAAACTACAGACCTACCATATGATCCAGCAATCCCACTGCTGGGTATATATCCAAAAGAAAGCAAATCAGTATGTTGAAGAGATATCTGCATTCTCATGTTTATTGCAGCACTATTAATAATAGCCAAAATATAAAATCAACCTAAGTGTCTATCAACAGATGACTGGATAAAGAAAATGTGTCATATATACACAATAAAATACTATTTGGTTAAAAAAAGAATGAAATCCTGTCATTGTCAACAACTAGATGGAACTGGAGGTCACTGTCTTAAGTGAAATAAGCCAGCCAAAGAAAGACAAATATCTCATGTTCTTACTTATATGTGGGAGCCAAAAGAAAAAAAGTGGATCTCATGGAGGTAGAGAGTAGAATGGTAGTCACCAGAGGCTGGGAAGGATCAGGGGAGAGGAGATAAGGAGAGGCTGGTTAATGAGTCCAATACAGTTAGATAAAAGGAATAGGTTCCACTGTTCGATAGCACAGCAGGGTGACTATAGTTATCAATAATATATTGCACATTTCAAAATAGCTAGAAGAGAAGATTTGGAAGGTTCTTAACACAAAGAAATGATAAATGTTTGAGGTGATAGATATCTGAATCACCCTGATTTCATCATTATACATAGTATGTATGTATCAAAATATCACATATATCCCATAAATATTTGCAACTATTACTCGTCAATAAAAAAAATAAATCGCAGGGAAAAAAGCCCTCCCAGAATCTAATATAAGCTCTCCGTGGAGTAATAGGAGCACATAAAACACAAAAGACTGCACATACAATGCATTTGTGAAATGGAAATTTATTTTCTTCACCTAGGCAGAATATAAAAGCAGCCTTATAAAAAGTTATGTTTCTCACTCATTTTTTATGAAAAAAAGTAATGGATATTTCCTGAACAAAGACTGAAATCCAAATTTTGCTCCACAAAAGAAAATCTGCTCAAAGCTAAATTTCAATAAGAAGGTTGAAGTTATTGATTTGGAATTCTAAAATGGTTTTCAAATACAATGCAAGTCATCTTTAGTATTTAAGCAACTTTGCATTTTGATAGCAACTAGTCCTGGAAAAAAAAATATGCTTAAAGACATGCAACAGCAAAGAATCAAAGTATGTCTTTCACCTTGACAGACAGAAAACACTGTATCAAGGAACACAAGAATGCTCCAAGATGTAGGTTGAATTCACGTTGTACTATTTCTTTTGTCCTCAAACCCGTGAGATCATCTTTGGCAAAGACTATATCACTGATGCACTGATGTCAGCAGGGAAAGGATTAATAATCCATGCTTTAATGTAAAGGTCTTCTAAGTAGAAGCAACCTTCAAATGGGTTCTTCAGCATTTCCAGATGTCTGGAGATTTCTGACCATAGAAAGATCAATTGACAAAGCATAGTCACACTGGACGCCAACACACAGGAGCAATTTTCCCAGCAGTGAACTTCATATAGATATCTATTTCCTTTAGAGTAGAAATCTGTTCAAAAACAATTGCTCATCATGGTATGTGTTGAGAAGTAAAAAGGTATACCTAATAAATGTATGTATACACACACATGTTCAAAAAAGAAACCAATGAAGAATTAACTCCTCACTCTCAAATGATTTCAACTGGGTTTTTTATTTCTCTAAAAAAAAAGTTGTCCTAAACTTGTTCCTATAGTTCAATTCAATGTTTCAAACATGCGATGTTTATAAATTCAAAGAATTTCTGGCAGTAGGGAATTTTATATTATGTTTCTAGTTCATAGATGTATGTTATGTATGCATACATCTATATTACATATTACACGAATTAAATGTATGTGTGTGCTGTTTTAAAAAAAATTCAATCTTCTTCAAATGTTAAGTATCTTGAGAACAGGGTCTTTGTTGCCATCACTGCTATACCCTTCTTGGCCAAAAATCTAAAGCCATGTTCATCTAACCACTTTACCACCCAAAAAAAGGCAGATATATTTTGTTGACCATCCGGCTATCCTCATTATCCTATTTATGAAATTCAGAACATGACAGAAAAAGAGGGGTATCATTTATTGTCATCTCAAACTACAAATCCATGAAAAAAATAAGTGGGTTGAGGCATGGAGAGTGATAGGGGCAATTGTTCTAGACTATGTGATTAGGAGCACAGTAGATAAGGGAAGAGTTGGAGGAGATGAGGCCGCACCAGATCATGTACAACCTATGGGCCATGGTAAGAGTTTGGATCTGATTCTAGACATAATTGGAAACCAGTGGAGGGTTTTAAGCCAGAGTGTAACAAGGCCTGATTTATAGCATAAAAGGCTCAGTTTGCTGCTGTCTGGAGAACAGGCTAAAAGGGGCAAGGCTGTAAGAAGGGAAATTACTTAGAAGCCTCCCTCAGGAGCTCAAGAGAAGGATAATGGTGGCTTATAACTGGGTAAAAGCAATGGATGTGGATATATTTTTGAGGAGAAACCCAAATCAACTTGTTGGGATGACTGATAGATAGACTGGATATAAAGCATGAAGAAAATGAGTCAAAGATAACCCCAAGGTTTTTGGCCTCAGCCAACAGATGGTGCCACTTTACACAGCTGGGGAACACTGGAGGAGGAACAGGTGGTAGGGAGGAATCTGATGGTAGGGAGTCTGTCCTGAACATGCTCAATTAGAGAGGCCTACTGGACACTTAAGTGAAAATGCTGATTGGATAAATGAGTCTGGATTTCAGGTCAACACTGGAGATAAAAATAGAGAGTCCTAAGAGTATGCTAAAATAGTGTGCATGGGACTGAATGAGATCCCTTCATATAGACAGCATGATTCAGCCACAACATGTGGAGCTTTTGCTTCACCAAAACAGCAAAAATAGTGCGTCATCTGTGCCTCATTGGACTTCAGAGACCAAGCTTTTCCTTCCAGTTGGAGTTTTGCCTAGCAAAGAAACTTTGCTTGGTCCTGAGTTTTCAGAAGTCATGAAGCTTCTCCAGCTCCAAAGTGATCCAACAAAATATTACAGAGAAATTAATGCTATCCCAAACTGAACAAATTATAACTCTCTATACCATTTCAAAGATGTCAATAGCCTTTAAATGTTCCAAAAGGGGCTCACAGAATAGGAAAAATAGGAGAGGCTATCCTGAGAAACCCCAGTAATTTCTTCCATTTGAATGCTAAAGAAGTGTGACCTTATTTCTCCAAGACCTGCTTTAAAATGTGAGACTGGCCAGTAAATCTGGAGCTTCTCTAATAGTGTGTGCATTATTTTCCTTTGCACTGCAAAAAGAAAGTTTGCAGACAAGGCTATGTTGGAAAAATCCAAGTTTGGGCCCAGGCTTTTAAACTGAATGAGCCTTTTTCTTATGAAGATCCATCTTGCCTGGTGTATTTTCAAAATTCATATGCAAGTTCGTCCCTGTAACTTCGAGTTTTATTTCACACACACACACACACACACACACACACAAAGACCCAAAGAAGGATGATCTTATTTTCTTCTATCATTTTTAGTTGAGGCTAAAACTAGTGTAAATACAGTCCAGTGTCCATAATCATTACAGCAGAGTATATTTTCTTTCATTTCCATCAATGGGAAATTGTTTAACTTCAAAATATGGAAAAGACAATAATTGTACATCACATATCAGTATGCATTAGCATTCTATGCTGCCTTACTCCTCATGTCTTACATGATATTAATTTTTTCTTAAGGGCAATCTTTAAAGATGTAAAAAGAAAAATAATTTTTTTTAATTTTTTGGTCAGCCACCAATCCCCTCCAGTCTATAGACTATAGTCTTTAAAGTATAAAGTAGTCCTCAGGTTTCCATGGTAGCAAACTGTATTTCCAGAACCCATCATTCATTCATCCTTTCCACAAATATCGGGTGCAGCATATGCTATGTTCTGGGCACTACAGCTCTGGGGACACGGTCACATGCTGGACAAAATCCCTATACTCATGAGCACACATTCTAATGGCAGAAATACACAAATTTTAATAAACAAATATATGGTATATTTGCACATCGTGACAAAAACATGGCTAGGCAAGGAGATAAAAACATGTTTGAGCTGTCCACAGGATAGGGAGGGATAGGGAGAAGGGAAGATTTCTAAGGAATGTCACATTGAGCAAAATCTGGATGAAATGAAGAAGGACCAAGACTCCAGATTCTCTAATAGAATTCATCACCCATCACTCTGTACCTCATGTTTCTATCCCACTTTTTATCTTTATTCATTCATTCATTCTTGAATGCCTACCACATCCCTGGCACTATTCCTGGAGCTCTTTTGCAGCTTTAGTTCATTCTGTTTCTGTCTGTTCCTATCAAGAGATTACAGTGATGGGGACTAAATCATCTTTATCTTTGTAGCTCCTTTAATGTTTTGTATGTGGGGGAATGATATGTTTGATGGAGAGATGAATGGATAGATAAATGGACTGATAGCCTAAAACTTAAGTACTTCCAGGAGTCAAAACTATTATTTTCTTTGCTACTTCCTGAGTCAATATACATCTTCTCTCAGGAGAACACCAAGGTTACATAGACTCCTCGTAGAGCACTCAACACAATAAATCAGGTTAGGGCCACTGGGAAATAAAGGATTAGAGTAAAAGGAAATCTTTGATTAAAAATGTAGTTCATTATTCAATACTCTTTGCTAGACAGCAAACATAAAGGCCATAAACCTTGCCTTAGCTCAATAATTCAGAGCTTCCAAACATAGGATAATACAAATTGACTCTTTTGAAATCATACCCAACAAATGACTCATTGGTCATAAGTACACACAATGTCACATTTGTGTGAAACGCTGTCAGAGTGACAGCAGTAAGCAAAATGAAAATGAATTTAGTAATCCTATCCTATCCTCTGATTTTTTAAAGAAGCCCACGTGTTCCCCCTTTTTCATGCATAATTCTGTTTCTCAGTGCTTAGCAAAGTCTTTTCAAATTAGAGGTAAGGTTTGATAAATTCTTAGTCTCCCAGCATGGGACATGTACCCAGAGCAGTAGTATCAAATATTAACTGGTAATCAAAATTCATTCTAAAATGGCATTAAAACTTAAAGACACATCACTCCCATAATCATCTTGAAAATATACATGATGTTAATAAATTTGCAATTGAATTTTTGCCAGCCTGTCTTGTAAGGTACATACCAAATGCCTTCCCAACAATTATCTGCCTCTATAATCATTAGGTAAATTACAGCAATAATACATTTGTTTCCCCGTAACTGCGCTTTTTGCACCATGCAGATAATATTCCTCATGCAAACCCGTTTCTGTTATTTTAAAGATCAAACATCCTTTCACCTGAGAGGTGCAGAGGAGCTGGTTCCCTTGGCAACCATAATTTGCTTCCAGTTCAATGGAACATTGAGTTCTTTTTCACAGGTTCACTGCACCGAGTGGCCAATCACAGCTCAGAGAGCCCCACTTCCTTTGCAAAGCACTATAAAAAAGTCTGTTGCTAAGGTGTTTTTGTTATGGTTAAATGAACCTCTTAGATATTGATTTTAATGCTTTCAATTTTTTAAGCTGCTGTGGTGTTCAGCTTTTTCTTAAACACATAGGACATAGCTCCTCTGAGCCTCTTTTTCATCTGTCTTGGTTCTTTCATTTCAATGATGCAAATCCACTGGCATCTTCTTTTGTACATTTTTCAACAGAAAACAACAATTGCCTTGCTGAATGAGGATGGGCTTGGGACAGCACCTGCTTTTCCAACTCTGATGTGATATAATCCAGAACTGTAAGAATGTGAATGCCCCTCCAAATTGGCCAAACTATTACTTTAGACAGAAAATACTTAAAACTACCTAAATCAGGGCCAAACATTAAAGGTAAGGGCTGTAAACTATTTTAGAAAGTGCCTGGTTCTGATAGCAGATCTCCAAGCCTAGGTAGGTTCTAGTCTATGGCCGGTCCTTGAAAATTCAACCTCTGCAACCATTTCAGGGTTATCTAGTTACCTAGTTGGAATCCTAGGAAATACTTGTCCATAGGATAAAAAAGATCTGTCAGAGGAAACGCCTTACAAATTTTAGTCATAAAAATTCAAGTGTGTAAATTCAAAGTGCTACCTGCAAGTCAGTCAATAGGCAAGAAATTGTTCAATAGCAAGATCCCAGTAAAACCACATGCTGTTGCCAGAGAATGAGGAACAGCTTGGGGGAACATCTAAAAATGAAATACTGAAAGCGAACACAGTATAGGAAAACAACTTCGGAAAAATGGTGGGAAGTCATTTGATACCCTGCAGGGAGGTTTATTACCTTGCCTCATCAGAGCTAGTTTCAAGCTTTGGAACAGATTTAAAGACAGCATATGGCCGGGCACGGTGGCTCACGCCTGTAATCCCAACACTTTGGGAGGCCGAGGTGGGTGGATCACTTGCGGTCAGGAGTTCAAGACCAGCCTGGCCAACATAGTGAAACCCTGTCTCTACTAAAAATACAAGAATTAGCCTGGCGTGGTGGTGCATGACTGTAATCCCAGCTACTCGGGAGGCTGAGATAGAGAATCTTTGAATCCGGGAGGCAGAGGTTGCAGTGAGCTGAGATCATGCCACTGTACTCCAGCCTGGGTGACAGAGCGAGAACCTGTCTCAAAAAAAAAAAAAAAAAACAAAACAGCGGGATGCGGCGGCTCAGTGCTTTGGGAGGCCAAGGCAGGTGGATCACCTGAGGTCAGGAGTTCGAGACCAGCCTGGCCAACATGGTAAAACCCCATCTCTACTAAAAACACAAAAATTAGCCGGGCATGGTGGCTGGCGCCTGTAATCTCAGCTACTCGGGAGGCTGAGGCAGGAGAATTGCTTGAACCTGGGAGGCGGAGGTTGCAGTGGGCTGAGATCATGCCATTGCACTCTAGCCCAGGTGACAACAGTGAGACCCCGTCTCAAAAAACAAAACAAAACAAAACAAAAAAAGGAGACAGCATACATTTTGCAGAAATTATTAATATGATGTCATATTTGAAAAAAATAACAGAGTTGGAGGGCATATATTTATATGGATATGAATGATAGCAATGATAGCAAGTAAGAGTAGAAATAGCTACCATAATGGAAGCATACTTGTCAAATTTAGAGCAGACAGCTTCTGTTCTGTAAAACTGACCTTTAAATGAATGCAAACAGAAACTGAGGACTCACTCAAATTGTGCAACAACCTCTGTATTAAAAAGCAACAAAACCAGTGTGATGCATGGTTTGGCATGGGGCATGACTATGGACAAGGCACATCAGAGAATGGCACAGAGACAACTTAGAAGAAAAAAACACAGGTACGGAAAGACCAAGGACGTCTCCAAGTGCTGCCATAGCCATTCTTGATTAAAGGCTCCACAAATATTCTGGTAAAGAAAAATTCTCAGCTAACTCGGGCCATTACAAGCTATATTACATACAATTTGCTTCCAGTTTTACAGTAAAGTAGTGTGGTACGTTGAATGGTGGACCCAGAAAGATATCTCCATGCCCTAACACTCATAACCTGTGACTATGAGCTTACTTGGGAAAAAGGGGTCTTTGGACATGTAATTAGGTTAAGCAGCTTGAGATAACATTGTCCCAATGAGTCCCAAATCCAGTGACAAGTATCCTTCCAAGAGTCACACAGGAGAGACACACAGGAAGGAGAGAGGAACACCATGTGAAGATGGAGGGAGAGACTGAAGTTATGTAATCACAAGCCAAGAAACACCTGGAGCCATAAGGGGAGGCAAAGAAAGATTCGCTCCCTGGCACCTTCAGAGGGAGCATGGCCCTGCCAACACCCTGATTTCAGACTCGACTATAGAACTGTGAAAGAACACATTTCTGTTGTTCTAAACCACCAAGTTTGTGGTAATTTGTTATGATGGCCACAGAAAATAAGTAGTATATGCACTATACATGATGGAATAGTATCTCTTGTGGAGTTTTAAAATTAGAACATAAAGTAAAAGTTGCCTGTAGTCCAAAGCACCTTGAAAATCCCCTCTATCACTCTGAAAGTACTCACAAAAATATCCATTATGGTTCATTTTGACTTTGTGCTTAAAATGAATTGATGGGGCCAGGCACGGTGGCTCATGCCTGTAATCCCAGCACTTTGGGAGACTGGGAGTTCAAGACCAGCCTGGACAATACAGGGAGACCTCCATCTCTACAAAAAATTAAAAAGTTGGCCAGGTGTAATGGCATGTGCCTGTAGTCCCAGCTACTTGGGAAGCTGGGGTGGGAGGATCACTTGAGCCCAGGAGTTCAAGGCTGCAGTGAACCATTATCACGCCACTGCACTCCAGCCTGGGTGACAGAGCAAGATTCTGTCAAAGAGAAGAAAGGAAAGAAAGGAAGAAAGAAAGAAATGGATTGCTGCTTTTTGGTTGAGCCACAGCCACCAGATGTAGAAGCTAGCTTGCGTTTCAGGAACACTTACCAAAAAATCCTGTATCTCTCAGTATAAGATTTTCAATCAGAAAAAGATGTTCATGACCTGAAGGCACCATGGAGCTCAGACTGCCAAGAAAGCAATACAGTCAGACCTTCCTTCCATCCCTGCTCAGTTTGGAGCAAATGTTCATTAAGAAAAATTAGGAAACAAAACCGTCCACTTATTAAAACTGTGTTCTCCATTTTATTTCAAATTAAATGAATCCCATTAAGTTAGATGTTCATCTAATTCCTATTCCCGACGTGATATAATCCAGTGTTTTCTCATCTTATGAAACCTAAAAAAATACCTGAAATGACTTTAAAAAAACAAACACAGGCCTCTCCACAGAAGATTCTGATATAATAGGTCTAGGAAAGTCTGAGAATATGTATTTCTAATGAATGGAAGATAATTCTTATGATCAGACAAATTCGTGAATCACTGATTGAATCCATGGCATATGTTTGATTCTCTTCAATCTGGCTTATTGTATTTTAAGTCTCAAGGGAACACTTTGTGAGTTCACCAAGCAGCTAAACCTGGTACACCTAAATCAACTTTGCAGTTCACACGCTGGTGGAAAAACTGAGAAAAGGGGAAAGACAGGTAAACAGCAGCCTTTAAAGGCCAAAGGCTGGTCTTGTCCTACAGGGGTGGCCCACCACCTTACTCAGGTGAGGACTGTGAAGTATAGTATTAAATGATCAACAGGTTCTCAAAGTTGCAAGAGCATGGCTACATACACATCTCCACCTAAACACACACAAAGTCTCTCATGCTCTGTGTTCTTTGTATATGGTCCTAAAGATCCTGTGGCACCTGAATCTCTTTGTAGGAACACGACGTAAGCTCACTTTATTCAAGTGATATTTCTAAGAGTTAAAAAAATTATGGAGAAAGGATACTGTGGTAGCCAGTCAGCCTTTAGGATGCACCCCCCTGGGGCTCACACCCTTCTGTAGTCTCTCCCCATATTGTGCCAGAGTTACCTGTGTGATTCATAAAACATGGAAAAACTGATGGCATGTCATTGCCGAGGTAGGCCATAAGGAATACTGTGGCTTCTGCCCTACTCTCTCTTCTGGATCCCACACTCTGGGGAGATGTAGCAGCCATATCATGAGCAGCCCTGTGGAGAGGCCCACACGGTGAGCAACTGTGGCCTCCAGCCAACAGCCATGTGTGTGAGTCTGCTTGCAAGTGGATCCTCTGATGCCAATGGAAGGTCTAACTGCAGCCTCAGACAGACCCTGAGCCAGAATCACACAGCCAAGTCACTCCCAAATGCCTGATGCCAAAACCTATGAAATAATAAAAGTTATTTTAAGCTGCCAACTTGTGGGGTAATTTGTTACATGGCAAAAAGATAATTAATGCAGATTTCATTTATTAATGAAGTACATTTTCATTGGTAATAATCACTCATAAGAACGTCATCTCTAGTTAATATACATGTCTCACTCAGGAAACACAAGCAGATGTTTTACTGAAAATACTCAAAGCAACCATAACCAAGAATAAAATGATCAAATATTTAAAAGCCACTTTCATGATGCACTTGAACTCAAGTTTCCATGAACCAAGCAGCTATTGAAGGAACTAAATCACTCTGCTCAGCTCACCTTGCCTTTAGAGCAGTTCTTTCAGTTGCAATGACAAAGGGAGCTTGTCTCTGCCTCGACTAGGCTTTTGGAGCAGAAATTCCATGTATTTTTTATATCCATCATAACTTCTAGCACAGGGTATGAATAACAGGCATTTAAAACAGTAATTTACTTCTAAGATGATTTCTAATTTTTAGAATGTGAGCTCTGTGAGACACAAAGTGCTGTGTGTCTCATTTACCATTGTGTCCTCAGAGCCTTGTGGAGCTCCTGGCACATCATAGGCGGATAGTACAAGTACTGGGATGGATGGATGGATGGATGGATGGATGGATGGATGGATGGACGGACGGACGGATGGATGGATTGACGGACGGACGGAAGGATGGATGGATGGATGGATGGATGGATGGATGGATGGAAGGATGGATGGATGGTACATCTTGAGTTAGTGTAGCTGTTCATTTATATCATTTTAGAATTTTCACATCACAGCTAGGAGCAAGAAGAAACTAAAACTGCATACTCTAGTGCTTAGCAAAGTACTGAACATATAGGAGATGATTTACAAATATTTGCTTCAGGCCATGAAAATAAGAGAAGGAAAACTATACTAAAAAAAGCCGAAGAGCGAGAAAAGAATCTGAAATGCTAAATCAGTGAAAAATCCTTTTTAGCCAATATGCTACAAACAGTACAGAGCCCTAAGAATATTCGTGTTTACTCAGAAGGCTGAGATGGGAGGATCGCTTGAACCCAGGCATTCGAGGCTACAGCAAGCCATGACTGCACCACTGCACTCCAGCCTGGGTAACAGAGAAAGACTGTGCTACTAAAAAACATAAGGAATAATTAAATGAAGAAAATTATTTTATGGCTCACTGCTTGTCATTCTAGAACCCTCCCACATTCACCAGTAGACACAGCCCTCTCCCTTTCTCTGAGGAAATTGGCTGTCTCAAATTCCCTATCAAAACCTACTGTTTTAAAGAAAGTGTTTTACTTCTTTGTTAGTTAGGGAAGCACTAGCTGTGATAATAAACTCCAATTTTCAGTGTCTTAACATAAGAGAAGTCCATGGCTGGGCGCGGTGGCTCACACCTGTAATCCCAGCACTTTGGAAGGCCAAGGCAGGCGGATCACGAGGTCAAGAGCTCAAGACCATCCTGGCCAACGTGGTGAAACCCCGTCTCTACTAAAAATACAAAAATAGCTGGGCGTGGTGGCACATGCCTATAGTCCCAGCCACTTGGGTGGCTGATACAGGAGAATCACTGGAACCTGGGATGCAGAGGTTGCAGTGAGCCAAGATCACACCACTACACTCCAGACTGGGCAACAGAGCGAGATTTATCCCCAAAAAAAAAAAAAAGAAGAAGAAGAAGTCCAATTGCAGCAGAAAATAGAAGTGGAGGGGATCTGTGTCACATAATTTTTTAAGGGCTAGACTGATAGAGACCCTGCTGTCTTCAACCCTTGACTTCCAAAGAGACCCGGGGTGTGGACAGTCAGCTAGCAGGTGTAAGAAGAGGGCAAGGCAAGCAGATAATTACACAGAAGGTTGCCATAGGCTGGGTTTGGAAGCAGCTTACAACACTTCCAGCCACACTCCACTGGTCAGAACTCAGTCAGATGGTCCCAGATGCAAGAAGATCTGGGAAATATAGTTCCTACCTAGACAGCCACTTCTCAGCAACAACTCCGCAATATAATAGTTTGGTGCATAAGTAATTGCAGCAATTTGCCAATAATGGCAAAACCCGCAATTACTTTTGCACTAGCCTAATAAAGAAAGAGCATGAACTTTGGAGGACAGCTAACATCCCTACCATGAATATTCCATTCACACAAAGGTTTTAATACTTGATAAAAGCTTAAGTCTTCTCAAAGATGTGTTCGCAGAAATCATGATTTTAAGCTAAAAGAATGGTTTAGATGGAATTTCAGGCATCTGAGAATTGTGTTGGGTTTCACTCATCTTTATGGCCCTAGGGCATAAGTCAGTGCAGGTAGTTCCTAGAAATCAGGTTATTGAAGGAACAAGGAAGAAATGTAAGGGAGAGGTTTTCGAAGTGGGATATAAGTAAATACATGATATTCTATTCTGACCCCAACTGTAACAGAAGCAATTAGATGGCAACACAAGTTTTAGGCCACATAAGAAAATGTGTTCATGATTATTCCTTCACCTCCTTTGAGTGAATCTTAATGATCTCCCGCTTTTAATAATTGCTATGTTTCTAACCTCCCAGAGGTCCTGCAGGTTCAAGTGAATTATGATTAGGAGCTGCTAATTATAGTAATGAGATATAGGGAAGAAAAGACAAAGGGAAAATTCATAAATATTATACATGTGACAAAAGTGGGCCAAAGGCTTAGTCAATCTGCCTTCAGAGGCCCAGTGAGAAGAATGCAGTATGTCAGTGGGCATTCTCAAAGCCTTGACTTCTTCCAGCTATTCAGGCACCATCACTTCAGTGAGTAGAAAGTCAGTGTTCAAAGATACACAGATTTACTCTTTCCTTGGTAGCTCCCCTTTATCTGAAATCATTACAATCATTAGCTCCACATACCATTTCCAAGACTCAAGACTCAAACCAGCAAAAGCCAGCACTCACAGCTCTTCGTAAAAGTTTAGCCTAAACATGAAGTGACCATTAAGAAACACAACCTCATAACATCACAGGAATGCAAAGCAGGCCTCCAAGGTATGGGCAATCCCAGGTTTGCATTTCACATTACACTGAGCTGCTCCTGCCGAGGCCCTGAAAGGAAGCTGGCATCTGCCTTCTATGGTATGCAGAAGCCAACCCCACACCTAAGCAAAAGGAGTCCAGTTGGGAGGCAGGAAGTGAAGCAAACAAAGCAAATTTTGACTTCCTCAGCGTTGATAGTCCTAAATCAAGTCCCACATGTGGTATAATGGAGGGCATTCAAAACTCCACAGAATGGGGAGACCCAGGGAAAAGCCAAGGATGGATAGTTCCAGTGGTATCCAGAGGTTATTGGTTAATGACAGGAAATGCATAGGATTCGGCCAAGTATCCAGTGTGAGCAGTATCCAGGAGAAAAGTTCGGGTCCCAGTCAAAGGAGTGATTGGGCGTTTGTAGGAATAGACTGAAAAGCAGGGCCAACTTCTCTCAGGAATTACTGGCATTCCCTCATTATTGATACCCTCGAAGGACTTGAGGAAACCCACAAAGTCTTCAGCAGGATGCTGATCTACAGGCAAGAAAACCAATTACAACACCTTCAGCATCCCAGCAGTGGTTACCTTTATACCAAGCTCCTGCCACTGGCTGGCAGCTAGCAAGAATCATGTTTACTTGTTAAAGCTTATGAATTTATTTAAACAACCACAGCAAAGACCTGGCCAGGACAAAGACCAATAATATGTTGCCAGAACTACCTATAATCTACTTCCTATAATCTTAATCCACTCATTCCAGTTTCCATCCCAGTCAAAAAATGAATATTTAGTGAATATTTATTAAGCACCTACTTAATATTTATTAAGCCCAGTCATGTTCTAAGCATTAAGGATATATTAGTCAACCAAACAGGCAGAATTGCTGCTTTTGTGGAATTTACATGATATTGAAAAGAAATCCTAATCTACTTTCTTTATTCATAACCTAATTTAAAAAACACAGCCGCCTTCTTTCCTTTCACAAGTTACTATCTCACGAAGGGAGACAGACATTTAACATACATTTAATGAGGGCCAACTATGGGAAAGAGCAAGTGGCACAAAGACGAATAAGGCGGAAGCCACAGTCTACTGGGGGAAACCATGCATTTACAAAAGGTTACAAAATAGCCAGGGGTTACACAGGTTGAATTGTGCCCCACCCTAAAAAAAAAAAAAGACATAATGAAGACTTAATCCCCCATTAACTCAAAATGTGGCCTTATTTGGAAACAGGGTCATCGCAAATACTAGTAGTGAAGATGAGGTCATATTGGAGTAAGATGGGCCCCTAATCCAGTATGACTGATGTCCTTATAAGAAGATGGTTCCATAAAGATAGAGCCACCAGGGAGAACACTATAGGACTACAAAAGCAGATACCGGAGTTCTGCAGCTGCAAGTCAAGGAATGCCAAATATTGTTGGTAAAAAACTGATATGATTTGACTGTGTCCCCACCCAAATCTCATCTTGAATTGTTGCTCCCATAATTCCCACGTGTTGTGGGAGGGACTTGGTAAGATATAATTGAATCATGGGAGCAGTTTCCCCCATACTGTTCTCGTGGTAGTGAATAAATCTCACAAGATCTGATGGCTTTGTAAGGGGAAACCAATTGCACTTGGCTCTCATTCTCTCTTGCTGCTGCCATGTACAAAGTGCCTTTCACCTTCTGCCATGATGGTGAGGCCTCTCCAGCCATGTGGAAATTTGAGTCCCTTAAACCTTTTTCTTTATAAATTACCCAATCTTGGATATGTCTTTATCAGCAGCGTGAAAATGGACTGATACAACAAGCAAACCACCAAAAGCCAAGTTTCAGAGGAAGCATGACCCTGGGACACCTTGATCTTATACTTCCAGCTCCCTGAACTGTGAGAAAATAAATTGCTATTGCTTTAAGACACCCAGTTGCTGTGCTTTGCTACAGCAGTCCTAGGAAATGAATATACCAGCTAAGCATTATAGCATAGCTAAGAACAAGCTATGATGGGAACACAGAGGAAGAAATCACTTAACTGTACCTGTAATGGGTGAGGAAGGCTTTCCACAGGAAATGCTATTTGCACAGGGTCTTGGAATATAATCAGGACTTTTATCAGGCGCATGGGAGAAGTCAAACATGAAGGTCTTTTAGGCTGTGCCAAAGATGAAAAGATATGGCCTTTTGAGAGAATCGCAAGTAATTTGGAGGAGCTGCCAAATTATAAAGCACTTGATATGCTCTAGGCAATTTCCTAAGGGGCACATAGAGAATGAATGGAGGTAGAGAACTACAGGGAGGAGTATAAAGGGTGGAAGATACAACTGGAACATAACATTAGACCCAAATTATGTTGGCACAGCAGGTAATAGGAGACCTTTCAATAATTATAAGCAGGTCTGGAACGGTGGCTCACCCCTATAGTCTCAGCACTTCGGGAGGCCAAGGTAGGTGGATCACCTGAGGTTAGGAGTTAAGAGACCAGCCTGGCCAACATAGCGAAACCTTGTCTCTACTAAAAATATAAAAATTAGCTGGGAGTGGTGGAGTGTGCCTGTAATCCCAGCTACTCTGGAGGCTGAGACAGGAGAATCGCTTGAACCCAGGAGGTGGAGGTTGCAGTGAGCCAAGATTGCACCACTGTACTCCAGCCTGGGCGACAGAGCAAGACTCCAAAAAATAATAATAATAATAATTATTATTATTATTATTATTATAAGCAGATGAACACTATGATCATGTTCCATTTTTTGATAAGATATTTCTGACAGTGGTGTGCTAAATGCACTTGAAAGATGAAGACCAGTTACCATGCTACTCAAACAGATCAAGCAGGCTCAACTAATGCATGGGGATACAGGGGGAACCCAGAATTATTAAGTTAAGAAGTAGGACAGACATCTGATGAGTGTATAGGGCATAGGAGACATGAAATAAAATCAAGACTACTTAAGGGTACAGACTGCTACCCAGAATGCAGAGTTCAAAATCTGTCTCAGCCACTTACCAGCTGTTTGAGCTTAGACAAGTTGTTTAGCTTCCCTCCTCATTTCCTCACCTGTAACTAGCAACAAAGATGGCTGGGAGGATTCAGTGAGTGAATATATAGAAAGTAATTAGGAAAGGCCTGGCACATATTACGTGCCTTGTATTTGCTGCAGCAGCAGCAGCAGCCATAGGTACACAGGGGATTCTTGGGCCAGGAAGATAAGGATTGTACATTTCCAAAACAAAACGTTTTAAGAGAGCACACAGGAAGAGATTCATTCCAGGTGAAGACAAACTGGTATTAGAGCAGATAGTGCAAAGACACACCAGTCAGAAAGGGAAGGCTAGATTAGTTAGACACTGAGGAAGCCTGAAGGTGGCTGAATCACGAGGAGGAGGTATCACAAGTAAGTCAGAAGGGAAATTGGAAGGCAGGATCACAGAACCCTTCCAAGACCATACCAAGGAACCTACACTGCAGTCAACAAGGCTTCAGGAAGCAGAGCCCTTTCAACCAAGGGGTGTATGTGGCCACCTGGCATCCAGTCCACCTTCTTTTGGTAAGAAGCCCCACACACCTATTTCCTTGAGGAGTTTCCTCTTCTCCATTGGATGTCTTTGTAACTTAAATCAAGAGGCCTTGCCTTCCCCTGATCAGGTGGTGGGTACATAGTCCAAGCCAAGCCAAACAGGCCCTCCCTCCTTCCTGGAATGGAATTGGGAGGATAGTGATGAAAACACCATGCAAGGCTGGTGTTCACTGGCCCCAGTGACCCATTGAGCAATTCCTGCCTCAAGACCTTCAGTGCTACCTAATCCCTGCCCTTTCGGAGCTGCTTCTCTCTCCTGCAGGCCCTCCTCTATTGTTCCAGTAAGTTCTCTTTTGATTTAAATTAACAAAAGCTAGTGTCTGTTACAAACCACCAAAGATCCCTTACATCCTAATACAACTCCAATAAATTGGCCTTCCTGGAAATTTGTTTTCAGAATAGAAGTACCAATAAGAAAATAGCGGCCAGGCACAGTAGCTCACACCTGTAATCCCAACATTTTGGAAGGCTGAGGTGGGTGGATCACCTGAGGTCAGGAGTTCGAGACCAGCCTGGCCAACATGGCAAAGCCCCGTCTCTACTACAAATACAAAAATTAGCTGGGCGTGGTGGAAGGCACCTATAATCCAGCTACTCGGGAGGCTGAGGCAGGAGAATCACTTGAACCTGGGAGGCAGAGGTTGCAGTGAGCCGAGATTGCGCCACTGCATTTCAGCCTGGACAACAGAGTGAGACTCCATCTCAAAAAAAAAAAAAAAAAAGCAGAAATTTAGAGGATGCTTACTGCCTGGCAATCAAAGTCACTACCTGTGGGCTGCCCAAGGTATGAGGTTGGAACCAGCTCTTTCTTCTTTCTCTTACAGCAACTTGAAGTCTGGTTGTATTAATATATCCCATATTCAACAGTGTGTGATATGTGATAACAGAAATTGTAATAAGACCTATATTTCTTGCCTTATGTCAGTCATTTTATCAATCCCTTCTTCCATTTTTTAGATCAACACCAAGAAAGGGGAACTTTTTGGGAAGTGAGTGCCCCCTTCTGAACACAGTTCCTCCCTGGGAGATTCACTGATTGATTTCCCTCATCGGTACCATAGCATTGATGTTAAGAATAAAGGAACCTCCTCACATCAGCTCATCTGTCTTTCTGCTCTGAGCCCAATTGCTCCCCAGGGCTTTGTTCATCTAGGATTCAGTTTCCAACCAACAGGCCTTCCGGCGCTGCCTAAGACAGAGACCATTCTGAAGTCAAATCTGTATTTCCACCAGAATCAGTCATCTGATTCTTTCAAATTCTCTATGAGCACGGTTGCAAAGCTCATGATGCTACATTTGAAACTAGACAAAGGCATTCTTCCCCTTACTGATGCTTTGTACCTTTCAAATTTATTCACTCAGCCAGCCCATACTGAGTACCTTCCATGTGTTAAGAACAAATGTAGGCAGATTGTTACATCCCTGGAGGGAAGTGAATATTATTCATTATGTATCCCATGCCTAGCAAAGCACCTGGCACATGAAAACAGACCCAAAAAGGTTTTATTGTCAAAGGAAAAGTTTGCTTCTCTAACAGCCATGGGCAAAGTAGATTTCAGCAGCCTCTCCTAGGGCCCTACCTGACCCTCAAGTTTCAGGGTACATGGAGCAAATGGGACTCTGAAGTCATAACTACCTGGACTGAAATCCTGCCCTACCCTTCTGACTAGGTTACCTAAAGCTAATTACTGTACCTGTGAAAGCCTTAGTTTCCTCTGCAGAATGGGATTAGTAATACCTGCCTCACAAAGTTATTAAAAGAATTAAATGTGAAAATACATGAAAATCATATGCAGAATACCCAGCACAAAATATAAAATAAATGTAACTGCATCTGGACAAATTTTACAACCATAAATTCCAGTGTACAAGAAACATAACTTATTTCCTATAACTCAATTTAATTTCTGACTTTGATCCTCCATTCTGCCCAATATGAAAAATAAAACTCAATTACATAGAAAAATAGAGTATTCTTCGTCCCTCTCTTCTCTAGAGTTGTCCCTAAATGGGATCCTGTGCGGGCCTCATCCTGTGCTGGACGGGGACACAACTTATCTCATTCAGTCCCTGGTGCAGACAACAGGCTTCTCAAATAGCTCCCGGAGTGAGATGTTGGCACACTCTGAGCAGAGACCGTCCCTGTCATATCTTTCCAACACACATCCCCCTGTGCTGGCTGGAAGAACCTTTGAGGTTTCAAGTGTACACTCTCAGCTCGTGTCTGTGCCCACTGGAAGGAGTCACATGAACTTTGGATGCTCTACAGTTCCAATGTGCACAGATCTTCAGGACTTGCCCCAGCCTAGACACACCTCAGTGCTGTTTCTACTATCCAGCAGTACTATCATGGCCCCGGGATTTCCTCCATGAGATCTGACAACTCCCTAAACCTCACCCAGGATGCCAGACACAAATCTTCTCTACTGTCATATTTCTAAATCAAATGGGGTGGAGGGGGTTATACTCCCACAACCCCAACGCTCAACTTGAGATGGATATTAAGAAGAGCAGGGAACAGGCACAGTGAGAGAGGTCTCTCTTGCATGCCTCGTCTACCTCTCTTCTCTCTTTTCCTGGTTAAAAGGTCTATATCTACTCAAAGACGAAAACTAGGATAAGGTAGGAGTGGGGGGAGGTGGGGAATTACAGGGAAGAATTCAATTATAGAGAATTATTCTGACTGTTCACATTTATTTCCTCAACCTTTGTTTCACTCTTCTGTTTTGCATTTAGAAGCTAAGAATTGGCACATTTTCTGCAATTTGCCCCGGACAACTCCTGTGGGGGTAACGGGCGCTAGGGATGGTTAGGGAAAAGTAAAAAGAACCAGAATATTAATCTAGTCATTAACCTCTGACATTATTAAGACAAAATTGGAACTTGGGTTCAGGTGTAGAAATCATTTGATTTGAGTAACTACAGGAAGAACCACGTGTGCAGCAAGTGCAGCCCCAAGAGATGTGGGGCTCCATGACTTTCAAGCAAAGCCTGCCGGGCTCAAGAAGGACAGAAGACCCAGGAGCTCCAGAGGGCAGGGGATTCAGAATAAGAGGACAAGCTCTGACCCAGTCCCTGAGCCAAGTGTGTCTATGGGTTCTAAAAGGCTTTCATTTTTCTTTTATCTCCCAGATGGCTTCTGCTTGCCTCCCTCATCTTGCAAATACTGAAATTTCTTTGGTATCTTCTTGACTTGGGGAGCAAATCAGCTGTGTGAGTCTTTTGCTATGCAGGAGCTCCCTGAATCACATATTCCAGGACTGTTAGCTGCTATTTATTTTTCATCTACAGATGGCTTCATAAAAGCCATTCTCCTTATTCTGAAAAAAGTCCAAGTGGTAGTTAGATATTAATTTAAGATGCAAATCAGGTTATGCAGGTGGCATAAAATAACAGCAGACTTTAAGAACCACAAATGAGGGGTGGAGCTGACACAGCACCATGCACTGGTTGATGGAAGCACAACTTTTTCCACCCGCTTTCCACAAGATCAACACCTCCACTGTGAGGCCGCTTTGCTCTTACCTGTAGACAACGTAAAGAAAATTCTAAAAACAATGCTGTCTCCTTAAATTCCTCTTCATTTCATGCTGCTTCCACGTTCTAGACCAGGGGTCAGCAAATTTTTCTGGAAAGGGTCAAACAGTAAGTATTTTCGGTGTAGGCCATATGGTCTCTGTTGCTACTCCTCATCTCTGCCAATGTAGTGTGAAAGTAGCCATAGACAATACGTAAACAAGTAAGCATGGTTGTGTTCCAATAAAACTTTATTTATAGACATTGAAACTTGAATTCCACATAATGTTCACATGAAATATTCTTTTTTTTCCCACCACTTGAAACTGTAAGAACTATTCTTTGCTCATACAAAGCAGACAGTGGAACAAAGCCCAGAGGCCATAGTTTGTTGACCTCTGTCTTAGATCATCTCAATTTAATAGGATAAATCTCAGTTCTAACAAGCAACTAATTCTGGTCCCAAGTAATACATAAAAGGAAACTTTATTAACCATTTCTTTTTGAGTTTTTGATATGGGAGGAGGGGGCTAGAGTTTACATATTTCTTTATAAATAATGCAAAATTATAAGATGAGCATCTAAAGTGCATAAAGCAAAATATTTTCAAGCACAACATATATAAGTGAAAACACTATTATATATTCATTTTTTAAAGTGTGACAAGGTCCCTATTTGGCATATTTTACTGGCCTATGTTGAATGGGCATGTATTCAGTCCAAAAACCTCTATTTCTTTCTGTAGTCTATAACCCAGAATTTTCATTAACTCATTCTGGCCTTACCACCACCACCCATTTTCAGTCTGAATGGGTAACTGGCCATACCCAAGGATTTTGTTCCAGAGCAACTGTTAAGGCACAACTTCATGGTTGACAATATACTTGAGCCTTCAACTAGTCCTCTCTGTGCTATGACTTTAGAAGCATTTCTCAAGGACACTCTATCCTCTTCCCAAAACCCTTTCCACTATGAGTAGGTATGTGGAAATGAAGTAGGCAATTATGTGATAAAACCTCACTTCAGTGTGGGGACTCCAGGACAAAGGGGTTTGTACATTACTTCCCAGGTATAGCCCAGGGGACCTGTACACCTTGCAGGAAGACCTCTAGTCCAGCTTGGTCCCCACAGCAGTGTGTGAGTGACGTATGGGGGTTCTTGCCCATATAAGCAAGAATAAGCCTTAGCTGAGCCTCACAAAGCACAGGGCCAGAGAAGATCTGGAAAATTCTGACCGGTTTCTACCCATCCCATCCCCCACGCCCACCAAGTTCCAAAAAAAAAAAAATGGCTCCAAAGCGACCAGTTGAGATCTCAGAGAGGTGTAAGGGCAAAGACCAAAGAACAAACTACAGTAATGACAAGGTAGCCCAGCGCAAACAGAGGGCAATCATGAACCACACTGTCCCCACGCGCACTGCCAGGCTGGAGATAAAACCCTAAGAGGTTAGCTCATCCTCTGAGGAGAAGTGATCATAGAAAAAAATTCCTAAATAACTAATATTTACCTAAAAATGCAGAATAAATGTACCTTAAATTGACAAGATTAATTTTTTTTTACAATTCAGGGTAATAAAGACTCAAAAATCCAATTAATTCAGAATAGTAGGAGTAACAGTGGTAGTAATGCAAGAGTAACAGTAGCAGTAGTAGTAACAATATAGTAGAAATACATAGTAACAGCAGCAGCATCAGTGGTGTGGTAGTAGTAATACAATAGTAGCTAGTGGTGGGGGTAGCAGTAATAGTAAAATACAGCTAATATTCACTGAGTACTTTCTATTTGCCAGGCCCTGTTTTAAGCATTTTACATAAAAGTACTCATTTAATCCTCACAACAACCCTTTGAGACAAGTATTTATATTCATTTTGCAGATGAGAAAACTCAGACACAAAAAGGAACAGCTTGAACAAGAAAAAGATTCAATGAATATTTGCTGAGCTGAAAAGTGGACACATTTATGAAATCAAACATAAGCAGGAAGTGGTACCCACACAAAATCAGCAAGGTGTGGGCATCCCAAAGTCACTGGCAAAGTTTCTTGGTGCTCTAGATTTGGAAGCCAGAGGGATTCAGCATTAGAGGAAGAACTTTGATTTTTTTAAAAAAAATTTAACTAAACAAAAGAGATAAGGATGGGAAACCATCAGAGGTTAAGTTGTTATCAACCTACCTGTGCGATCTAATCATTACCTCCATTCCTTCACATTAGTTCACAATGGATTCCTTTATTCTTCCTCTGATATAATGCCATTAACGATACCAACTTCCAAAAATGAGGTTTCTAGAGCCCCCGTTGTTTCTGCCGTTCTGCACTGCAAGCAGTGGGCAGAGCTGAGGAGTGAGGCAGCTGGCAGGGAGCAAATGTCATTGGGCCCAGATGGGCCAATGCTTTGAGACAGTGTTGGAGCCCACAGCTACTCCTGGTCCAGAAACTGCCCCCCAACAAGCCATGACCCCATCTCTTTGGTAATTTGATATCCTGTCATTTGATTGCATTTTTTCCATGCAAAAGTCCTTAGTGGTAAATATTTATTTTATAATTAAAGCGATTTTAAGTTTTAAAAACATGATGGTTTCCTACTTAGCCACAGGGAAGATTTGTCATCCCAATTAGGAAATGAAGTGATTCTTGAGTGTGCACAGAATCCAGCCTCCCTCTCTGAGAAGACCACACTGGGCCCTAGATAATCACGCCACCTAGCGGCACACTTGTTCTTCTGAGAACCTCCCTCAATCTGAAATGAGGGTGCCCAGCCATCAGTTAAATTATTCCATCTCACAGCCTATGAATTTCAATAAATATACCATCTGTTCACCTTCTGTGTGGGAGTTCAATCATCTTCTTGGCAGCAGGATTATTCTACAGCAATTACCTATGTCTTTATCACCTCTCATTGAGCTGCAGCAGCCATCTCTGTAAAACCAAAAAGTTTTAAACCACAGTTGCTGCAGATAGGACGGTCTTATGTCTAGAACACAAAAAAGATGTCTACACTTGATTTGGGGGGCAGGGGGTGGGTACGGAGAGAGAACCGAGAACCTAATGAACAGGCTTTTTTTTTTTTTTTTAATTTCGAGACAGAGTTTCGTTCTTGTTGCCCAGGCCGGAGTGCAATGGCGCAATCTCTGCTCACTGCAACCTCAGCCTCCCGG
Source organism: Homo sapiens (assembly GCF_000001405.40). Classification (NCBI taxonomy): domain Eukaryota; kingdom Metazoa; phylum Chordata; class Mammalia; order Primates; family Hominidae; genus Homo; species Homo sapiens. Next base: position 61,894,207 of record NC_000014.9, on the reverse strand, counting down.
GCTCAAGCGATTCTCCTTCCATGGCCTCCTGAGTAGCTGGGATTACAGGCACCTGCCACAATGCCCGGCTAATTTTTTGTATTTTTAGTAGAGATGGGGTTTTACCATGTTGGTCAGGCTGGTCTCGAACTCCTGACCTCAGGTAATCTGCCCGCCTTGGCCTCCCAAAGTGCTGGGATTACAGGCATGAGCCACCATGCCAGCCAGGCCTTTTTTTCCTGAGCTGTGGGGTAGAACTGAGGAGCCTTCTCCTTAGACTGCCAGGTTTTGATGTGTTGAGGTAACAAGATTTGCAAAAGAAAAAGGCCACCGCTGAGAGAGGAGCCACAGGCTCTCAGATGCGGAATCAGAAGATGCAGAATCGGGGGACATGGGACCTACCTCCAGCTCTGCCACCATGTGCACAATCAAGTTGCCTGAGCCTCAGTTTCCTCTTCTGTAAAATGGGGAGGTTGGAATGGTGACCACTGAACTTCCCTTTGGCTCTGAAATCATAAGATTCTAGTGGATGGAAAATGGGAGCCTACAGTGCAGCCCACGCCCAGATGTACCACTGATTTGCTGAGCTTCACTGAGTTGCTAAGTAAAATTACAGCTAAAAAAAGAAAACGTCACAAGCACCCAAGTGATTTGAATGCTTTTTAAATCTGGATTATTATTAATGATTCTTTTTGCACAGTATATGAGAGGAGGAAACAAAGGCTTGATGAGGTTAATTTGCTCCAGGTCACCCCCTAGAAAATGGGGAAGCTGAAACTTAACTTATGCCATTTGGTTCCAAAGTCTAAGCTCTTATACAGTGCCATATTGGAAGGCTTCACATAAAAGCAGAATTTCAGGACAATATCTAAAATCAAAGAAGGAATGAAAGGCATTTCAGAGGAAAGCATAAACGTACAAGTCATAAATACCCAGCGTTAACTTTATATTGGTTTAGTACCAGCTGCTTGTCATCCAATTATGTATCCAAACAGCCTGGCTATGGCCATAACAATGCTGTGTGCTCCCCAAACCACATTCACTTTCTTTCTGGGCACATAAGAACACGAAGTTTCCCAGTATCTCTTCTGGTAAGATCAAGAACAGGAACTGGGTTCCAGTTAATGGGAAGTGTGCAGGAATTCTCTACACCACATGAGTGTCGCTATAACGGCCTGTTTTATACTCTTTTCCTCCTATTGATGCCCTGGAAGTGAAGGACTCCAGTACAGCAGGACCACACCTGAGTCACCACACTGAGGAAGGCTTGTGGAAGGCGGCCCCACCTGCACTGGACCGTGGCAAAGGGAAGGAAAAAAAAAAACCGTTTATTCTGTATTTTACTGAGATGTGGGGGTTGTTTGTTACAGCCACTACCAACCAAGCCTGGCCAATGGGAACAGTAATGGTGCCTTAGTTTTCTTGCCGGCCCGGTATCTAATCCCCTTTCTTCTGAATGCAGTCCTCAATTCCCCTTCTCCAGCACTCTGATGTACCTGAACTTCAGTCCACATGGTTCAGAAAGGGATGTCACCACCCCCCATCGGTTCTAAAGCCTCTTGGTCCCCACATCAGCCAAATGAGAGTCAATCCTGAGACTTTTTACTGGAACTATTGTGAAAGGGAAACTCTTTTTCCACTGGGAAGGCCAAGCTGGGGATACAAGTCTGGAGCAGCAGGCAGGTCACCACGGAGGAGAGTCAGCCCTGGAACAAAATTAGCAAAGGGAGCAACAGAGCCATGAGAGGGCTGGGGTGAGGAAGAATAAATGGGGGAAGGAGAAAGAATGGAAGGCAGAGCATGAGAGAAAATGGAGGCCAAGGGTGGCCAGGGGAGCAGTGGGGACAAAGCGAGGGCAAAGAGAGAAAGGAGCATGAGGTGTGAAGGAGAGGAGGCAGACGGGGCGAGAGTAGCAGCTAGAGGTGGAGGGAGAGAGAAATCAAGGGGATGGAAAGAGAGATTAGCAAGCAATGGAGAGAGGGGCCAGGGTGGTGTGAGGAAGGTAGAGTCAGAGAGACGGAGGGTCAGGGGAAAGATGCGAGGAAGAAGCGAGAGAGAAGGGAGGAAGAGGAGAGGTTTATGGTGGGAGGATGCAGGGCGAAGGAGAAGGGGCAGAGATGCAGAAAGGGGAGTAAGTGGAGAGAAAAGGAGAAAAGGAAGGGAAGGAGGGAGGCAGGGAAGTGAGATCTTCCTTTGAATGCTTCAGTCCAGCCAAACCCAGTCAGCCTCGCCCCTGGATGAGTCAATAAATTCTTTTGCATTTATCATTTTAATTAGGGTCCTGCCATTTGCTGTAGGGAATTTTCTTATATTTTCCAAAACAACCTTTAAAATAGATGAAAGCAACATATGTGTCAAAACATGGACACATAATTATATAACACAGCCAGCAAGAACTGACTACCTTCTACCAAAATAAGAACTTTCAACCTTCAGAGCATCTCTACTACCTTATCCTTTTAGACTTTACCAGCTGACTTATTCAGTAGGATCCTAGCCTAAGGTTATACACTATTATATTTTCTGGCTTCATTCTTTTCCCTATCACTCCTTTTATCTTGTTCTCTGTTCTAATAAGTTGTTCTACCTTTATCACCTTTTCCTGATGCAAACTGCCTTGTTTCTGTCTTTTGCATGATCATTTAGAATTCTGGAAGGGTCCCAGCTGTTGGTCCCTCCAGCCCTACTTGTCCTCTCAGTGCTGCAGCGGCAGCTATTCAGGCTCATTATCTTGATCCCACAGGCCACCAGCTTGAGCTGCTGCTGCTGAAATCATCCAACATGAGTCAACAGTGAGCTGAAATGCATTGTTCTGAATCTCCCTAATGTCACATTCTCAATAGCAACAGCAATAAACAATTGGCTTGAAATGTGAATCAATGCTCAAGTTTGCAAGGGGAAAAAAAAAACAGGTGAAGACGTGCTTGCCACAAAAGCAAGAGAGAGATGGATAAATTGTGTGTGTGTGTGTGTGTGTGTGTGTGTGCGCGTGTGTGTATGCACGTGCACACATGTCCTGGAAGGTGGACCAAAAGATAAATTAAAGGATTCAGTTCTCAAATGCTCATCAAGGAATAAAACACTCTGGCTTTCTCTAGAGCCAAAAGAAAAATGAAGTGATTAGTGGAATTTTAAAAGGCAAAAGAAGCAAAGTACCTTAGCCAAAAGCCAAGGGAGCACTCACACACACTGGAGACAAACGTCACCTCCTTTCTTGTAACTGAAAGCACCTGAACTGAAGTTAGCAACAGAGAGTCTCTGCACTCCAGGGACTTATATTTATTTCCCCAGAATATTTCATATTTATTCAAGCTAAATAATATGTATGACATCTGGGAACAAAGTCTTTTCAAAGAGAAAAATCAACCCAGCCATGCTAATTTTCCTCATTCACCAGCCAACCCCCACATGCAGGAAGCCAGCCCTCTCCCATTCACTCACAGAACCACAGCTATGAAACTGTTCAATACAATCCCAGAGGCTTGGTTTTCCTTAGCTACCCTTATTTACTAACGTATTTACTAACATACGCAATTTACTAACATACACAATTTCTGTCATTGGTGGCCTCAGTTTCTCATATATCAATGAATTTCAAGACTCTATAAAAATCTAGATGCATATAAAAAGATACTGCAGCAAAAGAAGCTCAAAAGAGCTTCTTTTAAAAAGAAGTAAAAATTGTTTGTTCTATAGAAGTAAAAATTGTATAGTGTTTTTTTTTTTTTTTGTCATGAAGGAAACATTCTTGACTATATTTAAGACCACCCAACTACCTGTATCTGGAACTCAGGGACAAATATAGCCCCTCCACTTTGGTTGGGTCAGTGAACCTGAATCCTTGTCCCTCTCACTAACCTGTGAAATGAGATGGGCAACTTGAAGGGAAACCCAAAGCGCCTTCTCAACAATTCCCAGGGGCCTGCCCCATATCCAAAGCTCTGGGAACTCCCCTGGCCCCTCTTTTGTCCAGGGTGGCAGTCCTCCCTCCAACAACCAACCCAAACTACCCACAGCCCAGAAGCTCCCAGCCTTTCTTACTGTTTTCACTTCCACCAATGTACCCACACAGTCTTGAACATCTGAAACTAAAAGTGAAAGGAGGAAGAAAGGCTTGCTCATGATCCTCCTAACCCAGGGTAGAGCAATATCCTGCCTCTTCGTGATCTTTCTCGACTTATAAAAGGTTATTCTTATTTACCGAATCTGGCCTGATTGTATGTCCCCAGTGGCTGTGACAAAGACTGCCTCCTTTGATCAAAACTTGTATCCAGCCCCTCTGAGTCCTCTGCTTGACTAGGCTGACCTTGGGGTTCTCTCTCTGTCCTTGCTGAATCCAGTTTGAGAAAAAATACTGCTAAATGAGTGTCTTAGTCTGTTTTGTGTTGGTATAAAGGAATGCTGAGGCTGGGTAATTTATAAAGAAAAGAGAGTTATTTAGCTCACGATTCTGCAAGCTGGAAGGTTCATGATGGTGCATTGAGGGAGGGCCTCAGACTGCTTCCACTCAGAGTGGAAGATGAAAGGGAGTTTGCCTGTGCAGAGGGTACATGAGTGGAGAAGAAGTGAGCAAGACAGAGAGACAGAAAGGAGGGGAGGGGAGAGAGAGAGAGGGAGGGAGACAGAGAGAGAGAGAGAGGGAGCAAGAGCGAGCAGAGGGAAGTACCAGGATCTTTTTAACAAACAGCTTTTGCAGGAACTAATAGAGAAAGAACTCACTCATCTGCCCTCCAGAGAGGGCATTAATGGAGTCATGAGGGATCCATTCCCTTGACCCAAACGTCTCCCATTACAGCCCCACCTCCAACATTGAAATCAGATTTCAACATGAGGTTTAGGGGGACAAACACCTAAACTATAGCAGTCAGTTTAGGGAAAATGTCCCCAACCTTGGCATCTGACCACCCTCCAGTATCTTATAAACCTGGCCTCCCTTCAGCAATAATTATAACAATTTGGCTTAGCCAGTAACCCCTTATCTTTGAAGTTTCCTCTTAATAATTTTCCATCCACTGACCCCTACCCTGCTCAGTGGTTATAAACCCCCACTTGTCCTTGTTGGAGTCAGAGTTGAGTCCAGGCTCTCTCCTCCACTGCAAGACCCTATGGCAGTGGTCCCTGCAACTATCACCATGCCTCCCTTGAATAAAGTCTGCCTTACCAACTTTACCAAGTTTTTGAATCTTTTTTTTCTTTAACAGCTCTAAATACCTTATTTTATGCAATGACTATTATGACCTTTTCTGGGCCTCCTACAGTGAATGTGATCCTAAGTCCTTGTACCAATACCAGCGCAAAACCTAAATGTGACAGAGGATTACAAGATGTGGAGTTATAGAGAGATAGCTATTAGTTTTATCCTCATCATTGTACCTTTTTAGAAAAAAATAGATATATCTTGTTTTATTATGCTTTCATTCATTGCACTTCACAGATATTGCTTTTTTTTTTTTTTTTTTACAAATTGAAGGTTGTTGGCAACCCTGCATTGCGCAAGTGTATCAGCACAATATTTCCAACAGCACATGCCTCACTTTGTGTCTCTGTCACATTTTTGTAATTCACACAATAATTTCAAACCCTTACATTATTATTACATCTGTCATGGTGATCTGTGATCAGTGACTTTTGATGTTAATATTGTAATTGTTTTGGGTGCCACAAACTGCACCCATATAAGACAGTAAGCTTAATCAATAATTGCTGTGTGTTTTCTGACTACTCCCTTGACCAGTCATTCCCCCACATCTCTCCCTTTTCTTGGACTTAGTTATTCCCTGAGACACAACATTATTGAAATTAGGCCAATTAAGCTGGGCATGGTGGCTCATGCCTGTAATCCCAGCACTTTGGGAGACCAAGGCGGGCAGATCTCTTGAGATCAGGAGTTTGAGACCAGCCTGGCCAATATGGCAAAACCCTGTCTCTACTAAAAATATAAAAATTAGCCAGGCATGGTGGCGTGCACCTGTAATCCCAGCTACTCGGGAGGCTGAGGCAGGAGAATCGTTAGAACGTGGGAGACGGAGGTTGCAGTGAGCCAAGATCACGCCACTGCACTGGGTGACAGAGTGAGATTCCGTCTCAAAAAAAAAAAAAAAAAGAAAAGAAAAGAAATTAGGCCAATTAATAACCTTACAATGGCCTGTAAGTGTTCAAGTGGAAGGAATTGTCACAGATATCTCACTTTAAATCAAAAGATAAAAATGATAAAGCTGAGTGAGAAAAGCATGTGAAAAGCCAAGACGGTAAAAGCTAGGCCTCTTGCACCAAAGAGTTAGCCAAGTTGTGAATGCAAAGGAGAAGTCCTTGAAGGAAACTAAAATTGCTACTTCAGTGAACACAGGCATGGTAAGAAAGCAAAACAGCCTTACTGCTGATATGAAGAATGTTTTAGTGGTCTGGATAGAAGATCAAACTAACCACAACATTTGCTCAAGCCAAAGCCTAATCATGAGCAAGGCCCGAACTCTCTTCAATTCTATGAAGGCTGAGAGGTGCAGAAGGAAGCTGCAGAAGAAAACTTGGAAGCTCACTGAGGTTGGTTCATGAGGTTTAAGGAAAGAAGCCATCTCCATAATATAAAAGTGCAAGGCAAAGCAGCAAGTGCTGATGTAGAAGCTGCAGCAATTTATCCTGAAGATCTGGCTAAGATCATTAATGAAGCTGGTTATACCAAACAACAGATTTTCCATGTACACAAAACAGCCTTCTATTGGAAGATATCATCTAGGACTTTCATGGCTAGAGAGGAGAAATCAACGCCTGGCTTCAAGGCTTCAATGGACATGCTGACTCTCTTGGTTGGTCCTAATGTAGCTGGTGACTAAATTGAAGCCAGTGCTCACTGGCCATTCTGAAAATGCTAGGACCCCTAAGAACTATGCTCAGTGTACTCTGCCTGTGCTCTAGAAATAAAACAACAAAGCCTGGATGACAGCATATCTGTTTATAGAATGGTTTACTAAATATTGTAAGCCCAGTGTTGAGATCTACTGCTCAGAAAAAGATTCCTTTCAAAATATTACTGCTCACTGATAGTACACCTTGTCACCCAAGAGCTCTGATAGAGATGTGTAAGGAGATCAACGTTATTTACATGCTTGCTAACACAACATCCACTCTGCAGCCCACTGATCAAGGAGGAATTTCAATTTTCAAGTATTATTATTTAAGAAATACATTTCATGGCCGGGCGCAGTGGCTCACGCCTGTAATCCCAGCTCTCAGGGAGGCAAGAGGCGGGAGGATAGCTTGAGCCCAGGAGTTCGAGACCTGCCTGGGCAATATAGCAAGACCCCGTTCTCCATAAAAAGGAAAAAAAAAAAAAGACAAAAAAAAAAAAAAAGACAAAAAAAAAATAAGCGTAACTCCCCTTAAAGAAATGCATTTCATAAGGCTACTGCTACCATATTAAAACCTTCTGGAAAGGATTCACTAAATGTCATTAAGAACATTTGTGATTCATGGGAGGAGGCCAAAATATCAACATTAACAGAAGTTTGGAAGAAGTTGATTTCAACCCTTATGAATGACTTTTGAGGGGCTCAAGACTTCAGTAGGGATGTAACTGCAGTGGAAATAGCACGAGAACTGGAATTAGACGTGGAGCCTAAAGATCTGAATGAATTGATGCAATCTTATGGTCAAACTTGAATGAATGAAGAAGTGCTTCTTACAGATGAGCAGATGAGCAAAGTGGTTTCTTAAGACAGAATCTACTCCTGGTGAAGACGCTGTGGACACGGCTGAAGTGACAACAAACGATTTAGAATAATACAAAAGCTTAGTTGATAAAGAAGTGGCAAGGTTCGAGAGGATTGACTCTAGTTTTGAAAAGAGTTCCACTGTGGGTAAAATGCTATCAAACAGCATCACATGCTACAGAGAAATCTTTTGTGAAAAGAAGAGTCAATCAATGCAGCAAACTTCATTGCTGTCTTATTTTAAAAAATTGCCACAGCCAGCCAGGTGCGGTGGCTCACGCCTGTAATCCCAGCACTTTGAAAGGCCGAGGCAGGCGGATCACGAGGTCAGGAGATCGAGACCATCCTGGCCAACATGGTGAAACTCCATCTCTACTAAAAATACAAAAAATTAGCTGGGCGTGGTGGTGGGCGCCTCTAGTCCCAGCTACTCAGGAGGCTGAGGCAGGAGAATGGCATGAACCCAGGAGGCAGAACTTGCAGTGAGCCAAGATCGCTCCACTGCACTCCAGCCTGGGCGACAGAGCAAGACTCTGTCTCCAAAAAAAAAAAAAAAAATTGCCACAGCCTCCTCAACCTTCAATAACCACCACCCTGATCATTCAGCAGCCATCAACATCGAAGCAAAACCCTCAAGCAAAAAGATTATGGCTCACTGAAGACTTAGATGACTGTTGGTATTTTTTAGCTATAAAATATTTTTTATTAAGGTATGTACTTCTTAAGGCATCACTTTATTGCACACTTAATAGATTACATAATAGTGTAAACATAACTTTTATACGCACTGAGAAACCAAAAAATGTATGTGACTCATTCAATTGAGATATTTGCTTTATTTTGGTGTCTAGAACCAAACCTGCAATATCTCCAAAGTAAGCCTGTAAATAGAAATAATATCTATCAAGTAAGACATTCTAAAACAGGATTCTGTATGTTTTCTAAATGTCTCCTTGCTTTGTCAAACCCCCAATGACCACTTATTAAACATTTATCTGACTATATGTGCAAGGATTCATCCACCCACAAATGTTAATGCTAGGCAGAATTCACCTTCAGTGTTCCCTGAATGCCACAAGAGAATGTTCAGCCAGTCCTTGTTACCTCAGTAATCATCATCATCATCATCATCATCATCATCATATCTGCCATGCACTTTACATAAATAAATTTAATCCTCACAAAAACACTCCATGGCCAAGGGAGGTAATTATCTACCCTCTCTCCCTTTTTAGATAAAGAAACTGAGGCAAAGAAAAAGTAAGTTACTCACCCAACATTCTAAAACCAGCTGAATCAAGTTTAGAATCCAAGAGTCTGGTTCAAGAGCCCATGATCTTACTCTCTACTCCACTACCTCCTTGTGTCCATTTGAAATAAGGTATCTGTTTACACAGTATTAGACAGATAATGAAATTGTGATGATACTTTCTGAAGCAACAGCACCTAAGAAGGAAGGAAAGCTGGATGTGACTCAGTCAAATAAATCAGTAGAGGTTATTTTGCTCAGATCTTTCATGGGAAAAATCATTCCATTACGTTTATGGCCCCATGTCAAAAGAGCACAATTTGGCTTTATTTCCTGGAGTCCTCTGGTTTTTAGTGGGTCCCAAAAGAGAGAAATCTTCTGGAGACTTTTCAATGCTGTACAAAACCACCGATCACATTTATTGACTTTCTGCCCTACAAACAGTGGGAAGAGTGACTTCATCCCCCAATCAACATAACAGATCTTGACACTGCATGAGCAAAAGCTTTTTGCACTCCAAAAAAGCAATTATTTTCTGTGGAAAAAAAAGTCAGCTTCTTAGGCATAATGAACCCACCTATTAATCTTGTCCTGCTACTCCTGCTAATTTTGGAAACAGGAAAGTAGTCACGCCTTGTTGCTCTCGAATTTAAAAACAGGGCACATCATCAAAAACAAAGAACTTTTCAACTTTGTCCTTCAACTGGTCAGGCTTTCTTGCAAGTGGCAACTTCCAATCAGTGGAGAAGAGAAGCTGTTTATCACTTTAAACCTAGATTTTTTCATTGTAGGATATATGCATATCATTGACTGAAGCACAGTGCCTTTAGTAATACAGAAGGTACTTCCTTAATTAGTTGAAGATCTGTGTTTAAGAAAGGAGGCGACGTAATAATTAACTTACTTTTGATCACTTCTAACAATCTTTAATATTAATAAAGGAAGCCTGAAGAGTTTTCTTTTTTATGTTTTTACAAGACTTATTGCTGATGAATGGATTGCTGGGTAGCTCATCAACCCAGATAACTAGTTATATACTTCCTTCTCATAGTTACTGAAAATCTACCTGCTATTATTGAAAAATAGTCCTGAGATTTCAATTTGGAGAAAAGGTAGGTGCAGAAAAACAAAGGCCACTGATGGGTGTGTAGTTGTAGAGGATACAGGAGTGGCAGTGAAATCCAAAGGATGCTGATATGGTTTGCCTGTGTCCCCACCCAAAACCTCATCTTGAATTGTAATCTCCATAATCCCCACATGTCAAGGGTGGGACCAGGTGGAGGTAATCGGATCATGGGAGCAGTTTCCCCCATGCTGTTCTCATGATAGTTAGTGAGTCTCAAAACATCTGATGGTTTTATAAGCATCTGGCATTTCTCCTGCTTGCACTCATGCCATCCTGCCACCCTGTGAAGAAGGTGCCTGCTTTCCGCCATGATTGTAAGTTTCTTAGGGTCTTCTCAGCAATGTGGAATTGTGAGTCAGTTAAATCTCTTTCCTTTATAAAACAGCCAGACCCAGGTATTTCTTCACAGCAGTGTAAGAACAGACTAATACAGTAAATTGGTACCAAGAGTGGGGTACTACTACAAGGATATCCAAAAATGTGGAAGCAAATTTGGAACTGGATAACAGGCATAGGATGGAACAGTTTGGAGGGCTCAGATGACAGAAAAATGTAGGAGAGTTTGGAACTTCCTAGAGACTTGTTGAATGGCTTTGACCAAAATGCTGATAGTGATATGGACAATGAAGTCCAGGCTAAGGTGGTCCCAGATGGAGATGAGGAACTTGTTGGGAACTGGAGTAAAGGTCGCTCTTGGTATGCTTTAGCAAAGAGATTGGTGGCATTTTGCCTCTGCCCTAGAGATCTGTGGAACTATAAACTTGAGAAAAATGATAGTGGGTATCTGGTAGAATAAATTTCTAAGCAGTAAAGTGTTCAAGGGGAAGCAGAGCAAAAACATTTGAAAAATTTGCAGTCCAATGATGTGACAGAAAAGAAAAACCTATTTTCTGGGAAGAAATTCAAGCCAGCTGCAGAAATTTGCATAAGTAATGAGAAGCCAAATATTAATCACCAAGGCAATGGAGAAAATGTCTCCAGGGCATGTCAGAGACCTTCCTGGCAGCCCCTCCCATCACAGGCCTGGAAGTCTAGGAGGGAAAAATGGATTCCTGGGCCTGTCCCAGTGCTCCCCTGCTCTGTGCAGCCTCAGGACATTGTGCCCAGCATCCCAGCTGCTTCATCTCCAGCCATGGCTAAAAGGGACAAAGGTACAGCTCAGACCATTGCTTCAGAGGGTGCAAGTCCCACGCCACCTTGGATGTGAGACATGGAGTCAAAGGAGATCATTTTGGAACTTTAAGATTTCATGACTGGCCTATTGGATTTCAGACTTGCATAGAGCCTGAAGCCCCTTTGTTTTTGCCAATGTATCTTATTTGGAACAGGTGTATTTACCCAATGCCTGTACTCCCATTGTATCTAGAAAGTAACTAACTTGCTTTCAATTTTACAGGCTCATAGGCAGAAGGGACTTGCCTTGTCTCAGATGAGACTTTGGACTTGGACTTTTGGGTTAATGCTGGAATGAGCTAAGATCTGGGGGAACAGTTAGAAAGGCATGATCGTGTTTTGAAATGTGAGAACATGAGATATGGGAGGGGCTGGGGAGGAATGATATTGTTTGGTTTGGTCCTCACCCAAAATCTCATCTTGAATTGTAATCTCTGTAATCCCCATGTGTTAAGGGCAAGACTAGGTGGAGGTAAATGGATCATGAGGGTAGTTTCTCCCATGCTGTTCTCATAATAGTGAATGAGTCTCACCAGATCTGATGGTTTTCTAAGCATCTGGCATTTCTCCTGCTTGCATTCATTCTGTCCTGCTGCCCTGTGAAGAAGTCTTGGGTATTTCTTCATAGCAGTGTAAGAACAGACTAATACAGATGCTTTGAAAATGTGGAAAGAATAGTGATATTAAAATTAACTATAAATTACTTATCATGTAATTTTTTTTAATAGTGCAATCCTGTACTCTCTTGTTTATTATCCTTTGTTCATTCTATTTTTATAATTGGGAGGATAGTATATGGCACAATGTCTGCCATATGAGGGTGATTTAATTAGACCTGTATTTTTAAAAGGATCACTTTGGCTGCTATGTGGAGACTAATTAGAAGGAAGTAATACCTGAGTTCAGAACAGTTCAGAACAAAAACAGATTCGAAGCTGTTTCATTAATTCAATATAATGGCATGCCAGAAGAATGCAAATGGACATAGAAGGAAGAGGATGAATTTGGGAAAAGTATGCAGGCAGTAGCATGGTCAGAAATCATGGACTGGATGTGGGAATGAGAAAAAGTAAGGAGTTAAGGTTTCTGGCTTAGTGGATGTTACTGGTATATTCTCAAAAGGGGAATACTAGTGGAGGAGGGGGACTGTAGAAGAAGATGATAAACACATTTTGGACATGTTGAAGTTGAGGTACCCGTAAGACATTTAAGTAGACATGAGACAAAAGTGACTGGATATATACTGTCACCCCTAAAGCCCAGGCAACAAATATTTGTCAATCTACTGTCAACACTGGACTAAACACTGGGAATGGAACAGTGAAAAAGCTATACATCACCATAGCCATTGTGGAACTTAGAGTCTAGGTGAAGAGAAGGGCATTCAACAACTAGTCACCCAAATGCAAAAAATTGAAGCCATGAAAATGAAGTGTTTCAAAATGGGCAAGGGCTAATTACATCAAATGATGCTTAGAGATGCAGAGGATATTAACAGAGCCATCTATTGGATTTGATAACAAGGATGACACTGGTATCATGACAAGAGCTGCCTCAATGGAATACCAAAACGGAAGCCAGATAAAAGTGAGTTGAAAAGAAAACTGTACAGTGAGGAAGTAGAGACCATGACTATAGGACTTTTATTCAAAAGGTTTTGCTGAGAAGGGGAGCAGCCAAATGGAGCACTGGCTAGAAAGGGACATAAATGTCAAGGGAGAGTGATTTCAGATTTAAGATGGAAGACTGCAAAGCACATTTGTATGTTACTGGAAATATTCCAGCAGAAAGGGAGAAAGTGATTATGTTAAGAAAGGGAACTTTGCAAGAGCCAAGTCAATAAGACCAGAAAAATATAATAAAAACACAAACATTTTTCTTTGGGGAGGTAGTGATGGAAGAGAGCACCAGGGGGGCTTCATGGATGCAAATAATGTTCTGTTTTTTGATCTAGGTGCTAGTCAAATAAATTTGTTCATTTTGTGAAGATGTATCAAGAGGTGACCTTATGATGTGTGCTCTTTCCTGTATGTATGCTACATGTCAATCAAGTTGTTTAAAAGTAGAAGGATTAGAAAAAAGAAAACAAAAACCATCATTTTTGCAAGTGTTATGATTGCCTATAAAGAAAACCCTGACAAATTTATAAATCATTATAAATAAAAATTTCACAAACTGGCTGCCTATAAGAATAATACACAAGTCAACAGTACCACAACAAAAAAAGTTCAATTTTTAATACACTATTTACAATAGAAACAAAAACCATAAAATATCTAGTAAAAAATTAACAAAATATGTATTTAACCTATAAGCAGAAAATTGTGAAATTTTGCTGAAAGATATTAAGGAAAAACTAAATAGAGCAATATATGTGTTAATGAGTAGGAAGATTTGATTTTGCAGTGATTTAATTCTTCCAAAATTGATCTAGAGACTCAATGAAACTCCAATCAAAACCCCAACAGGATTTTGTGGAACTTTACGAACTAATTCTAAAATGCACATGAAATAGTAAAGGACCAAAAAAAGCTGATTCACATCTGAAGAAAAGAAAGGAATGCTTGCTCTGCCCTGTGTCTGGACTTGTTAAAGCTACATAACCACCTGTAAAGCAACTAAGACAGTATGATGTGGTCACAGAGATGCTCTGACCTGCTAGTCCAGAAACAGACCCCCCATACCCACATATGGAAGTTTATTACATGATTAAGACTATATAATTTGTCACACAAACTGAGGTACTTTAGGGGGAACTATTTATTCACGGTTATGCCAAGCCAACAAATGGAAACTATCATTGAACTGGGCAAATGAGGATGCATGCCCAGTATATCTGTGGCAGCACTGGAGGTAAATAAGCAGAAGCAGCTTTTGGTGGGAACTAAGACATTTCATCTGCAGACAGAGGTGGGAAATGGAGTGCAAATAAAGACATGAGTGGGGTGCTGGATTCGATGATAGGCATGTGGCCTGCCTTACTACTTTTATCTTTTCAGTGAATTTGGAAGCAACATAGTCAGCTAAGAGTGAATAGGAAAGGAGCCCAGAAAGCTGGGGCGAGAGAAGACAGTGTGATTGTTCTGGAGAGTAGAAGGACAAAAATCCAAAGGATAGATGGCAGGATTGCCAGGCAGTGTCAAGGGCTAATGTTAGATCGATGTCAGGAATTTGTAGATCACTGAGCACAATTATGCATTTTTCTCCTGACATATTTAACTGCTTAAATGATATAATGTGAAATCTAAACTAGTAAAAAAGGAAAAGAGAGAAAGGGGATCATAGACAATGAAAATGTGGTAGGCCATGGATTAGAGGTCTGTGGGGTGATAACACTAGAAGCTCCCGCCAGGAGGGTGGGACAGGAGTCGGAGAGCAGGTACCTTAAAACGAAGATGTTGAAGATGGTGCCGTTTACTGGTGATGAAAGAGCAAGGGACCCATGGAAACTGGGGTTGGCAATATTATTATCTGGGTCCTAAAATCATAGATCATGCAATGTTAGAGCTTCAGTCCAGAGAGGTGAATTGCTTGTCAAAAGTGCTAAGAGAGAATGTTTATTGAGATCTTACTATTTTCCAAGAGCACAGAGATGAAAGTATGACAAGCACCCTTGGCTGAAAGGGCATCCTTACTTCTTCACAGTTGTAATCTCTCTGTCACTCATTTTATTAACTTGAAGGTCAAGTAGGAGAGACAAGAAAAGGCACACTTTTCTGTTTTTGTTTTTAAATCCTTATGGAAGCCAAAGAGAAAAAGTATTAATAACACAGTTGTCCTGGCTGCTTTGGTCGTATTCCAAGCTGGGATATGGCTGGCCCTCTTCCTTACAGGCACATTGAGTGTATCAAGAGAAATGGACTCACACTTAAAAAAAAACACAAATTAATAGCAGGAAAGGGTTGGGGAGAGATATCCAATTCTGTATATAAAAGATTATTCATAGCTTACAGTGGTAGCACTGAAGGGAAGTCTGGGGGTTTAGAGCCAACACTCTCATTATCCTAAATATAAACATTACAAACTAAGTATGCTTGCTACATAGACATTGCCTCTAGATAAATCCCCTAATAGCGCCTAGAATGCCACTCCAAGCCCCTGCTATTTAGAAATTCTGTACCTCCCACAGCAGGTTGGCAAAAATCTTTCTAACATTCTCTGACTCTTCCTAGTCCACAGCAGGTTGGCAAAAATCTTTCTAACATTCTCTGACTCTTCCTAGTCCACAGCAGAAGAGGGAGAGCTTCGAATTTATTTTGGATTCTGCAGTGATAGGAAGAGAGGCAAGTACAGGCTGAAAAAAAGGATCAGAAATTCAAATTACTTCAAAAACCCAGGTTTTGGTATGAATGGTGGAAATGTCTTCCTTTTCTTTTCTCAAATCAAAGTCCCTCAGATTTGGCAAGCCAGTGTGAGAGATGTGAGGTTGTTTCAAGTGTGGCTATGTAGACCCAGAGATTGATTTCATGGCCGGGTACAACTGAAAATCAGATACCTTGTGCTTCAGTCATGTCCCTGCATTTGAGAGTCATGAAAATTAAAGCTGCCCCACAGTGTTTCCTTTCATGCTCCTGATAACAAGTCTACTTCTCAGCTCTCTTTAAATTGAGATTTCCGGATCAACCTGGTATTCCCACAAATGGACGTTTACATAACTGAGCAAAAAGGAGGCAAGAAATAACTGCCTTTGGCTTGTGGTTTTCTAGGAGAAATGTTTAAAACATACTGAGAATGTTTTAAAGCTTTTCTAATCATCTTCATTTTCAATATAATGACTTTTTTTCTTTGTGAAGATAAAAAGAAGAGGCAAAGAGGAACTACATCTCATGGTCCTTTTAAGTTTTTTGCCTCTGCGTACTGTAATACTCTTATTGAAACTATCTGATTTTCCTGGGATCCCTGGAGAACGGTGAGTAGAAATGATCAGTGTTCATACACCCCAAGGCCTTGCCCAGGGCAGGTATACTGGCAGTGTGTGTCTGTGTGCCCAGGGCAAGGTATACTGGCAGTGTGTGCCTGTGTGCCTGGGACATTCTGCTCTTATCACCCTGCTTAGTCAGAAACACCCAGGGATTAAGGTTCTACCTACCAGTTTCCCATTGTCTAGTTAACGCCTAAATAATTCCAGCATGTTTCCACCCAACTACAAGTCTCGATTCTCCTTCTGGGTACTCCTGAAAGAGTAAACGTTCCCACCCAAACTGAAGACCAAGGAACCCACTGTTGCAGGAATCATGTGACCCTGAGTACACACAGCTCCCCAGGGAGAAGGCCACAGGGCAAGCTCTCAACTCTGGACAGAAATGAGGACACCCAGGAACTCCATGCTTAAGCGTTTCTATGCCCAGCCTGGATCTGGGAGTCCAGCACTCTTTAGCAGGGGCTAAGGAGAAAAATGGGACTGACTTTTAAGTTCTAATTACCTGGGAAACTTTTGAACCCTCAGGGGCCCAGGTTATACCTCAGATCTAACGAAGCAGAATTTCTGGGTGTAAGTCTCAGGTGTGTGTTTTTTGGAAAGATCTCAAAGAGATTCATATACACGGGTAAGGTTGCAATTCATGGTCCTCCCTTAGCACAGGAAGTGGAGTCCTCATACTTCACAAAAGATCTGTGTTTCTGCCTCCCTGCCTGACCCCAGACCTAACTGTCGGACTGTGGGAGTGTGTGTGTGACAACCTTCCCTCCCTGAGGTGCAGACAAGAATGCCAACCAGATGTCAAACCATCACATGCCTGCCATTCAGACAAAAGGCGGAGTACTGCACTCCACCACCGCCAGTCCCCAGGCTTCCTGGGAGGGAAGAAGACCCAAGGACCAGCTCCCGAAGAAAACCGATCATCTCCCACCCGCCTCCCCAGGTAGTACTGTCATTTGATTGGCACAGTTTTGAGACAATGCATTAGGAACAACAGAGAATTTGCTGAGTGGAAGAAAGGTAGGAGGTCTGATGAGAAAAACAACCCCTGCCAGGAGGAGAAAAGAGGTGCTTTCTCCTTCAGCTCTGTTTGGATAACCAGTAGGTGAACTCTCAAAGTAAATGACCTGGTTTCTCCAACTGTAGCTGAAGCACAAGATATTTCTGTTCCTAAGCAACAGACAGATGCCTTGATTTCCCACCCTAGCTCAGGCTGGAATAATTGAATTCCCTGTTTCCTTTACGGCTCAGCCCCTGCTTCCTACCTACCTGCGGGGCAAAAGCTTGAAATGCGCTGTCCCCTTCCCCGATGCTATTTCACACACACAGACAGTAATTTTCAGAAAGACTTGGTCCTGTTCTTTTTGGGTACAAGGAAAGGAACATAATCTAGAACGCCATCTGTCTTCCTGAAATAGCCAATAGTGGCACTATTTTTACCCAGCAATTATCAAACAAATGGAGTCATTTGAAAGAGTCACAGCTGTTCCTCGGTGTTATCTCAGTACAAATATGACACAGCGCATGCTGATTTTGTTTTCTGCTTTGTGTCTCATGTACACCAAGGCAGTGATAATTTCTCAACCTCCCATCCGAACACAAGTCAAAGTGTGTACTCCACAACTGAGTCACTCACCCAAATTAAAAATCCCTCATTATCTTGATTACATGGTCAGGGTTTCATTAAATGTGGTTCTCATTTAGAAAGCAAATGCAATGAACTGCACATTTCAGCGTGAGTGCGAGGAAGCTGTTCAATCTCACAGAACACAAGATTTTTCCTGGTTAAATGCAACCTGAAACAAGTATCGGTACTCTTGATTTTATATGTATGTTAGCATTTTTAACCAAAAAGCAAAATTATGCAAAATGAATCCGATTTTTCCATTATCAACCTGCATCATAAATTCAGGAAGATGCCCTATTGAAATAAATATCCCTAGTAAACACAGTAAACACGCACTCACACACACGTGCATGTGCACACACACACGCACACACACAAACACGCAACTCTATCAAGCATCTATCATTCTTTTTATCCACCTGTATCTGAACCCTAGGTTAGAACTGGGTTTGGGAAATTCCCCAACCTAACAAGGCAGTGGTCACCTTCCACAATGACTGCAAAAATACCAAAGACTTGCTTTCCCAGCTTCCTTGGCACCTGGGACAAAGGAACATGGTCTAGACACCACCAATCAGACATACGCACCCCAGTGTACAGAGATCACCCAGTGTTCCCTCTGGGAATAGAGATGCCATAAGGAATACAGAGGCCCCACAATGCAGGTCTGGTGCAGGCATGCATGGTTTGGTACCAATGGCACCTGGGGTGCCATCTGCAGCCTTTAGTGCTCTGCAGTAACAGGAGTATCCACCAACCCAGCTCTACAGGCTGACTTGGACTCTGTCCCTGGCTTCATAGCTACAATCTGGCTCTCCAGCCCTCCCAGAATCTGTGAACCAAGCAGCATCTTTTAAACAATTCATTTGCTGCTTAAATCAACCAGCACTGGTGTTTATTGCCACAACCAAAAACCTTACATGAGAAAAAAAATTTTAATGTTTTAACCACATGAAAACCAATAATATCCTTGAAGTTTTCGTTACCCTTCAAAATTGTCCATCTCTTTCCTAATTCTTGAGTTTTCGGTCTTTATTTTATGTACACCCAATCCACATAAATTTCTCTAATTCCCAAAGATTCCCTGATTCCTCACTTCCAACTAGGAATGTAACCAAACATAGAAAGGTCAAAGTCACAGAAGGGAGATACAGGTTGACACAGCCCTTTTTGTATAAGAATATTCCCCAAGGATCAAGAAGCATTACATCTATACTCTAAAGCCATAACACTGATATCAGGTGATGCACAGAGCAGCCCTTATCAATTTTGAGCAATGCTTCTCAAACTGTAATCTGCTTATGAATCTCATGGCAATTGTGCCAAAATGTAGACTGATTTAGTACGCCTAAAATTCCACAGCTCTAACAAGCTCCCAGGCAGGTTACTGATCCACAACTGCACTTTGCATAGCAAAGTTTTGAATGCTCAGGTAACTATTCCAATGTCCCCAGAATAAAACTCTCCCCAAAGAGAAAAAATTCAGTGTGTTTTCTTTCCATTTTCTGGAGCTCATCTCCCTACTTTTCCTTTTAATTTTATATTTAGAATAACCAGACTCTAACGTGGCAATACATTCCATCATTTGGCACATGCCTCACACCAAATGGAAAATTTCTTATGTGCAAAGTGTTAGAACATGTAAAAAAAAAAAAAAAAAATCTTGCTGCATTGGCTCTGAAAATGTTAAATTCTATAAAACTAGCCTATTTAATACAAGAGCCATTTAGGCTTTCAGTTTGGATACTACAGAGAAAATTGTCTACTTTATGGTCCCAAAGAGTCTCATCTGGATGGACTCTAACTTTTTTTCAAATATAAATTAAAGGTATGAAGACTTATCTTTGAAGCACTGTAATACCTGGGCACAAACGTGTGATGACACAAGAAAGAAATATTCTCTGTACCTTGTCTGATATAAAAATATATTGTGTATGTACAGTTGTTCCTCGGTATACACAAGGGATTTGTTCTAGGAACCATCACCCCCTCATATAAAAAAATCCACATACACTCAAGTCCTGCAGTAGGCCCTGTGGAACCCACTCATACAAAAAGTCGGCCCTCCAGATATGTGGCATTCACATCCCGCAAATGCTGTCTGGTAGGAAAACATCCACATGTGAGTGGATCCACACAGTCCAAGCCCACATTGTTCAAGGGTCAACTGTATTTCCAGGTCACACTTTCCTCTCCTGCACTTAATAGAGTTCCACAGTAATGTCTTTGAAAGGGACTGTCCCTTGTCAATAGGAACAAAATTGTTTTGCAAAATTCTATGCAACTAGAGTTCACAGTTCATATTCACCATCCTCTATAACGCTGGTGCCATCAGCAGCTCTTACCCCCAAATTCACCTCCAAAATTGGTCATCACATTTTTCTGAGTATTTCTGAGTATTAATCTGAGTATTTTTCTGAGTATTAATTATTCTGAGTATTAATGCAATTACTGAAGGCAGAATATATTCTCCTTTACTTAAAACACTGACAACTCCTCACTAAACATATCCAACATTTCACAATACATACGAAAATTTTAAAAGGCCCACCATCCCGTTTTAATACCTCTAGAAAGAACTGCCATCAGTTATGGTTTCCTAAAAGACCACAGGGTAGAGGAAGACATCATCCTACTTTTGGCTATCATAACATGTAGTTCTGTTTTTTATATGATGATGGATAGCTTAGATTACTGGTCAGAATAGGAAATGGTTCATTAATTAGGGACATTTTAGCACTCCTGTGAATATTCACCCTTGGGGTATTACACATGGATTCTCTTCCCACTTTGCTCACTTTGTACCTCCCCTACTCATGTGAGAAAATGATTTTTTAAAAATGCATCAAAGTTAGGCTATGAATAAATGTTATTCACAAAAGAGATTCATTTTCAGGTGAATATTCTGAACAACATCAAGCTCTGTGGCCAATGGGCATAGGCAGTAAGTACGAAGGAAGGGGCCAGTGGCAGCCAGGGCTCTGGTGGAAAGACAGTAGGAGAAAAAGGAAAGACGGTTTGTTAAGGAGAAGCGAGGCAAACCCAGCATGACAGAAAGAGGCCTGAGATGAACCAGGAAAAAATGCCTATCCATCCTCTCATCCCATTTCATTCCTGATTGGCTGTGACATGGTGGTTTCTCTTCAGATAATGGGAAAAGCCTATAACTCTTTCGGGGAAAGAATTATGCTTTTTCAACCAAGGACTCTCCAAGCTTGCAATAGCAAACATTAGGGACTATTTGAGATCATATACTTAAATTTCACAGGTTTTTATAACTCATGGGTCCTCTTTTCCCAGGAAGGATCTATCTATAATCAATATTTTAGTTGGCCCATTCTCAGTAAAACATTGAACCCTCTTTAACAAATGATTGCCTTTCATGAAAAAAACAAACAGATAAGGCTAATGAAATTGCTTTTGGATACATCCTACCTATGAATACAACGTTTTAATATGAGTCTCATCTGTATTCTACTCAAAATCAAATTATTGTCATTGTAACTGTTTACCAGAAAAGATTAATGAATTATTTTTACCAATGTGTAAACAATTTATGCAAAACTAAACATAGTCAATAGAGATTGAATTAGGCATCCAGACAAGAGCTAACTCCCTGCCCTGAAAGAGAATAAAACAAGAGAAGCCATGAGCTGTGATGAGGGCAGCTGAACCAACGTCTGTATTCCCCAAAGCACAAAACAGAGTAGAAAGAATTCTATATGGGATGTGCCCTGGGTCTTAGCAGCCCAACACCTTTCTACTCAGTTCCTCTTCTCAGTTACCACAGAAAATAATGAGCAAGAAATTGTCTTCTCTTGAGAAGAAACAGGAAGGGGCAGGAAAAGCACAATGAAGAGTTGAAGCTGCTGAGATCCAGTTAAATTCATGTGAACTAATGCAGGAAGATCTCAAACATGTTTCAAATCAAGACTTATCTTCAAATTGGCTGTATTAAGAACTTTTAAATTTAGATAAGACAGCCCCAGGTATGATGGTATATTAAGGGAGAAAATTATAAATAAACCAGATATCCAAAAATAAGGGAAGACCTAACATTAAAAAAAGATAAATATTTAAGAGGATTGATATCCCAATTACCCTGACTTGATCTTTACACATTATATGAAAGTATCAAAACATTATATATGTACTCTAAAAATAGGTACATCTATTATATATCAATTAAAAATATGTATTTACAAAGAAATAAACAAAAATAAGGGAAGAGTTTATGAGTATGCATTGGGCCATTCATTATGCATCAATCAATGCTATAAGACAATATAGCAAATGTTTATAATTGTTTTAAAATCAAGGTATGAAGCTGCATACATAGTGTAATTGAAACTATTGATAACTACTATTTATTGAATACTTCATATTTTATTTTCAATCCCTGCTACAATATTGCAAGGAAGGTACAATTACCCACACATTTTACTGGTAAGAAAATGAGTCTTAAAGAAGATAATATTCCCAAAATAAAAAAGAATTAAAAATGGAACAGTGATAATAAATTGTAGGGTCAAGCAACTCCAAAGTCTCATTTTACCAACAATATTGCCTAAAAACTTCATAGAGGACAAAAACTACTGAAAGAAAATGTGCTATGACAACACTTTATAGAAGGGCATTTTATATCATTTAATATATTGTCTATAATGCGGTATTGTTTTTATAATTATTGTAATTTCATGTGAAAAAGTTAAGGAATCCAGCTCTGATCATAATATAGTAATAGGGATTAAATTTATCTTTCTGCCTTAAACAACCACAACACTGGACAAAATATATAAAATAATGGTTTTTAAAGATGCAGGAAAGCAGGCAACACTAAATGGTGATCCCTGAGAGAAAGAATAAATGAATGAAGTGATCCCTGTGGGTGCTCCAGCTCACTGCCTGGAGAGCAGGTCACGGGACAGGGAAGGGGAGCCCAAACAGACCCAGAACAGAGTCTTGCTGAGTTGAATAGAAGCAGGGTGGAGTTTGGGGAAGCCACAGTGACTAGAATTTGTGGGGTAAAGCACTGCAGAAGAGACATTCACAGACAGGATTTCCTTTGAGTCTTTGAGTACAGATCAGCACATGTGTATTAAGAAACTAACAAGACCAGGAAAAGAACCACCAGAAAGGTACAATCAAAAAATCCCTAGAGCTCATAAAAAGCTGGGAATAATTTACATTGTCACTAGCCAGTGGGCAAAAAATACTAATATATAGAGTATAAAGTGGAATACTTAAAGGTTGATTGCCTCATTAGTAGGGCCAAATTAGCAGTAGATTATCGGATGATTTATACCCATCTAAAAAGGTTTAAAAGCAAGTTTCAACAAAACTAGATGAAGTCAAGCTGGCTTAACTGCCTTCCAGAACATAGCCAAAAATACTTAAAGAAATAAAATGAACCACCGTCCAACAATATAAAATTCACAATATCTAACATCCAACCAAAAATTACCAGGCAGGCAAAAAAGAAAAATGGGGAGTGGGAGTGGGAGGGATTCAATAACTAGAAACAGACCCAGTAATGACAGAGATTATAGAATTATTAGGCAAGGTAGTTAAAACGGCTATTATAAATGTACTCCACAAAGGCATATTGAGAACAGAAATGGAAGATAAAAAGAGACATAGGTCAAATTTATGGAGATGAATAATATAATAACTGAGATGAAAAATACACTGATGAGATTAACAGATTAGTTATTGTAGAAGATTTAGGGACATGAAGACATTGCAATAAAACCTAGACAAAATAAAACACACAGAGTAAAAAGACTTTTAAGAAAAGAAACTCAAAAGAAGATAACATCATGTGGCCTACCATACATATAACTGGAGTTTCAGAGAAAAGAAGTGTAGCAAAAATATTTGAAGAAACAATTGGCCAAAAAAGTTTACCAATATGAAGAAAATTATAAACCTACATATCCAAGGAGTTTGGTAAACCCCAAGCAGAAACAATAAGAACACCAAACTAAAGTACATCATCATCAGGTATCTAAAAAAACAGTGACAAAGAAAAACTGAAAAGCAGGCAAGAAAAAAAAAAGATATCACATTACATACAAAGGAACAGCAATGAGAATGACAATATATTTCTCATCAGAAACAATGCAAGTCAGAAGACAGTGGAACAACGTATTTAAAGCAATGAACAAAATAGCTGGCAAACTAGAAGTCTATATCTAGCAAAAATATCCTTCAAAAATGAAAGTAAATACTTTTTCAGACATGCAAAATCTAAAAGAATATATCATGAGCATCATTGCACATAGTAAAGGAAGTCCTTCAGTAAAAGGCAAATAATACCAGATGGAAATTTGTATCTACACAAAGGGATGAAGAGCATCAGAAATGGTAAAAGAGTGACTAGATATAAATTTTTTCTTATTTTTAATATACTTAGAAGATAACTTCTAAAGCAAAGATAATAACATATTGTTGTGTATCTTGGTCAATTTGGGCTTCTATAACAAATTAGCAGATTGGGTGGTTTAAACAACAAATATTTATTTCTCACAGTTCTGTGGGGAGGGAAGTCCAAGTTCAAGGCACTGGAAGATGTAGTGTCTGGTTAGAGCCTGCTCCCAGGTTTGCAGATAGCCATCTTCTCTTCATAACCTCACATGGCAGAGAACAAAAAAAGGGAAAGAAAACTCTCTCATGTCTCTTATTATAAGGACCCTAATCTCATTCATGAGGGATCCATTCTCTTGACCTAACTATCTCCCAAAGCTTTCACCTACAAATGCCATCACATTGGGCATTAGGCTTCAATAGGTGAGTTGTGGAGGGATACAAACATTCAGTCCACAGCAGTTGGGTGTATAACATATGTGGCAGTAAAATGTATGACAACAACACAAAGACCAAGAGAAATAGAACTATACAATTTTAAGTTTCTTAAAATATGTGGAAATCACTGTAATATTATTTGAAAGTAGATGTTGATAAATTTAAAAGTTATACTGTAAACTCTAGAGCAACCATTAAACAACAAAAAAGATAGAGCTAATAAGCCAAAAAAACCTAAAATATAATATTAATAAATTTTCATTTAATCCAAAAGAAGGTAGAAACAAAGCAAAAAGAATAAAGACGGTAAGACAAATAGAAAACAAATAATAAAATGGTAGGTTTAAATCCAACCTTAAATGGAAATGTCTAAACTCACCAACTAAAAAACAGACTATAAAATTGGATAAAAGGACAATACTCAACTATGTATGCTATCTGCAGGAAATACTCTTTAAGTAAAAAGACAGAATTATTACAAGTAAAAAAGATAGAAAAAAGATAAACCACACTAAAACTAACCGAAATAAAGCTGAGTGGCTATACTAAGGTTAAATTTCACAATAAAATATTACCAAAGAAAAGGATCATTTCATAATCATAAAGGGATCAAGTCATCAGGAGTACATAGAAATCTTGAATGTTTATTCAGATAATAAAAAACTTCAAAATGCATGAAGCAAATGCTGATGGAATTAGAAGGATAAATGTACAGACTAATTCATAAGCATTGTTGGATATTTTAATACCAGAACCTCAATAATTGATAGAAAAAGTAGACAGAAATTCAGTAAGGATATAAAACACTAGAAAAACACTATCAATAAAATTAATCAGCATTTATAGAACAACCAACAAAAACAAAATATTCTTATAAAGTGAACATGGGACATTTACCCAGACCATAATCTGGGCAACAAAACAAGTCTTAACACATTTAAAAGGAATCATCTCATACAAATGTTATTGAAAGAGAGTTAAATAAGAAATCAATAATAAAAAGGTTTCTAGACAGTTCCCCCAAATATTTGGAAACTAAAGAACATACTTATAAATATCCCATGATTAAAAGAAGTCAAAAGGGAAATTTAAAAATTTTTTGAAATGAATAAAAATGAAGACAAAATATACCAAAATGAATGCAATGCAGCAAAAGTAGTGCTTATATTATAAAAATACAAATATTTAAAATCAATGCTTCCATTTTAAGAAATCTGACAAATAAGAGCAAAATATAACAAAGTAAGCAGATGAAAGGTAATAATAAGCAGATGAAAGCAAAAATTAAGGAAATAAAATTTTTTTAAATAACAAAAAAATCTAAACCAAATGTTATTTCTTTGGAAAAAACAATAAAATTGATAAACCTCTAATCACACTGATTAAGATTAAAAAAAGAGAGAAGACACCATTCTCAGAAAAGAGAGAAAGAACATCTCTTTAAATCCTTCCCAGACTACCCTTCCCAGACTCTGGCAACTATTATTCTACTCTCTACTTTAGGGAAAGAAAATTTAGACCAATATTTTTCATGAACAAGAATATAGACACACAAAACTCTTAAAATGTTATCCAAAGAAACCCAACCTAAAAGAGGTAATACATAAGAACAAGTGGAGTTTATCCCAATAATACAAGACTGATTCAACATTCAAAACTCAATGTAATTCAACATATTAACAGACTAGTTAAAGAAAACCATATGATCTTCTCTACAGATGCAGAAAAAGCACTTGGCAAAATTCAACATCTATTTTTGATCAAAACTTTCAGCAAACTAGGAATAGAAGGAAACTGCCTCAACTTCATAAAGAGCATCTTTGAAAAATCTACAAGCAACAGCAGACTTAATGGTAAAAGACTAAATGCTTTCCCCCAAGACTGGGAGCAAGGTCATCCTATTCAACAGTACAAACTTGTTAAATCACTTCCTAAGTCTGTCATATTTCTTATGCTGATGTAAATAGTATTGTTTTTTATTGTAAATAGTAATGTATTTTCATTGTAAATAATATTGTTTTAAGTTAATTGCTAGTATATAGAAAAACAATTTTTGTATATTTTCCCTTGCATCTTGTTAGACTCATTTATTAATTCTCGTAGCTTTTATGTAGATTCCAATTCATAGTTCAGAGCATATGGGTCTTCTAGACGTTGGCTACAGGGGAAATTCACTGAAGACAAACTAGCAAAATTCTCACAAACCGCATGAGAAAATGAGTCACCGTGAGGTTAAATCAGCAAATAAAGGGTTTTACTTCCTCCTTTTCAACCTATATGCCATTTATTTCTTTTTCTCAACAAATTTTAACGTACAAACAAGAAAATCCAGGAAGAATTTATTCACAGAAAATGATGAGTTAATTCTAAAATTGACATGGAAATAAAATGACCTAGATTACCCAAAACAGGATTGAAAAAATGAAAAAGAAAAAGATTTACACTACCTGATTTCAACACTTATTATATATAAAGCTACAGTAATCAAAGCAGTATGATATTAGCATAAAGATAGACACATAGAACAATGAAAGAGAAGAGAGACTCCAGAAATAATCTCAAACATATATAAATACTTTTCAGGAAAAATGCCTAGATAATGCAACCGGGAAAGGATAATCTCAACAAGTGCTATTAAAATAATTACATGTGCATATGAAAAAAAAAATGAGCCTAGACCCTTAGCTCACAACATAAGCAAAAATATAAAATGCATCACAGATCTAAATGTAACATCTAAAACTATAAAACTTCTAGGAAAAAACATTGGAGAAAATTCTTTTGACTTTGGATTAGGCAAAGATTTCTTCTGTAGAACACAGAAGGCACTAAATATAAAAGAAAAAATAATTGGATTTTATCAAAATTTAAAATTTTTACTCTTTAAAGCATGCTGTTAGAAAAACTAAAAGGCAAGCCACAGACTACAGGAGAGTATTTGCAAAATACATATCTGACAAAGAACTTGTATGCACACTAAAGAACCCTCATAATGCAATAATAAGACAAACATAATTTTTAAATGAACAAAAGATTTGAACACATATATTACCAAAGAATAGGTATAGATGGCAAATAAGCATATGAGAAGATGGTCAACATCATTAGTCATTGGAAAAATGCAAATTAAAACCAACATGAGATACCTTGTTATAACCATGAGAATGACAAAAATAAAAATAAATTGATGATATCAAGTATAATAGAAGATGTAAAGCAACTGGAAATGTCATACATTGCTAGGGAGAATACAAAATGGTACAGCCACTATGGAAAACATTTTGGCAATTATTTTTTCCTTTCTCCCCCACCCTCCTCTTCCTTTTTTGGCAATTTTTTGTAGAGCTAAATGTGTACCCATCTACCATATAACCCAGCCCCAGCAAGTCAACTCCTAGGTATTTACCCAAGAAAAATTAAAGCATGTATCCACACAAATACTTATACACGAGTATTCATAATAGTTTTTTTTTTCAGACTACAAAGGTGGTTTCCTTTATTTTGGTAAACTTTAAAGATCTCATTTTGATACTAATTCAAAATGCCAAATAGAATGACCCACTTTCTGAATAATTAAAACAACTTACATTTTAAACATGTATTTCTGTAGGATGTATTCTATCATCTGAAATATTAATAAGATCCAATAATTTCTTAAGTAAACAGTAAACTGATCCTAAGTATATAATCTGTGATCAATTTCGTAAGACTAAGTTTACTGCACCTTAATTCCAGATATAAAATGATTTAGAAAGCATTTTGACTGGGGGAGGTGGAAAATAAGGACAGGTAAATGATCTGCAGCTTAAATACAAAATCCTGTCACATTACATCTCACATGTTCAAGACACCCTCCATGTGCTGAAAAAAAATGATGATTCCCAGAAACAGTATAATCCATTAATAAGTCACCCAATATATAACAATTTTTAAAACTCTTTATAAAAAAGGAGTCCATGTATTCACAGATACTGTAGAATCTCCAGCTCCTATGTATATTACTGAAAAATGCAAATAAATATATCTTTGCGGTATTACGGCAATCCACATCTTTCCCATCAGACTATACCAGTCACCTTAGTACTGTGGAAATGTTCCACCGTTTTGGGCAGCCCAGGCCATGAGGTCCCCCACAATATTCCAAACTGTTAAATAGTCTAACTCTTGAGCTGCTGATGAGGCCTGGAGGATCTTCACGGCTTTCTGTGATTCATTTCCCAGTTTGTAAATCACATAAATGAGGAGAGCAGCCCCTTCTTGTGTGCCCTGTTTCCCTTTCCGGACTGCTTCTCCTAAGAGCTTCAGGCTCTCCGCATCCCTGCGTTCAGAGGGATGTGTAGGGCATGAGGCAAAAGACAGATGCTCACCTCCATCTTAGGCCTGATGTCCAGCAACAGATGGGGTGCCCCAGAATCCAGAAGTCGCTTATAGTCAGTGACAGAAACACGATCCTCTGGGCCCAGTAACTGCAGGGAGCGGCATTTATCGGTGGCTGAGGAGCCACAGAAGGCTTCATAGTCCAGCAGATGAGTCACAGTGGGCCATTTCCCGCAAGCTGCACAGTCGAGCCTGCAGCTCCGCAGCCGAATACAGCAGAAATGCCCTCTCAGGGCATCAAAGAGCAACAGGCTGCCACTGTAAGAGGGGCCCAGACTCGCAGCAATTTTCAGCACTTTCAAGGCCTGCAGGCAGCCCAGGACCCCGGTTAAGACACGGAGCATCCCGCCATCCGCGCAGTTGGTCACTGTCTCCGCCGGGGGTGGCTGGGAGAATATGCAGCGATAGCAAGGCCCACCGTCATAATGGTAGACTGTGATTTAGCCCTCCAGGCGCTGGCAGACACTAGGGCCCAACCGGCCAGCCACATGCGTCATTAACCAGGTAGCGAGTGGACACGTTGTCCGAGCAGTCGCCACCACATCATATCGGCGGAGCGGGTCTAGGGTAGGGACCGGCATAAAAGGGCCTGAGAGTACCGCACTCATTCCACCGCCAAATTGAGGCCGCGCAGCGAGGCGGCGGCCGAAGCGGCCTTGGCCTGTGCAGCCAGTGCCTCGCCATGCAGCACTTGGTAGGCCAGGTTGCTCATCTCTACCACATCATAATCCACAAGGCCAAGGCGGCCCACGCTGGCCGCTGCCAAGTACTGCGCCAGTGGACAGCGGAGCCCACCGCAGCCCACGACTAGCACGTGTCTGTGCACGCCCAGCTCGGGCAGCACTAACTGCCGGCTAGAGCGCAGAATCTCATCTTGGAACACAGCGGCCTTCCGCGGCAGCTGCAACACCGAAACCAGTCGTTCTGGCTGCGGTTCCTGCTCCGCCAAAAGGGCCGCTGCCAGCTTCTGCTTCAGGGAATTCAATTCCTCCTCACGTTGGACAACGTCAGCCTGTAAGGGGAGTACCTCCTCCTGGGTCGTAATAGTTTTATTCATAATAGTGGAAAATTTGAAACAACCCCAAGTCTACCAATTGGTGAATGGATAAACAAATTGTGGTCTATTCATACAAAAGTATATTCCTCCACATAAAACAGAACAAATTACCAGAATAGTCCATGCAGTATTGAAGAAGAACAAAGTTGGAGGACTGATACTACCCAACTTCAAGACGTGCTATAAAACTACAGACAATGTAGCATTGGTGAAAGAATAAATCGATCAATAGAATAAAACAGAGGGCCAAGAATTAGACCCACATACATACAGTCAACTGATTTTTGACAAAGGAGCAAAGGCAATACAATGGAGCAAAGATAATCTTTTCCACGACTGGTGCTGGAACAACTGGGCATTGATATGCAAAAAAAAAATGAATCTAGACAGACATTTCACCCTTCACAAAAATTAACTCAAAATGGATCACAGCCTTAAATGTAAAACACTAAACTACAAAACCCCTAGAAGATAACATAGGAGAAAATCTGGATGATCTGGATTTGGTGATGATTTTTTACATGCGGCAGCAAAGGCACAATCCACAAAAGAAAGAATTGATAAGTTGGACTTTATTAAAATTAAATCTTTCCGCTCTGTGAAAGAGAAAGTCAAGTGAATGAGAACATATGCCACAGACTGGAATAAGATATTTGCAAAACACTATCTGATAAAGAACTGTTATCCAAAATATACAAAGAACTCTTAAAATTCAACAGTAAGAACACAAACAACCTGATTGAAAAATGGGCCAAAGAGCTTTACAAACACCTCACCAAAGAAGATGCGCAGATGGCAAATAAACATGTAAAAAGATGTTCCAGATTATATGTTGTCAGGGAAAGGTAAATTAAAACAATGAGATACCATGTATAAGAATAGCCAAAATCCAGAACACTGGCAACACCAAATGCTGGAGAGGTTGCGGAACAACAGGAACTCTCATTCACTGCTGGTGGGAATGCAAAATGGTACAACCACTTTGGAAGACGGTTTGGAAGTTTCTTAACAAACTAAACACACTTTTACCATATGATCCAGCAGTCATTCTCCTTAGGATTTACCCAAAGGACGTGAAAATATATGTCCACACAAAAAACTGCACATGAATGTTTATAGCAGCTTTACTCATAATTGCCAAAACTTGGAAGCAACCAAGATGTCCCTCAATAGGTAAATGGATAAACAAACTGTGGTGAATCTAGACAATAGAACATTATTCGGTGCTAAAAAGAAATAAGCTATCAACCCATGACAAGCCATGGAGGAAATTTAAATGCATATTACAAAGTGAAAGAAGTCAATCTGAAAAGGTTATATCCTGTATGATTCCAACCATATGACATTATGGAAAAGACAAAAACTGTGGAGACAGTAAAAATATCAGTAATTGCCAGGGGTTAGAAAGGGTAGAAGGACGAATGGACAGAGCACAGAAAATGTTTAGGGCAGTGAAACTACTCTGTATGATACTATAATGAATACATGTCACTATACATTTGTCCAAACTCAGAGAATGTACAACACCAAGAGTGAACCTTAATGGACTCTGGATGATGATGATATGCCAGGGTAGGTTCCTCAGTGTTAACAAATGTATCAGTCTAGTGGGAGATGCTGATAGTGAAGAAGGCTGTGCATGTGTAGGGGCAGGGCATGGGTGGGAAATCCCTGCACCTCCCCTTCAATTTTAGTGTGAACCTAAAACTACTCTAAAATATGTCTACTTTTTAAAAGGGAATAAACATTGATGCACACAAGAACAATGATGAATCTCCAAAGCATTATGTTAAGTGAAAGAAGCCAGACACAAAGGATGACATATGATATGATCCCATCTATATAAAATTTTAGAGAAGACAAAACTATCATGATGGAAAGCAGATCACTGGTTTCCAGGGTCCGGGAGGTGGGAGAGGAGACTGACTGCAATGGGCGACAAGGGAAATTTTTTGGCATGAGAGAAATGTTCTACAAGATGAATGTGGTGGTAGTTTCAAAACTACACACTTGTCAAAAGTTATAGGATGGTACACTTAAAACTGGTGAATTTTTGCATGCAAATTATACTTTCATAAAGCTATAAGAATATAACAATAAAGCACACATAACTCACTTTATTGCGCTTCATTTTATTGTGATTTGCAGATATTGTGTGTGTTTTTTTTACAAATTGAAAGTTTGTAGCAACCCTACATCAAGCAAGTCTGTCAGCACTATTTTTCCAAAGTATGTGCTCACTTTGTGACTCTGTGCCAGTATTTTTTTAGCAATAAAGTATATTTCATTAAGGTAGGTATTTTTTTGGATATGATGCTATTGTATACTTAATAAACTATAGCATGGTGTAAACGTAACTTTTATATGCACTAGGAAACCAAAACATTTGTGTGACTCACTTTATTGAGATACTTGCTTTATTGCAATAGGCTGGAACTGAATCCCCAGTATCTCTAAAATATGCCTATGTAAGAATTCTATCAAACAGGCTGGGCATGGTGGCCCATACCTGTAATCCCAGCACGTTGGGAGGCCAATGTGGGCAGATTGCTTGAGCCCAGGAATTCGAGACCAGCCTGGGCAACATGCCAAAACCCCCTTTCTACAAAAAATATAAAAATAAGCCAGGCATGGTGGCACGTGCCTGTGGTCCCAGCTACGTGGGGGGCTGAAGCAAGAGCCTGAGCCCAAGAGATCAAGGCTGTAGTGAGTCATGTTTGCACTGCACTCCAGCCTGGGCAACAGAGGGAGACCCTGTCTCGAAAACAAAAAGGAGATTATCCGAAAGAAAGTAAAAGGCATCTGTGATTCAACCATCCAGATACTACCACAGTTAAGACTTCTGTGCATTAAAATGTTTATATTTTTACCAAAAAAAATTAGTAAATTTTGCCACTTAATTTTGCAAATTGGTAAGCTTTTTTCACTTAAGATATCCTGAACATTTCTGTGCCCATAAAGAAATAGAATGACAACATGAGCTCTAATGGCTACAAAATAGTCCACTGGATATATACAAAATAATTAATTCAGATTCCCTCCCAGTTGGTGAGCAGTATTGTGATGAATCTCATTATCAGAAATCCCACTCTCTGATCACCACCTTCCATACTTCTAGTTCACTCCTTGCTGGTCCTACATTCCAACTCCAGCCAACTTGATTCTTCCTGGTCCTAGATTCCATCCATCCTACCACTTTCGTCACTGCCTCTCACCCTCCTCCGATTGCTTTCTTCTTCCCCCAGCTTAAAATGCCATGGTCAGTCTCCGTACACCTCACTTGAATACTTCCTCAACACTTGCATCTTCCCACTGCATTAGGCCCACTTAGCAAAACCACACCCTGGTAAAATCCAACACTGCCTGTATCAACATAGCTAAACAAGGCTGGAGAAAAACACTCTTGAATCGAATGGCCTCACATGAAATTCATGGCCTCAAGCCTCAGGTGGATCCTCAATGTAGTGCAGCAATCTTTCTACTTTTCCCTACTCCATTTTCTCCCATTCTCTTGGCCCAGTGCCTCTTAAACTATCTGCTGTGAGGACTAGATGTTTTTATTTCCAATCTATTATAGACCAATACTTTTTAAAAATACAATAAAAATGTTACAGCAATGTCAAGTGCTATAACAGTTTCTAAAAGCTTGCTCTCACTTTCTGTACTCATCTCCTGGCAAGTCAGTAACCAAGGGCTCCCCAACTGGCCACTTTGTGCACTGCAGTCCTAGATGACAAATCTCAAATTGCCAGCACCTCCCCACCTTATTCACTCTGAGTTGATCATCTTGCTTCCTCTTTCACTAAAAAGGAATGAAAGACAATCAGTTCTTACTGATATGCAAATGATGTTTACAAAGGTTATTACTACACTCCTATAATTGCTTCTGTGCTGCTTTGCAAAAAATGAAAACTAAAAATAAATCACACCCAAACAAATACAGGCTAGAATGGTTTGTTGTTGTTGTTGTTGTTGTTTGGAAAGAAGCAGTTCTTTCAAAGTAGCTTTGTTACTTGTACCAAACTGTAAACATAAAACCTTTGTGCAACCTAGAGTGACTTTTTCCAAAGATTGTTACCTATTTCAAGGTGGAACCATTAAAACGTACTGAACCACAGTGGAAAAGACAACTATTGAGCCTAATTGAGGAGAAGGGTACTGTTTATTTCTGTGGCAACTGTATGTGGGTATATGGACAAGGTCTGTCATCTATTTAGGGACTTGTTTTATATGTCCCCGACCTTATCCACATCTTTTTGTTTTCTTTTGAATGTACTTTTCCAAACAAAGAATTATAAAATTATTTCAACCTTAGAACCTTAAGATGCCTTCAAATGGATTTATGTTAGTCTTTAGGGAGTCAATGTGTTGCTGCTTATTATAATATAGTTCGCTTGGAGCCCCAAGTGTGCCAATGTCCTCCCCACACTTCCCAGATGCCTTCATCTTCCTGTGAGCACTTGAGCTAGGAATCTCAGGTGACTTAATTTGGTTTTCCAGTGCTGAGGAGGCTACATTGTCTGGGGTATATATCCAGGGGCTCACCATTTGGCATTGGAAAATTTAGGACACAGACACAAGGAGTTTGTGTCTGTGTCCTAAACCTTTAGGAGTAAAGGTTTAATAGGCAGAAGAAGAGAAACAGCTCTCTCTGTCGAGAGAGAGAGGGGTTTTCCGAGCGGAAAAGATGGGCTGGCTGTGGATGTGCCGGATTGTATAGTAAAGCTTGAGGAGGTGGTGTCTGATTTAGGTAGGTAGGGCTCACAGATTGGTTTAATCAAATGTGAAGTTTACATAGCACGCCCAAATCCGGTCACCCCACCCTAATCTTATTATGCTAATGAACTCTCCGTGTCTGGCCGCCATCTTGTCGCTCTTTACTGTACACATGGCTGGCACCTAAAGGAAGATGGAGCCAACATGTCTAGTCCCTAGTTCCCGCCAGCATTCACTAGCGCAAGCTCCCAGGTTGGCTGTCTACGTCTGCAGCTCGACTTTACAGGCTGCTCTTTGTTAGAAAATGATTTGGGGCTGGCCGGGCGCGGTGGCTCACGCCTGTAATCCCAACACTTTGGGAGGCCGAGGCGGGCGAATCATGAGGTCAGGAGATCAAGACCATCCTGGCTAACATGGTGAAACCCCGTCTCTACTAAAAATACAAAAAAAAAAATTAGCCGGGCGTAGTGGTGGGCGCCTGTAGTCCCAGCTACTCGGGAGGCTGAGGCAGGAGAATGGCGTGAACCCAGGAGGCGGAGGTTGCAGTGAGCCGAGATCGCACAGCCGCACTCCAGCCTGGGCAACAGAGTGAGACTCCGTCTCAAAAAAAAAAAAAGAAAAGAAAAGAAAAGAAAAAAGAAAATGATTTGGGGCTGCTTTTCATTAAAAAGCCTTACCGAGGACTCCCATAACCTTACTATCTGCCTAAGTGATTTCTTCTTAACCCCTGTATCAGTGCCTACTCTATTGAAAAACTAGTTTTTCATTCTTGAGAAGAAACTTATGGAAGGACACGTTTCCTATCACAAGTTCACGTACTAATTTTTTTGTTTAATTTCCTTGGTGCGACTTATGCCAAGTAATTATGAAGATTTTTTTTCCTGGGTATTTCATGAAGCCTAGGAAGTTGGAACAGGCAAATCCTGGGTGTGAAAGCTTTATTTTATCTACCTCATTTATTTTTTATTTGTTGTAGTCATAGTCTCTGCTTTCCTATTTTAAGACCACTGAAGTATTCCCAGGCCCTGTCTTAAACTTAAGAGTTGATGTATTGGTGGGAAGAACTGAATGTTCAAGATGATCTTTTTATTCCATTTTTTTATAATCTCCTTTTGTACATGTAATAACATTGAGCATATGAATTATTGTTCCTCTAATGGCTTAACGGGAAAGGAGAAAGAAAGATCCTAACTTCTGGGTGGAAAAGTCTTTCCCCTGTATGCGGAAGGCCCTGATTGAAATGTGGACCTAAGACTGTTTGCCAAGTTTTGTCTCTTAGTTATTGCACCTTGACTTTAGGATTCCCCAATTTTTTTTTTCTTTTTTTCTTTCTTTTTTTTTTTTTTTTTTTTTTTGCCAAGCTGTGCCTTTCCTTCTGGAATTGTAAGTGAACACAATAGTACATGCTTACACTGTGAAGTGGATACTGTTACGGAGAACACAACAGTGGCTTTCTCACTGTTGAGATGATAATGTCTTGTGAATGTATGATCTACAGAGAAACCCCTGTAGTTTTATCCACTGATGCTGTCTGCTGGAAAATAAATTTTGAATGTTTTTTCCCCCTGTCAAAATGACAGACAGACAGACAGACAATCAGAAGGGACCAAACTTTCCTTCCATATACTCTTTCTTCCCTTTTATTAGAGATGAATTGCTTGTGTTCCCATCTTAGGTCAAATCCTCCATTTATGCACTGGATTCCAACCTCTCTTCTACTCAAAGACACTGTTCCATCAATTCTTTCTCTCCTGCATCAGAGATTTTTCCCTTTCTACTGAGTTATTCCTATCACTGTACATGCTATTATTTCTCCCATCTTAAGAAGAAAATCTCTTGCTCCCACTTCCCCTCCAGCCTCTTGACTGCACTCTCCTTTAGTACTGTCTATATGCTCTTTCCAGCCCCTCTTCCTTAACCAACTCCAGCCAGGCTTACCCCACCACTCCATTACATTGCTTTCTCAAGGTCACTAGGGAAACTCACTTTGTAAACTCTGGCAGTCAACTGTCAATCTTCGAAGTAGACACTTTCTATGGTACATGTCATGTTCCCTGGGCCCACCTCTAATTTCAGTCATAGCTGCAGTTGGTTCCGTGCTCATTAACAGCATTCCTTAACAAGCACCCACCTCATCTCTCTCTGCTTTCAGCCTCAAGGTTTCTCCCACAAGAGCTTGCAAATCCCAGAAGTAGAGAAGAGTTAACACTCTCAAGAAAACCCTCAACCAAGGGGGACCAGACACATGTCCCAGCTTCCCATTGTCTGAGCAGAAAATTGTGGCTGGCGCTTTACATCCTTCTTAGATGTCTCAGTGGAGCTGACCCCACAGTCTGGAGCAACCATCTCAATAACACACCCTTTATTGGCTTTCTTCTTTCACTATCTCACTTCTCTGCTCTCTCATTCCTGTTCCTGGGATCATCTCCCAAATAAATACCTTGTCCACCATCTCTGCCTTAGAGAACCCAAACTAAGATGATCCTCATCTAACTTAACCACATTTGACATGGTTGATCATTCTCTTTTTTGAAGCAGATTTTTCTTGGCTTCTAGGATATTAAATATCGTGTGTTTCCTCCTACCTCATTGACCGCTCCTTCTCATCCCTGCTAGGTCTTCCTCCCTAAACTCTGGGTCCTTGGCCACATGTCTCCCATGCCTATGCTTACTCCATTGGTGATGTCAAATCATGGTGTTTAACATCTCCCAAATGCTGATGACTCCCATATTTCTATATCAAGCCCAGATCTTTCCTTTGATCTCCAGACTCAAACACCTAACTGCTTATTCAATATCTCCAATAGGATGTTTAATAGACATCTCAGACTTGGTGTTCCCAAAACGAAATTCCTGATCTCCACTCATCCCCAACCCTCACCCGCCCAAACCCGCTCCTTCCACAGTCTTCCCCTCTAAATTTATGGCATCTCCTGCCCTCCAGTTTCTCAGGGCAAAAACTTTAGAATGATCTTCAGTATCTCTCATACTTCAGTCTGTCTGCAAATCCTGTCTGTTCTATCCTCAAAATAGTATGTATGTATTAAATAGTATATGTGCATATGTATAAAATATTATATTGGAGATAAGTGTGTGTATATCTCCAAAATCTGACTATTCTCACCATTTCCACTGCTACTCCCCTGCTGCCATCATCTGTTGTCTACATTCTACCTGATGCCACTGTCACCCATCTTTAGTTGACCGTCAAAGCAGCAGCCAGAGCAATCCTGTTGAGATGTATGTGTTAGATAACATTATTCTGTTATCAAAACTCTTCATAGCTTCAGATCTCATTCAAAGTAAAATCCAAAGCCTTCCTGCCAGTTTCCAGGGGCCATCCCGTCACATCTGGCTGTCCATCATTTCTCTAACCTCCCTCCTCCTGCACTCCCTTCCACTCGCTCTGCTCCAGGTGGACTGACCCCCCGCCATCCCTCAACCACACCACATACACTCCTGGCTCCTCCTTTTTATATCCCTTTGCAGACATTGGAGATAACATTTGAATGGGAAGATATAAAATTCACATGTTAATTTTAAATGTTACTTGTAAGAGTCTTTTTTTCAGCTGAGTCAGTTTAGATTTATTCAAACCATTCAGGTTTATTACAAAAGGACTGGACCCTCTTTCATGGGTCTGTTGGATTCTGCTCCCTAATCATGAAGAAGTAGAAAAACTTTGCCTAGGCATTATAACTGATAAATAAATAACAACATAATTACCACTCTACTCTTATGATGGTAAATTTTTTATAATAGTTTCTAGTAGTTTAATAGTCATCCTATTAAATACACATACAGATAGTCCCCAACTTAGGATGGTTCAACTCAAGATTTTTTTCAACATTACAGTGGTGCAAAAGCAATATGTATTCAGTAGAAACCATACTTTGAGTACCCACAAAACCATCCTGTTTCTCACTTTCAGTACAGTATTCAATATATTACATGAGATATTCAATAATTTATTATAAAATAGGTTTTGTGCTAGATAAGTTTGCCCAACTCTAGGCCAGTATAAGTGTTGTGAGCATATTAAAGGTAGTGTAGGCTAAACTATGATGTTTGGCAGGTTATGTGTATTAAACACATTTTCGACTTACAATTATTTTCAACTTACGATGGGTTGATCAGGACACAACCCCATCATAAGTCAAGGAGCATCTGTATACATCTGTAGTTCCATGCAAAATTATAGTCTAATTAATCCACCAATAGGTGCAAGATAAACTTGTTCCTTACCTTCCTTAGGAAATTAACTTGGACTCAGATAGCATTAAATAGATTCTGAAAATGTAAATATGCCCTAAGTCACCTTTTGACTTGAAGGACTCTGTCTTTGATTTGTAGTTAATGAATGACAAAAAGAGAAAAACTTTTTGGACACCAAGCTAACAATCAATAAATTTATCTCAGTCCTTGTAGATAAGGTACTCATATAACCTTGCTTCCCCATTTCCTATACAAGCAAGTGTGATGAGAGAAAAACCCAAGGTGCTAGATTTTCACTAATATGAGACAAGCAAAAGAAAGATCCCACAAGTCCTCTTCTATATATAGAGGCAGGGTGGGAGTGGTGGAAATATTCACTGTGCATGCCATGGGCTAAGCTAGTGGGAAAAAAAAAAAGAATAAGCAACAGTTTTTATAAACTTTAGGTAAGTGTGGAGAAAAACACACTGCAAAAAACTGCTGCTCCATATGAATGTATACACACATATATACACAAGATAGAATAACCACGAGTGATGCGTATGTTTCTAGGGAGGCAATCAATGTTGGGTTCCTCTCTTTCCTCACTTTGCTAAATTGGTCAAAGGAGTCCAAGGAAACCAGTTTTCTCCCTAAACAAATGCACAAGAAGGACTCCCAGATGGGCTGACTTTCTGGGTTGGCAAACCAGAGCAGTGACATTATAAACATTGAACATGTGAAAAAAGGAAAGGCACAAGCAAAAGCCAATCCACTTACTATTTCTTACTATAGTAATAGTGACAAGGATCTCCGAGAGAGGTATAAGCATGTGCACGCGCGTGCGCGCGTGTGTGTGTAGTATGATTAAAACTAGGTAAAGTTAGTATAATAAAAATTAGGAAATGCCAGAAGAGATTTTAACATCATTGGAGTATATTTTAAATTTTTTCATTCAACAAATTAGCCCCTTTTGAAAAAAGTGGCAAAATTATATTATTTACAAGATAATCACTAGATATATAAATACCTTAATTCACAGTGGTGTGATCTAGAACCCAAGTTTAAAGTTGCATAATGAATACTAATACCTTCTTTCAATCTCACAAGTATATCTCTGGAAAAAGTATATATACATGTATACATGTGTGTATGTGCATATGTGTATGTACACATACACATATTGGGGTGGGGGTGTGTGTGTATCAACCTAATATATATAGGCTAAAGCAAGTGTTCTGAGCATATTTAAAGTATGGTAGGGTAAACTATGATGTTCATAGATTACGTGTATTATGTGTACACCTTTTTGACTTACAGTATCAATATGCATGTATATAGAGACACATTTAGACATTAGATCAAAAGTTCAAATTTTATGTCCTTGATGAATAAGATGTCCATGAGAAATCCTAATAATTCCAAAGGTAATCACAGACTGAAAGACCTCCAATAATAAATTGTGCTCCCACTACTATTTCCCCGAGAAGCTCCTTCCTTAAAAACCCATCCGTTTCCTATCCCCAAATTTTCCCATTTGCAACATGTAAGTGTCTTTGTCCATTCAGACTGCTGTAACAAAATGCCATAAGCTAGCGGCTTAAAAACAATAGCAATTTATTTCTTGCAGTTATGGAGTCTGGAAAGTTCCAAGATCAAAGTGCCAGCAGATCTGGTATCTGGTGAAGTTCTGTTTCCTGATTCATAGATGGTACCTTCTCCCTGTGTAGAAGGTACAAAGAAGATAGCAGAAGGCCTTAGCCCTATTTTATGAAGGCCTTAGCACTATTCCCATTTATGAAGGTTCTGCCCTCATGACCTTATCACCTCTTCCTAATGCCATCATCTTGAGGGTTAGGATTTCAACACATGTACTTGGGGAGACACAAACTCTCAAACCATAACAGTAGGTTTCTCATTGCAGATTAAAAACTGACCCTGAATATAGCAATAGTGAAAAGATGCCCAGCCTCTAAAGGGCCCCAGTGACTCAAGGGTCCAAAACAATTTTAATTCTTCTGACTTTAAAGCTCTGTCTGTTTGGGACAAGTAAAGAACAACAAGGCCAGGTGCAGTGGCTTATGCCTGTAATCCCAGCACTTTGGGAGGCCAAAGCGGGTGGATCATTTGAGGTCAGGAGTTTGAGACCAGCCTGGCCAACATGGTGAAACCCCATCTCTACTAAAAATACAAAAATTAGTTGGGCATGGTGGCAGATGCCTGTAATGCCAGCTACTCAGGAGGCTGAGGCAGGAGAATCACTTGAACCTGGGAGGTGGAGGTTGCAGTAAGCCAAGATCACGCCCCTGCACTCCAGTCTGGGCAACAGAGTGAGACTCCATCTCAAAACAAAAAGTCAAACTCCATGCTTTAAATCATCAATAATATAACAGGCAATAAACCTCTGTGTTTACAGTATCAATTTGACTTTTAAAAATCCTAATTAACTTTCTTTCAAATGAAAAAGATATGTTGCTTTTTAAATAATCTTTCCCAGCAAAGTCTCAGGATACAAAACCAACATGCAAAAATCACAAGCATTCCTATACACCAACAACAGGCAAGCAGAGAGCCAAATCATGAATGAATTGCCACTCACAATTGCCACAAAAAGAATAAAATACCTAGGAATACAGCTAACAAGGGAAGCGAAGAACCTCTTCAAGTAGAACTACAAACCACTGCTCAAAGAAATCAGAGAGGACACAAATAAATAGAGAAACATTCCATGCTCTTGGATAGGAGAATCAATATCATGAAAATGGCCATACTGCCCAAAGTAGTTTATAGATTCAATGCTATTCCTATTAAACTACCATTGATGTTCTTTACAGAATTAGAAAAAAACTATTTTAAAATTCAAATGGAACCAAAAAGAGCCTGAATAGCCAAGACAATCCTAAACAAAAAGAACAAAGCTGGAAGTATCACGCTACTCAACTTCAAACTATCCTACAAGGCTACAGTAACCAAAACAGCACAGTACTGGTACAAAAACAGACACATAGACCAATGGAACAGAATAGACATCTCAGAAATAAGACTGCACACCTACAACCATCTGATCTTCAACAAATCTGACAAAAAAAAAGCAATGGGGAAAGGATTCCCTATTTAATAAATGGTGCTGGGAAAACTGGCTATCCATATGTAGAATATTGAAATGGGAACCCTTCCTTAAACCATAGACAAAAATTAACTCAAGATAGAGTAAAGACTTAAATGTAAAACCCAAAACTATAAAAACTCTGGAAGAAAATCTAGGCAATACAGGATATAGGCATTGAATTCAGGATATAGGCATTGGCAAAGATTTCATGATGAAAATGCCAAAAGCAATTGCAACGAAAGCAAAAATTGACAAATGGGATCTAATTAAAGAGCTTCTGCACAGCAAAATAAATTATCAGAGGGAAGAGATAAGCTACAGAATGGAAGAAAATTTTTGCAATCTATCCATCCGATGAAGGTCTAATATCCAGAGTCTACAAGGAACTTAAACAAATTTGCAAGAAAAAAAGCAAACAACCCCATTAAAAAGTGGGCAAAAGACATGAATAGACACTTCTCAAAAGAAGACATACATGCAACCAACAAACATGAAACAAAGCTCAACATCACTGATTATTAGAGAAATGCAAATCAAAACCACAGTGAGACATCACCTCGTGCCAGTCAGAATGGCTGTTATTAAAAAGTCAAAAAACAACAGGTGCTGGCAAGGTTGTGGAGGAAAAGGGATGCTTTTACACTACTGGTGGGAGTGTAAGTTAGTTCAACCATTGTGGAAGACAGTGTGGTGATTCCTCAAAGACCTAGAGGCAGAAATACCATTTGACCCAGCAATCCCATTACTTGGTATACACCCAAAGGAATATACATCATTCTATTATAAAGATACCTGCATACGTATGTTCATTGCAGCACTATTCACAATAGCAAAGACATGGAGTCAACCTAAATGCCCATCAATGATAGACTGGATAAAGAAAATGTGGTACATATACACCATGGAATACTATGCAGCCATAAAAAGGAGCAAGATCATATCCTTTGCAGGGACATGGGTGGACTTGGAAGCCACTATCCTCAGCAAACTAATGCAGGTACAGGAAACCAAACACCACATGTTCTCACTTGTAAGTGGGAGTTGAATGATGAGAACATATGGACACATGGGGAGAAACAACACACACTGGGGCCTGTTGGAGGGTGGGGTGGGAGGAGGGAGAGCATCAGGAAGAACAGCTAATGGATGCTGGGCTTAATACGTAGGTGATGGGATGATTTGTGCAGCAAACCATCATGACACACATTTATCTATATAACAAACCTGCACATCTTGTACATGTACCCCTGAATTTAAAATAAAAATAAAAGTTTAAGAAAAAATAATAATAATCTTTCAGAGTAACTGCTGTTTTCACAACAGCCAATTCATCCCCTTAACCCTTTCACAAGTTTAAAACTCAAGAAAATATAATGTTGGCCTCAAAAGTAATCTGAAGAACATTCTGATTCACTAATGATTACCAACACATAATAGGGCAAATAGAAAGATTACAGGCATTTTCATCCAAACCAAAGCAATAGATTTTTGTTGAATGCATCTGATGTGGAGGGCACTGAAGGGATAAACATAAAAGAATCTCATTATTTGAAATGTTTACAATTTACTTACTGGGTAGACATAATAAAGTTAGATAAAAATGTTTTTTATTTTAAGAACAACCAACACCATTAAAAATAGGCAAATGATATGTACACTTCTTAAAAGAAGAAATGCAAACAGCTAACAAACCACATGAAAAAAAAGTTCAACATCACTATCAGAAAAATGCAAATTAGGCCAGGCACGGTGGCTCATGCCTGTAATCCCAGCACTCTGGGAGGCCAAGGTAGGCAGATAATCTAAGGTCAGGAGTTTGAGACCAGCCTGGCCAACATGGTGAAACCCCATCTCTACTAAAAATACAAAAATTAGCCAGGCATGGTGGCAGGTGCCTGTAATCCCAGCTACTAGGGAAGCTAAGGCAGGAGAATCACTTGAACCCAGGAGGCAGAGGTTGCAGTGAGCCGAGATCACACCATTGCACTCCAGCCTGGGTGACAGGAGCAAAAGTCCGTCTCAAAAAAAAAAAGAAAAAGAAAAAGAAAAAAATGCAAATTAAAACCACACTGAGATACCATCTTACACCAGTCAGAATGACTATTACTAAAAAGTCAAAAACAACAGATGTTGGAATGGATGCAGAGAAAAGGGAAAACTCATATTGTTGGTGGGAATGTAAATTAGTTCAATATCTATGGAAAAAAATATGGAAATGTCTACCAAGAGAAAAATAAATCATCATATCAAAAAGATACCTGTGGAAGTGGAGGCAGCACAAGATGGCCAATAGAAGCCTCCACCAACCATCCTCCCTTCAGGAACATCAAATGGAACAACTATCCACACAAAAAAGCACCTACATAAGAATGAAAAATCGGGTGACCAATCAGAGTACCTGGTTTTAACTTCATATCACTGAAAGAGGCACTAAAGAGGGTAGGAAAGACAGTCTTGAACTGCCAATGCCACCCCTCTCCCACCCCGACAGTGGCCACATGAGGTAAAGAATCTGTGCACTTGAGGGAGGGAGAGCATAGTGATTGTGGGACTTTGCATTGGAACTCAGTGCTGCCCTATCACAGCAGAAAGCAACACCAGACAGAACTCAGCCAGTGCCCATGGATGGAGCATTTAGATGAGCCCTAATCAGAGGGAAATCACCCATCCAAGCAGTCAGAACTTGAATTTCAGCAAGCCTCGCCACCACAAGCTAAAGTGCTCTGGGGTCCTAAATAAATTTGAAAGGCAATCTATGCCACAACGACTGCAACTCCTAAGCAAATCCTAATGCTGTGCTGGGCTCAGAACCAGTGGATTTTGGGGGACACATGACCCAGCGAGACACTGGCTGGGGCAACTAAGAGAGTGCTTGTGCCAG
Organism: Homo sapiens; assembly: GCF_000001405.40. Lineage (NCBI taxonomy): Eukaryota > Metazoa > Chordata > Mammalia > Primates > Hominidae > Homo > Homo sapiens. Next base: position 61,849,291 of record NC_000014.9, on the reverse strand, counting down.
TCAGCCCTCCCCCAACTCCAGGCAGTGCAGCTCACAGCTCCAAAAAAGACTCCTTCCTTCTGCCTCAGGAGAGGAGAGAGAAGAGTAAAGACAATTTTGTCTTACAAATTGGATACAAGTTCAGTTACAATAGGATAGGGCACAAGACAGAGTCCGGAGGCCCCCCATTCTAGGGCCTAGTTCCTGGTCATCATTTCTAGGCAAGCTTGGGCCAGAAGGGAGCCTGCTGCCTTGAAGGGAAGAACCCAGTCCTGGCAGGATTCATCACCTATTGACTAAAAAGCCCTTGGGCCCTGAAAAATTTGTAGCAACAACCAGGTAATATGTGCTGTGGGCCTTGCATGACTCTGAGACATGCTGGCTTCAGGTTTGATCCAGCACATTGCCACCTGTGGTAGCTACAAGGAGAGACTCCTTCTGCTTGATAAAAGCAGAGGGAAAGGTAAAGGGGGCTTGTCTTGCAGCTTAGATACCAGCTCTGTCACAAAAGGGTCAAGCCCTAAGTGGGCCCCTGTGGTTTAGGTGCCAGCTCTGCCACAGTAGAATAAAGTACCAGGTAGATTTCTGACTCCAGGCTCTGTCTCCCAGAGAACATGTCTGGACCTTCCCATGGCTCAGGGAAACTCAGCGCACTGAAGAGAAGGACACAAGTTTAGCTGGTTTCACTACCTGCTGATCACAGAGCCCAAGGTTCTTGAGCAAACATAGGCAGTACCCAGGTAGCGGCTACAGTGGGCCTTGAATGAGGCCCAGTGTTGTGCTGGTTCCAGGTCTGACCATCAGAGTCCCAATGGTGGTGGCCACAGGGGTGCTTATGTCATGTGTCCTCCACTTCCAGACTGCTCAGCACAGAGAGAGAGAGAGAGACTCCTTTTGTTTTGGAGAAAGTAAGGAAAGAGAGCAAGAGTCTCTGCCTGGTAATCCAGATTATTCTTCCAGATTTTATCCAAGACCACCAAGGTGGCACCTAAGTCTGCAAGAGCCACAGCATTATTACTGGGCATGGGATGTGTCCTAATGCAGATACGGCTTCAGTGACCAAACGCTTAGATCACAACACCCAAATCCCTTCAAATACCTGGAAAGCTTTCCCAAGAAGAATGAATACAAAAAAGCCCAGAGAGTGAAGACTACAATAAATACCTAATTCTTCAATGTCCAGACACAGACAAACATCCACAAGCATGAAGACCATACAGGAAAACATGACCTCACCAAACAAACTAAATAAGCCCTCAGGGGTCAATCTGAGAGAGACAGAAATATGTAACCTTTCAGACAGAAAATCCAATAGCTGTTTTGAGGAAACTCGATGAAATTCAAGATAACACGAAGAATTCAGAATCCTATCAGATAAATGTAACAAAGAGATTGAAATAATTAAAAAGAAACAAGCAGAAATTCTGGAGTTGAAAAACTACAATTGACATACTGAAGAATGCATTAGAGTCTCTTAACAGCAGAATTAATCAAGAGAAGAAAGAATTAGGCAGCTTGAAGACAGGCTATTTGAAAATACAGTAAGAGGAGATAAAAGAAAAAATAATAGAAAACAAGGAAGCACATCTAAAATATCTAGAAAATAGTCTTTAAAAGGCAGAGTTATTGGCCATAAAGAGGAGATGGAAAGAGAGATACAAGGGTAGAAAGTTTATTCAAAGGAGTAATAACAGAGAACTTCCCAAACCTAGAGAAAGATATGAATATTCAAGTACAAGAAGGTTATAGAACACCAAGCAGATTTAACCCAAAGAGGACTACCTCAAGGTATTTAATAATCAAACTCTCAAAGGTCAAAGATAAAGAAAAGAGCCTAAAAGCAGCAAGAGAAAAGAAACAACTAACATAAAATACAATGGGGCTCCAATACATCAGGCAGCAGGCTTTTCAGTGAAAACCATACAGGTCAGGAGAGAATGGCATGACATATTTAAAGTGCTGGGGAAAAAAAGACTTTTACCATAGAATAGTATATCTAGCAAAAATATCCTTCAAAGATAAAGGAAAAATAAAGACTTTCCCAGACAAACGAAAGCTGAAAGATTTCAATAACACCAGACCTGTCCAACAAGAAATGCTAAAGGAAGTACTTCAATTAGGAAGAAAAGGATGTTAATGAACAATAAGAAATCATCTGAAGGTGTAAAACTCACTGGTAACAGTAAGTACAAGGAGAAACATACATAACATTCTAACTGTGGTGTGTAAACTAGTCTTAAGTAGAAAGATTAAATGATGAACTGACCAAAAATAATAACAACAACTTTTCAAAATGTAGACAGTACAGTAAGATATAAAGAGAAGCAACAAAAAGTTTAAAAACAGGAAGACAGAGTAAAGGCATAGAATCTTTATCAGTTTTCTTTTTGCTTGTTTGTTTATGCAAATAGTGTTGTTTTCTGCTTAAAATAATGGGTTATAAGATAGTATTTGCAAGCCTCATGGTAACTTCCAATAAAAAAACATACAACAGATACACAAAAGATAAAATGCAAGAAACTAAATCATATCACCAGAAAAAAATTACCTTCACTAAAAGGAAGGCAGGAAGGAATGAAAGAAGGAAGAGAAGACCATAAAACAACAAGAAAATGACAAAATGGCAGGAGTAAGTTCTTAACAATGGTAACACTGAATGCAAATGGACTAAACTCTCCAATCAAAAGATGCAGGCTGGCAGAATGGATGAAAAAGCAAGACCCAGTGATCTGTTGCCTACAAGAAACACTATTCATCTATAAAGATGCACATGGACTGAAAATAAAGGGATGGAAAAAGATATTCCATGCCAATGAAAACTGAAAAAGAGCAGGAATCACTATACTTATATCAGACAAAATAGATTTCAAGACAAAAACTGTAAGAGGAGACAAAGAAGGTCACCATATAATGATAAAGGGGTCGATTCAGCAGGAGGATATAACAACTTTAAATACATATGCACCCAACACTAGAGAACCCAGATATATAAAGCAAATATGAGAGCTAAAGAGACAGGCCCCAGTACAATAATAGCTAATAATAAGTGGAGTGCTCTACTTCAACACCCCACTTTCAATATTGGACAGATCTTCCAGACAGAAAATCAATAAAGAAACATCAGATTTAATCTGCACTATAGACCAAATGGACCTAATGTATATTTACAGAACATTTCATCCAACAGCTGCAGAATACACATTCTTTTCCCCAGCACATGAATAGACCATATGTTAGGTCAAAAAACAAGTCTTAAAACATTCAAAAAACTGAGATAATATCAAGCATCTTCTCTTACCACAATGGAATAAAACTAGAGGAATTTGGAAACGATACAAATACATGGAAATTAAACAATATGCTCCTGAATGACCAATGGGTCTACGGAGAAATTAAGAAGGAAATTGAAAATTTTCTTGAAACAAATGATAATGGAAACACATAAGTCCCATACCAAAACCTGTGAGACACAGCAAAAACAATACTAAGAGGGAAGTTTATAGCTATAAGTGCCTACATCAAAAAACAAGAAAAATTTCAAATAAACAACCTAATAATGCATTTTAAAGAACAAGAGCAAGCCAAACCCAAAATTAGTAGAAGAAAAGAAATAAAGATCAGAACGGAAATAAATTTGAAATGAAGAATACAAAATATCAATGAAACAAAAAGTTGGTTTTTTGAAAAGCTAAACAAAATTCAGAAACCTTTAGCCAGACTAAGAAAAAAGAGAGAAGATCCAAATAAATAAAATCAGACACGAAAAGAAGACATTACAACTGATACTGCAGAAATTCAAAGGATCATTAGTGGCTGCTATGAGCAACTATATGCCAATAAATTGAAACATCTAGAAGAAATTGATAAATTTCTAGACACATACAACCTACCAAGATTGAACCATGAAGAAATCCAAAACCTGAACAGACAAGTAACAAGATTGAAGCCATAATAAAAAGTCTCCCAGGCTGGGCACAGTGGCTCACGCCTGTAATCCCAGCACTTTGGGAGGCTGAGGCAGGCGAATCACGAGGTCAGGAGTTCAAGACCAGCCTGGTCAACATGGTGAAGCCCCGTCTCTACTAAAAATACAAAAAATTAGCTGGGCATGGTGGCAGATGCCTGTAATCCCAGCTACTTGGGAGCCTGAGGCCAGAGAATCACTTGAACCCAGGAGGTAGAGGTTGCAGTGAGCTGAGATCATGCCACTGCACTCCAGCTGGGGTGACAGTGTGAGACTCTATCTCAAAAAAAAAAAAAAAAAAAAAAAAAAGTCTTCTAGTAAAGAAAAGCTTGCAACTCAATGGCTTCACTGCTGTATTCTACCAAACATTTAAAGGAGAACCAATACCAATCCTACTCAAACTCTCAAACTATTCCAAAAAATAGAGGACAGAATCCTTCCAAATTCATTCTATAATGCCAGAATTGCCTGATACCAAAACCAGACAAAGACATATTAAAAACAGAAAACTGTAGCCCAATATCTCTGATGAATATTGATGCAAAGGTCCTCAACAAAATATTACCAAATGGAATTCAACAATACATTAAAAAGATCATTCATTATAACCAAGTGGGATTTATTCCTGGGATGCAAGGATGGTTCAACATATGCAAATCAGTCAGTGTGGTATATCATATCAAGAGAAGGAAAAACAAAAACTATATGATCATTTCAATTGATGCTGAAAAAGCATTTAATAAAATTCAACATCCCTTCATGATAAAAACTCTAAAAAAATGGGTATAGAGGAACATACCTCAACATAATAAAAGCCATATATAACAGACCCATAGCTAGTATCCTACTAAATGAGGAAAAACTTAAAGCCTTTCCTGTAAGATTTGGAACACAATGAGAATGCCCACTTTCACCACTGTTATTTGACATAATACTGGAAGTCCTAGCTAGAGCAATCAGACAAGAGAAAGAAATAAAGGGCATCCAAATTGGAAAGGAAGAAGTCAAATTATCCTTATTTGTGGATGATATGATCTTATATTTGGAAAACCTAAAGATTCCACCAAAAAAAAACTATTAGAACTGATAAATTCTATAAAGTTGCAGGATACAAAATCAACATACAAAAATCAGCATTTCTACATGACAACAGTAAACAATCTGAAAAATCAAAAAAGTAATACCATTTATAATAGCCACACATAAAATTAAATATCCAGGAATTAAAGAAGGAAAAGATCTCTATAATGAAAACTACAAAGCACTAATGAACTAAATTGAAGAAGGCACCAAAAAATGGAAAGATATTTCATATTCGTGGATTGGAAAAATCAACATTGCTAAAATGTTCATACTACCCAAAGCAATCTACAAATTCAGTGCAATCCCTATCAAAATACCAATGACATTCTTCACATATATAGAAAAAAATCCTAAAATTTATATGGAACCTCAAAAGACCCAGAATAGCCAAAATGATCCTAAGCAAAAAGAGCAAAACTGGAAGAATCACATTATCTGACTTCAAATTATGCTACAGAGCTGCACTAACCAAAACACCATGATACTGGCATAAGAGCAGATGCATACACCAGTGGAACAGAATAGAGAACCCAGAAACAATCCACACACTTATTGTGAACTCATTTTGGACAAAGGTGCCAAGAGCATACACTGAGGAAAAGATAGTCTCTTCAATAAATGGTGGTGGGAAAACTGGAAATCCATATGCAGAAGAATGAAACTAGATCCCTATCTCTTGCCTTTTACAAAAATCTAATCAAAATAGATTAAAGACTTAAATCTAAAACCTCAAACTATGAAACTACTACAAGAAAACATCAGGGAAACATTTCAGGACATTGGCCTGGGCAAAAATTTATTCAGTAATACCCCACAGGCACTGGCAACCAAAGCAAAAATGGATAAATGGGATTGCATCAAGTTAAAAAGCTTCTGTACAGCAAAGGAAACAATCAACAAAGTTAAGAAATAACTCTATGGAAAGGTGTTCAACATCATTGATCATCAGAGAAATGCAAATCAAAACTACAGTGAGATATCACCTCATTCCAGTTAAAATGGCTTTCATTCAAAAGGCAGGGAATCATAAATGCTGGCAAGGATGTGGAGCAAAGGGAACACTGTTGGCTGGGATTGTAAATTAGTACAATAACTACGAAGAACAGTTGGGAGGTTCCAAAAAAAACTAAAAATGGAGCTACCATATGATCTAGCAATCCCACTGCTGGGTATATACCTTAAAAAAAAAGATATCAGTACATGAAAGAGAAATCTACACTCCCATGTTTGTAGCAGCACTGTTCATAATATCCACAATTTGGAAGCAACCTAAGTGTCCATCACAGATGCGTGGATAAAGAAAATGTGATACTTTTTTAAATTTTTCTTTAATTATTATTATTATACTTTAAGTTTTAGGGTACATGTGCACAATGTGCAGGTTTGTTACATATGTATACATGTGCCATGTTGGTGTGCTGCACCCATTAACTCGTCATTTAGCATTAGGTATATCTCCTAATGCTATCCCTCCCCGCTCCCCCCACCCCCTAACAGTCCCCGGTGTGTGATGTTCCCCTTCCTGTGTCCATGTGTTCTCATTGTTCAATTCCCACCTATGAGTGAGAACAGGCGGTGTTTGGTTTTTTGTCCTTGCGATAGTTTGCTGAGAATGATGGTTTCCAGCTTCATCCATGTCCCTACAAAGGACATGAACTCATCATTTTTTATGGCTGCATAGTATTCCATGGTGTATATGTGCCACAGAAAATGTGGTACTTATACACAATAGAGTACTATTCAGCCATAAAAAAGAATGAGATCCTGTCATCTGCAAAAACATGGATGGAACTGGAGGTCATTATGCTATGTGAAATAAACCAGGCACAGAAAGACAAACATTGCATGCTCTCATTTATTTGTGGGACCTAAAATTCAAAGCAATCGAACTCATGGACATAGATAGTAGAAGGGTGGCTGGCTATCAGAGGCTAGAAGAGTGGCAGGAGGATAAGGTGGGGATGGTTAATGGGTACAAAAAAGTAGAAAGTATTCATAAGTCCTAGTATTTGCTAGCACAACAGGGTAACTACAGTTAATAATAATTGTACATTTTTAAATAACTAAAAGAGTATAGTTAGATTGTTTATAACACAAAGGATTAATGTTTGATGGTAGAGATCCCTCATTTTACATGATGTGATTATTACACATTGCATGGCTGTACTGAAACCTCTCATGTACCCCACAAATATATAAACCTACTAGGTACCCACACAAATTAAAATTTAATTTTTAAAGCCTGCGACAGATTAAAAAAATAAAAACAGAAGACACCTGCACTCATATGTTTATTGCAGCACTATTTACAATAGCATAGTCATGGAACCAACCTAAATGTCCACCAACAGTTGAATGGGTAAAGAAAATATGGCATAGATACCCCATGGAATACTATGAAGCCATAAAAAAGAATGAAATCATGTCCTTTGCAGCAACATGGATGGAACTGGAGGCCATTATCTTAAGGAACTAACACAAAAGCAAAAAAAATCAAACATTGCATGTTCTCACTTATAAGTGGGAGCTAACCAAATGGCACACATGAACATAAAGATGGAGAAAAACAAAGCTATCATATGAAGTCTGGGGACTCCACAGAGGGAAGGACTGAAAATTACTTGCTGAGTACAATGTCCAATATTTGGTTGATGGGTACACTAGAAGCCCAACCCCCACCATTACACATGTAATACCCATGTAACAGGCACATATACCCCCTGAATCTAAAATAAAATAATTAAAATTAAAGAATTTCAAATTAAACAGACTTAGCTATTATTTTTTAAAAACCTTTTAAATGAAAACTGCTAATCTAGGAATTCCTCCATTGCTTCTAATTACATGCTAATGAATATGAAAGCAGTGACACAGGATAAAATCATTTCTTTTTCCTGTAACCAGATTCAGTTAGCTGGAGAGCTGCCAAGCATTTTCTGTGACATGAAACAAAACCCTGGAACATAGCTATAAATGTATCCCCATACAATGTCTGCTAAGAATGAATGCTCTGTGATTTTTCTTTTTTGAACTTGAATAATATGGCTCTCTACAAAAGCATTTCAATGGTGCTGGAAGGTCAAACTATTTCCAGATAACCCTAAGAGACCTTGGGTTACCTCCTATTCTGGCTATCTTTTGGCCCAGGGAAATCTTAGGGGATTTCTACCCCACTTCAGTAGGTCCTCAAGCAAGCCAAATTGGTTACTAGTCCCCAAAACTGGTTCCAAATGACAAAGAACCACAGGTTTAACTTAATCCCATTGCCTTCCCCTCACTTGGGTGACTGTTCCGTTGATTATTTCTTCCTTTTCACACCTCCATCTCTCCCCTTCCATTGGCTTTTCCCTCTGAGCCTATAAATATACTCAAGTCTTCTCTTCTAAAATAAGATATTTTATTGGAATACTAAGCTGCCTTCTCATCTCCTTATTTTCTCCCACAAATTTATTGATGGAATAGCCTATATTTATGAGCTCTACCTCTTCATCTCCCTTAATACCTAATTACCAGGATGCAGCTATCTCAGCTCCCTTTATGCTGCTTAGCTAACACTAACATGGAAGCCACCAGCCACCTTGTCACTGCTGTTTTAAAGATTTGCTCACTCCCTACACTTTTGCTTTATGACATTAAAATTGTCTTCCTAATAAAAATAAATGAATAATAAAGAAAAAGGAAATAGGAAAGAAAGAAAAGAAAAGAGAAATAAAATTGTCTTTCTTTGCCTGCTACGGCCACCCTCTTCCTGGGTTTTGCTCCCAACTCTGGCTATTCTTTCCTGGTCTCATTGGTGATACTTTCATTAACCTCCTACTCATCAACATGTATATCCCCACAGTTTTCACCTTAACGTTTCTCCTTACTCTACTCACTCTCCCTGGGTGATCTCAACCATTCTTGGGGTTTCCCTAAACTCTCTTCACTGATGTCTCCCAAAACTAAAACCACCAACTTCTCTCCCAAGCTCTAGACTCGTATTTCCAATAGCGCACCTTGCCTCCCTATCCAGAAGTCCCACAGGCTCTTAAATGTGCCCCCAAATGATTCATTATCTTGGCCTCCAAATCTGCTTCTTCTCTTATCTTCTGTCTCAATGTGATTTTCATCCCACCAGTTGTCTAAACTTGAAAAATTCTATAATCTTTTATTTTCTCCCTTATTCCCTACATGTAATCTATGACATACAAGCCCTGGATTCTGTCTCCAAAATGTCTTATATCCACACATTCCCCATGAATTGTCTGAGTTCAGCCCCTGAATACCTCTTGCTTGACCTAATCCAATAATCACTAACTCATCTCTCCTTCTCCTCTCCCTTTCCCTTCTTCCTCTTCTGCTCCCCTCCCCTCCTCTTTCCCTCCTCCCTCCCCCTTTCCCCTCCACAATGTTCCCAGATTAATGACATTCTTCATCACAAGAAAAAGACATAGAAATACAGTTAGCCCTGAGGAACTGGCACATTTCCCTAAGTAAGCGCATGGGAATATAATGCAACAGAAAATGGACTGTGATTTGCTGGCCTAAAAAATAAATTACGATTTTGTTGGCTTTTCAAATGAGGTCAAATGTGATTGGGCTCCAACCCAGTTCACATTTACTCATTTCCTCAGATAATTCCAAAACGTGCATCACTCTCAGCCACAGAGCATTCCCACACTTGTACTGGTGCAGTTCTCACTGCCTGAATGTACTGCACCTCACTCTTTTCCCACCAAGCAGATGCTTTCTCACGGCACAGCTAAAATATCATCTCATATAGGTTACCTCCTGACTTATATATAACTCCTCCTGCAATTATCATCACTTCTGTGTTAGTCCATTTTGTGCTGCTATAACAAAATACTACAGACTGGGTAGTTTACGAAGAATGGAAATTTATTTCTCACAGTTCTGGAGGCTGAAAAGTCTCCAAGATCAAGGTACCAGCATCTGGTGAGGGCCTTCTTGATGTGTCCTCACATGGCAGAAGAACAGCAGAGCATGAATCCACTCCCAAGAGTTGTTTTTATAGTGGCATTAATCCATTCATGAGAGCAGAGCCCTATCACCTAAACACCTCCCTTTGGCCACACATCTCAATAATGTTACCTTGGGGATTACGTTTCCAACACATGAATTTTGGAGGGCACATTTAGACTACAGCAACTTCCTTTAGCACTCCCACAGAACTCCAGCTGTATTCCTCTCCTAGCACTTAGTACTTGATTACCATTCTGTAATTGTGGCTGCGAGGTCATCTTCATTTTGCAAGAACCCAGCACAGTGCTTAGACCATGGCGGGGGGGTGGGGGGCCGGTGGGGAAACACCCTCAATAAACACCCTTTCACTTGCTAGGGATGGCCCAAGTAAAGAGAAGATTTAGCTGCAGAAGCCTTAGGCCTGTTGCCTACATCAAACACAATGGGGCATGATGATTCATCGAGATATTAATTTGTACTTTCTTCCTGCTGCTATTGCTACTATCAGTATTTTTCCCTTCTCCCTTCCAATAACATAGACAACTTTATGTTTGGAGTTTTTGAGTCCTTAGCAAGAGTCACACTCCATTTTTAATAATTTTGTGAATTTCAGGGTAATAAATTGAAGTTTCAAGGTACTTACAAAAGTTCCCATCCAGACAGGGCTTTGTGAAAGAAAGCCTATGCCAAAAGGGAAAGGACAGGAATATTCTCCAGAACAGGAAAGGAATGAATTTAAGAGATTGTGTTCTGTCAGAAACACAGACCTCGTTCCCACCTGTGCCTGGGTAGGTGGGAGCTGGGGGAGCTCTTCCAGAAAGCCAACAGTAGATGGACATGGTGCATTCTCTCTCAGGGTGGTCGTCAGTGGGTGAACAGCTGGGAGGGTCCTCTGACAGCCTAGTTGCTGGGGATCATGTCTTCAGCAGCAGCATGTCGGAATGTGCAGTGGTCATGACGGAGCCAACTGTGGGGAGTGGACTGGGCCCCATCCCAAATTTATGGCACTGTACCAGCCTGGGATTCTTATATTATCCTATGGAGTGGGAAAGGGTATCAGTAATGATTGAGATTTAATTTTCCCACCAGTCAGGTAGTTAATTCAATATAGAAAAATAAAGGAATGTGACCTAAAAGAGAACTGTGCTCTAAAATTAATGTCTACTACATAATGCTCACTCCAATCCCCAGGAAAAGTACAGTATCTCTCAGAGCAGCCCTGAAACAGCTTTGAGACATAACATTGACCTATTCTTGCTTTGAACACACATTATCTAATATGTCAAGATGTCATTACAGGGGCAACGAAATTTCTTGCATATATATTTCTGTTTAAAGCTATTAGAAAGTCTTCTTTTGGTGTATGCTATGAAGTATCTCTTCAAATCCTATTAGTTCAAAAAGCTAAAGGCAGAAGCAATCCAGGGTGACCAATTTCAGCTTTGCTGGATACTGAGAAAGACATAGGAAGGAAGCCGACATCTGAGGAAGTACAGTTCCCAAACATGGCCACAAGGTGGCAGGGTGACTCTGCACGCCAGAAGCATAGCATCCAAGGCGTGGCTGTTCTGGAATGCACAGAGAAAGAGAACCCAGGAGACAGGCAATACAGAATAATTGGAAAGCCTGTATCTAGAGGACTTTTCCACTGAGCGGTGGATTCTCATATTATTAATGTACCCATCTTCTAGAGGCAAACCCTCCAAGAGCCTTTGTGAGGCCTTAGCAGCTTTCAGATGCCGATTCCCCAGCTCCAAGATCAGCCTCAGCTGCACGGCAGCTCACGCCTGTAATCACAGCTACTCGGGAGGCTGAGGTGGGAGGATCACTTGAAGCCAGGAGTTCGAGACCAGCCTGGCCAACATAGCAAAACCCTGTCTCTACTGAATATACAAAAAATTAGCTGGGCAAGGTGGCCCACACCTGTAGTCCCAGCTACTTAGGGAGGCTGAGGTGGGAGGATCACTTGAGCCCAGGAGACAGAGGTTGCAGTGAACCAAGATCGCACCACTGCACTCCAGCCTGGTCAACAGAGCAAGACCCTGTCTCAAAAAAAAAAAAAAAAAAAAATCAGCCTCTGCCACTCAGTGGAGAATCATGGAAATCTGTTAGGATCAACACCTATGAGGAGGCCTGGCCCTGCTCACCAGCACAGACTTACCACTGAATAGAGGTATCATTTGAAACCCCCTCAATCTCAAAGTCCTGTCTTCAAACAGGAAGAAAGATAAGCTCAATGTCAAACTCATCAAATGCAGGTTCAACTGCCTCAGTCAAGGGGAATTGGCCTTATATTCAAATCACTTCCCTTGCTCCTCCTATCAGTAGGGGTTAGCGTACTGTCTGCAGGGGAGGTAGGAGAGATTGGAAAATCTGCAGAGCAATCAGAAAATTTGCATGAAATCATGACAGAAAATAAAAACCTAACTGGGTATTAATTTAAGGCCACACAAAAAAATTCATAGAAGTTTAGAAATTCAATGAAAGAAATTAAGACAGACATAAATAAATGGATGTAAAGGTTACCTATGACTGAATGGCTAACAAGCTTGTTTCCCCGGCCCTCTCATCAATTCTGTAAGCTGCCATGTAACTCTATAGTTGAGACTCTTTTCTCTTAAGGTAGTTGAGTAGGTTGTAATGTCTGCAATAAAAATCCTGGTTATTACAACAGAAGACAAGGAAACAAATAGAATTAGTAAATCACTCTAGAGAAAAAAGCAAATCAATGGGAGGTGGAGTAGAAAGGAAAATGAGGGACTGGGGAAGGAATGTAGGAGAATGGCTACAGGATTTCAGAAGGTGCACATTTAATATTCAATTTTAGACTGTTTATGTTACCAAGATATAAACTTCTCCTATCCCTCCAAACCATCAATTGGTTTTCTACATATTCAAATGCCTTTCAAGTGAATGGACTGCTGATGTTTGTGTGAATTAAGGCAAATGGATTCCTTTTCCTTTGCCGATCTGGGCCATTGCAATGCAGACACAAGAGCAGCCACCGGCAGTAAAGTAGAGCAATAAACACACGCAGGTGCAGGCACAAAGAGGTGGAAGGTACCATGAGAAATCAACCCCCAGGAATTCAATTTCTATGATGTGTATGAAGGATACAGGAGTAAAGACTTGAGCTGACCTCTGGGTTATACAAAGATAAGCTGCCCCTAGACCAGTGGTTTTCAAACTTTAGCAAGTACCAGAATCACCTGGGGGGCTAATCAAAACACTGATTGCTACGCTCCACCAGGTTTCTCAATCAGTGGATCTGATACAAGTTCTGATTAATTAAATTTCTAACAAGTTCCCGGTGATGGCAACGTTACTAGTCCAGTAACCATATTTTGTAAACCACCGTTCTAGGCCAACGAGAGTGGGTCTTACTCACCTGGGACATGTAAATTGAGAAAGACAGGAAAAGTTTCTGTGAGCCAGGTAGGAAAATTTTTGTTCCATTATCTATAGTTTAAAATGTATTTCTGTAGAAAAGTTTTGTTTGATTTTGTTATCAATGTGCTGCTGATCAAAGTATAAATTGGTACAATCCTTCTGTAGGGAAATTTGGCAACATCAAAATATTAAATGAGTATATCCTTTGACTCAGCAGTTCTGCACCCAGAAGAAGAAAACAGTGTAAAAAGATAATTTCAGGAATATTCTGGCAGTATTTTTTGATCTTTTAAAAATCCCTAAATGGCCATAAAAAGGTGATTGATAAAATCAATCATAAAAAAAAAAAGTCACCTGGCCGGGCGCAGTGGCTCACGCCTGTAATCCCAGCACTTTGGGAGGCCAAGATGGGCAGATCAAGAGGTCGGGAGTTTGAGACCAGCCTGGCCAACATAATGAAACCCCATCTCTACTAAGAATACAAAAAATTAGCTGGGCATGGTGGCAGGCGCCTGTAATCCCAGTTACTTGGGAGGCTGAAGCAGGAGAATCACTTGAACCCAGAAGGAGGAGGTTGCAGTGAGCCGAGACCGCGCCACTGCACTCTTTCCCCGGGCGACAATGTGAGACTCTGTCTCAAAAAAAAAAAAAAAAAAAAAAAAATTCACCTTTCATGAGACAACATTTACAGTGTACTATTTATTGAAAAGGCAGGTCCTTATACACATTACTCCACTAGTCAGTGCTGCTCAAAGTAGCAGCCTATTAACTGTTTTTTGCTGTTCTTAAAGCTATAAATCAGCACACACTGCCTTCTTCCTTGAAAATGTCTTATCACAGCAAACAATGCAACAATTTCTCTTAATATCTTCATATGCAAAGTGGGTATAAAAGGTCAGGATTTATAAAAAGGTAAGTTTCTTTAAGACCTTAATGAAACTAAAACAAGTGCTTTGGAAACAAATATTCCCAAACACATGCCTGGTTTTATGGGAATGCTATGCTATATACCATCATATATCAACACACATCTTTTTCAAACAACAGGTAATTGGAATACAGCAGTGTGTTTAATGAATAATTTTAAGAGAGAACAATTCAGAGCATCAAACAGTATTTATATACCAGTACAACTGGATAGATGGATGGGTGATCTGGTATATCAAATGTGAATCAGGGCTGGGTGCAGTGGCTCATGTCTGTAATCTCAACACTTTGGGAGGCCAAGGAAAGCAGATCACCTGAGGTCAGGAGTTCAAGACCAACCTGGCCAACATGGTGAAACCCCATCTCTACTAAAAATACAAAATTAGCCAGGCATGGTGGCGCACACCTGTAATCCCAGCTACTTGGGAGGCTGGGGCAGAAGAATCACTTAAACCCGGGAGGCAGAGGTTGCAGTGAGCCGAGATCACACCACATTGCACTCCAGCCTGGGCAACAAGAGCAAGACTCTGTCTCAAAAAAAAAAAAAAAAAAAAAAAAGCCAGGCACGGTGGCTCATGCCTGTAATCCCAGCACTTTGAGAGGCCAAGGCAGGCAGATCACGAGGCCAAGAGTCTAAGACCAACCTGGCTAACATGATGGAACCCTGTCTCTACTAAAAATATAAAAAATTAGCCAGGCATGGTGGCAGGTGCCTGTAATCCCAGCTACTCAGGAGGCTGAGGCAGGAGAATTGCTTGAACCTGGGAGGTGGAGGTTACAGTGAGCCGAGATCGCACCACTGCTCTCCAGCCCAGGCGACAGTGGGAGACTCCATCTCAAAAAAAATAAATGTGAATCAGGACATTTAACCGTGTAGTATACAGAGCTGATATGGATGCATCCTTCCCACTAAAAACACATGGAAATTCTAAATAAAATATAACCAATAAGCAAAATTACTTCCAAAGAACAAGTATCTCCCAGATTCCAAAATTTAAAAAAAAAAAAAAAAAAAATCAAAGCCAGAGCTTCAGCAATCCACTGGAAATTTAGTTTCAGACTTAGAGGCTATGGGACTCCACAGGGAAAAAGAACAGGATTGGAAGCTCCACCTCCAACTCCCTGCAGGAATAAAGCCCTGCACCTTAAAGAACAGTCCTGTAAGTAAAAAGGAAACTGTACACAGCCTGCTCGCTAGCGCAAAGAAAGAGCGAGGAAGCTGCTGAGTGCCCTGGTCCTTGAGTTTAAAATTTAAATTTAAAAAAAAAAAAAAAAAAAAAGCCACTGCTGGGCGCAGTGGCTAATGTCTGTAATCCCAGCACTTTGGGATCACAAGGTCAGGAGTTCAAGACCAGCCTGGCCAACATGGCAAAACTCTGTCTCTACTAAAAATACAAAAATTGGCCAAGCACGGTGGCTCACGCCTGTAATCCCAGCACTTTGGAGACAGGCAGATCACCTGAGGTCAGAAGTTCGAGACCAGCCTGACCAACATGGAGAAACCCCGTCTCTACTAAAAATACAAAATTAGATGGGCATGGTGGCCCATGCCTGTAATCCCAGCTACTCGGGAGGCTGAGGCAGGAAAATCGCTTGAACCCGGGAGGCAGAGGTTGCAGTGAGCTGAGATCGAGCCATCGCACTCCAGTCTGGGCAACAAGAACAAGACTCCGTCTCAAAAAAAAAAAAAAGAAAAGAAAAAAAAGCCACCCATGAGCCATGAGAAATAGAAATCTAGGACTTGCACAGGTTGAGGGGTCTAAATGTTTCCTCCATACAGTTTTTAATACTCCAAGATGAATTGTTACTATAAAAAGTGATCCAGGACCACCAAAATTCCTAGGGATACAGTAAACACAACATGAAAATCTCCGTCCTTACAGACAGAGATTGAAATAAATAATTTTACAGCTCAAAGCTTATGGAAAACTCACTGAAGATGAACTAGCACAATTAAATATCACAGAACACAGGAGGAAACGAATCACCATGAGGGTGAATCAGCAGACCTGAAAATTGACACCTTAAGAAGTGAAAACAATAGATGAATTAAACGGACTACAAAATAGTCAAGTTTTAAAATAATTTAGAAACCATAGTGAAGGAATAAGATACTCTGGCAAAGGGATAGATTTATTTTAAATAACCAAATAAAATTTTATAAATAAAAAATATTATTAGTGGAAAACAAAACTATTGCTAGGTTAAATAATATAACAGAGCCACCTTTAAAAAGAACTACTGGGCTGGGCCGGGCACGGTGGCTCACGCATGTAATCCTAACACCTTGAGAGGCCGAGGTGGGCGGATCACCTGAGGTCAGGTGTCCGAGACCAGCCTGGCCAACATGGTGAAACCCCATCTATACTAAAAATACAAAAAATTAGCCAGGCATGGTGGCGGGTACCTGCAATCCCAGCTACTCGGGAGGCTGAGGCAGGAGAATCACTTGAACTCGGGAGGCGGAGGTTGCAGTGAGCTGAGATCACGCCTCTGCGCCACAGCCTGGGCAACAAGAGCAAAACTCCGTCTCGGAAAAGAAAAAAACAAAAAAGAACTACTGGGGTCGCGGGACACCGGGCATAGAGGGCGGCGGTGGTGGGGCAGCTGCGGCAGAATGTTGGCTACCAGGGTAGTTAGCCTAGTTGGCAAGCGAGCAATTTCCACCTTGGTGTCTGTACGAGCACACGGAAATGTTGTGAAGAGCGATGACTATGCGCTCCCAGCTTATGTGGATCGACGTGACTATCCCGTACCCGATGTGGCCCATGTCAAGCACCTGTCTGCCAGACAGAAAGCCGTGAAGAAGAAGGAGAAGGCCTCCTGGAGCAACCGCTCCACGGATGGGAAAGTCGAGTTGTATCACATTCAGTTCAAGGAGAGCTTTGCTGAGATGAACAGGGGCGTGAACGAGTGGAAGACGGTTGTGGGCGCTGCCATGTTCTTCCTTGGCTTCACGGCGTTCATTATCATCTGGGAGAAGCGCTGTGTGTACGGCCCCATCCCGCACACCTTTGACAAAGAGTGGGTGCCCATGCAGACCAAGAGGATGCTGGACATGAGGTGAACCCCTGCAGGGCTTCGCCAGCCAAGTGGGACTATGACAAGAACGAGTGGAAGAAGTGAGAGATGCTGTCCTGCTTTTGAGCCTTGCTCTGTCACCTCCATACTATAACTCCATGCCTATTTACTGGAAACCTGTTATGCCAAACAGTACCACTGCTAATAAATGACCAGTTTACCTGAAAGAAAAAAAAAAAGAACTACTGAAGTGAAAGAAAAATCTGGAGAAAGTACCAGAGACAAGGTGTGGAGAAGGGAAAAAGGAGAAATAAAGAATATGAATATGAATCAATGAATAGTTAACAGATAAGAAACACAGAAAGAGATGCTTCAGCATATGGCAGTTTAAAGAGGTCTAAGAAGGGAATGGGAGAGAGACAATACTCAAAGAGATGACTAAGAATTTTCCAGAATTAGAAAGTGAGAATTAAGACAGAAAATGTCTAAATAAAATCAAATCCACACCTATACCCATAATGGTTAAATTTAAGATTAAAAAAAGAGAAATTCTTAAAATCAACCGGAGGAAGACAATGTATCTAAAAATAAATTATAATTCTCATCAGTGATAGATGATAAAGGACTAAAAAGTAATACATTAAAATGTTGAAGGGACTCTCATTTCTGGACAAGATGGAATAAGTACAAAAAACAAAAAGCTTCAAGAAAAGTCTGCTCTCTGTCCCTCAGGGTTTCTCACCTTTGGCACTTTTGATTTGGAGCTGGATAACTGCTGCAGGATCTTGTTCTCTGTATTATAGGATATTCAGCAGCATCCCTGGCTAGATGTCAGTGACAACCCTCCAGTTGTGACAACCAAAAATGTCTTAGACATTGGCAAATGTCATCTGGGGGAATAAAATTATCTCCAGTTGAGAATCCATCCCCTTAGCCAAAGGACGTGGAAGAGGACAGTGCTGCAAGACAGAACCCTTGTGAATATACTCATTGTATTTTAGGCAAACACCACAAAAGAACCGCATCTCTCTGCATCCTCACCAGGCACTGTGAAGAGCCCTGTTGACCATCCTTGCCTGGCACTAACAGCAGAAGTAGCACGCCTTCTCCTCCTCACTGGAATGGATTGGAGCTCTGTTGACCATTCCTGCCCTAAACCAAGACAAGATCGGGAAAGAAGCAGTGCCCCTTCCCTTCTTCAATGGCATAGCGACCACAGAACCCACCATGGACTGTAGGGAGAAGCACTCTACCACCCTGCACTTACTAACTGAAGGACAGCAAGAGGCAACACCCTACCTCCTCTCAACTAGAGAGTGAGGAAGGATTATGGAGAAAAGAGGACTGGATAAAGAAATCTTGTCAATCTGTGTATGAAGTCCTGTGCAGACCCCTAAATGGTCCATGTGTGAAATCAACCGGAGTCAACATAGTAAAGTTTTGGGAACTGAACTACGGTGAGAAATATCATACAGGTTTCAGTTCACCTATGGATAACACTCTATATAGAGCAGATCAGAATAGCAGGGCAAAGGCTATAAAAACTAAATCGACATTCAAGCCACAGCCCACAAAAGTGAATAAGACATGAATTTTGAGTCCAAGCAGGTTGATTGCCTCTAAACCAGAATCTCATTATGTAATACTCAAAATGTCTAGGATACAATCCAAAGTTATTCATCAAAGTTATTCATCATACCAAGAACAGGGAAAATCTTAAAGACAAGACAATCTACAGACACCAACATCAAAGCAACACAAATGTTGGAATTTATGACAAGGATTTTAAAGCGGTTATCATAAAAATGCTCCAAGAAATTATGAACCCTCTTCAAACAAACGGAAAAACCAGTGGGCTCAGAAAAATACTCAAGATATAAAGAATAAAACTGAAAATAATAGAACTGAAAAATACAATAACTTAATTTTTTTTTTAACTCACTAGCTGGGCTCAGTGGCAGAAGAGAATTGACAGAGGAAAGAGATCAGTGATCTTGAAAATATATCAATAAAGCCGGGCATGGTGGCTCATGCCTGTAATCCCAGCACTTTGGGAGGCCAAGGCAGGTGGATCACGAGGTCAGGAGATCGAGACCATCCTGGCTAACACGGTGAAACCCCGTCTATACTAAAAATACAAAAAATTAGCTGGGCGTGGTGGCTGGCACCTGTAGTCCCAGCTACTCGGGAGGCTGAGGCAGGAGAATGGCATGAACCCGGGAGGCGGAGCTTGCAATGAGCCAAGATCACACCATTGTACTCCAGCCTGGGCGACAGAGCGAGACTCCGTCTCAAAAAAAAAAAAGAAAAGAAAATATATCAATAGAAATTGTCTAATCTGAACAATAGAGAGACAAGTTTAGGAGGAAGGTATGAACAAAGACTCAGGGAGCTGTGGGACAATAACCAAAAAAAAATCTAATATTTGTGTTATCAGAATCTCAGTAGGATCAGAGAAAGAATTCAGGACTGAGAAACTATTTCAAGAAATAATAAAAATATCCCAAATTTGGGGAAAGACATAAATCTAGAGATTGAAAAACCTAACTAAACTTTAAACAGGAGAAACCCAAAGAAATCCATACCCAGACATATCATAATTAAATTTCTGAAAATTTAAGATAATAAAAAAATCTTGAAAGCAGTCAGACAGAAATGATAAAGTATATACAGTGGGATAACAATTCAAATGACAGTGGATTTCCACATCTAAAATCATAGAGGCCAGAAGGAAGTGGCACTTTTTCTTTTGTGATATATTAATAGATTTATACTTAAATATATGTCAAGCAGAATGCCAACAAGTCTACTAAAATATCACTCATAAAATACAACACTAAATAGTAGATACTATTATAAAAATGAGGAAATAGGTTTTAGCAAACTTTATTTTGTCCAATATAACATATTCTCCAATGCAAAATAGCATTGGGTTTATAATGGCTTATTGTTTCATTACAGTTCTTATCTTTTTCAAATGTCTGTCTAAGCCCATAGACTTTATGATCAGTGTTTTGTTCCTGGTCCAGTTGGTGGTGGTGTTTTCCCTAACATTTCCATGATTGTGCACATGCTTTGGGCCTAACAGTGTTAGGAATAGCCTTAAAGAGAGAATAAGGAAAAAGAATTTGATCTGTATTGTCTGTCTCTGAGAGTACTCAGGGTCTTCACCCTCAGCCAAAGGACAAACTGTCACTGCACATAGTGGATCTGAGATGTGTATTCAAATTTATATGTTTATGGTATCAGATAGGATCCAATTCTCCTTTACACTCAGAACAATCTGTATAACTCTGTGTGTTTTTCTTCTTTTCCATTTCTACCAAGTCTGCACCACACTTTCAGATCCTATGATTATTTTGTTGGGGTGGAAGTAGCACATTTTTCAAGTGCTAAAATAAAGCAACTGTCAAGTCAGAATTCTATATCAGTGAAAATGTCCTTCAAGATCAAAAGGGAAATCAAGACATTTTTAGATGAAGGAACACTAAGAAAACTTGTTGCCAGCAATCCTACTCTAAAAGAATTGCTAAAGGAAGTTATTTGGACAGAAGGGAAATATTATTAAGAGAAATCTGGATCATCAGGAGTGAAAGAAGAGCAACAAAGATGATAAATATCTTGGTAAACATAATAAACCATTCTTCTCATGAATTCTTTAAAACATGCTTGATTTTTGAAGGCAAAAAGTATGTGTATTCATTTGCTAGGGCTACCATAACAAAGTACCACAAACTGTGGGGTTTAAACAATAAAATTTTCTCATATTTCTGGAGATCAGAATTCCAAGAGCAAGGTGCCAGCAAGGTTGGTCTCTTCTGAAGCCTCTCTCTTTGGCTTGTAGGCGGCCATCTTCTTCCTGTGTCTTCACATGATCCTCTCTGTGTCTGCGTCCAAGTCTCCTCTTCTTACAATGACACTAGTCATATTGAATTGGGGCTCGCTCTAATGACCTCATTTTAACTTCATTTTAACTGAATTACCTATTTAAAAACCCTAGCTTCAAATACAGTCACATTCTGAAGTCCTGAGGATTAGTACATCAACATATGAATTTGGGGTGTATACAATTTGGCCCATCAGAGAATATGAATATAATATATAACTAAAACATAGAGGGGCAGATAAAGGGACTTATATGGTGGTAAGAATTATATATTCCACTGAAGTGGTGAAATATTGATTCTAAGTAGACAGAAGTTCAGTATGTACAGTGTAGTTCCTACTCCACTTAAAAACATACAAAATATGGCAATAAATAAAATATCAAAAGTGTGTAAATAATCCAAAATAAGATAGAGAAGGGGAAATAGAATAACCAAAAAAAAATCATGACCAATAGGTCTTGTCCCAGCAATGTACCTTTGGTTAACAATAATAGCATTGATTATTCTATCAATGACTCATTTCCAGTGTAAAATGGCAGACTGAACACATGCTTTTATCTCTATTGCTGCACCTCAGATTTCTTAGAGAAAAGTATTTTTTTAAGGTAAAAACCAACATCGACAAAAAGAGCAAGGGAGAAACAGTAGCAGATGAGAAAGATCAACACATTTTTGGAAGATGAGAAGGATATAGCCAGAAACTAAGTCTCACCATCTTTCTTCACTCTGCAAGGCACCTACACAGGGGAAATGCCACAACAGGCTAGCTGATTCATGCAGCAGAATCCCAGAATGGTTCTGTCATTGTAGGTGCCTGTTCCCTCAGAAGGTGGGGAACAGAGATAGGGCTGAAAACAGGAGAACTGGCAGAAAGGATGTACAGAGAGCCAAGCCTCCACCAGATCCAGCAGCCAACAATGAAGCCAGAGGACTATTCCCTTCCTAAGTGTCATGGATTGAATTATGTTCCCCAAAATTCATATGTTGAGGCCCTGACTCCACTACCTCCGAATACAACTGTATTTAGAGATGGGGCCTTTAAAGAGGTAGTTCAAATTAAATAAGGTCATAAGGGTGGGACTCTAATTTAATGGAACTGGTGGGCTTCCGCAGAGTGGAAAAAACACGAGAGCTTTCTCTCCTCCACCCTGGTAAGGACACGGAAAGAAGGTGCCACCGGCAAGCCAGGAATATTAAAAGGGGTTGGGGTATTTATAAGTTGTGTTTGGCCTCAGCAAACACCAACCCTCCTGGCACCTCAGTCTTGGACTTACAACCTCTAGAACTGTAGGAAAATACGTGTGTGTTGTTTAAGCCACCCAGACAGTGGTATCTTGTTATGAGAGTCCCAGCTGACCAATGCAGCAAGTCTACAGGGATCTCTGTTTAATCTCTGGAGAAATAAAAGCAGAGAGGCTGTGGGTTTGGAAACCTCGCATCCCTCGTGGCAAGAATGAGGTTCTGTACCAAAAATGGAGTATTCAGGACAAGTCCATGATAATAAAAGGGAAGTCTGCCAGGTCTCTTCACCTCCTGGATTCGCAAAATAATGACAACTAGGCTTATGCCCAGGAGCACTTTCAGGGAGAGAGACAGAGACAGGAAATTGGAATCTTCATCTGTAAAGAAAATTACTGGGCCCAGAAAAAATACAGCAGGTTCTCAAATAATGTTGTTTTGTTATAACATTGATGAGAACAAAACACTCTATTCCTGACACCAGAGCCACTGTCTGTGTGGAGTTCATGTTCTGCCCATGTCTGCATAGGTTTTCTCTGGGTACCCCAGTTTCCTCCCACATCCCAAAAATGTGCACATGAGGCGAACTAGCATGTCCACATGGTCCCAGCGTGAGTGAGTGTGGCTGTGTGTGAGTGCCCTGAGATGGGATGGCATCCTGTCCAGGGCTGGTTCCAACCTTGCACCTGAGCTGCCAGGACAGGCCCCAGCCACCCACAACCCTGAACGGGAATAAGTGAGTTGAAGAATGAATGAAGAAATAAAAACAAATTATTATAAAATAAAAATTCATAAAGTATATGATAATCATACCAATGCACAAAAATAAATGATGCACTATGAAAGCACTCAGCAAGCCCTTGTTTGCTTTTTGAACTATGGGGTGGCAGGAAGTGCTCCTGACAATTTTCACTCTGCAAAAGTTAATTCATTGATTTGGTCCACCACACTATAAGCCACTATTACTCACTGATTCACCAAAAATTAGATAAATAATTATCTTACTTGTTTTTATTAATCTTTCTTAAATGTATATGTAGCTTACATTTATTTCCATGTTTAATATTAAAGGGCTTGGGGTCTTTATTTAGAAGTTTTGTGACCAGAAATACACCATAGAAACTTAGTTCATTGTTGTTGTTGTCTTTGTTGCTGTTAAGATAGAGTCTTGCTCTGTTGTCCAGGCTGGAATCAATGGCATGATCTCAGCTCACTGCAGCCTCAGTGTCCCTGGGCTCAAGCCATCCTCCTACCTCAGCCTCCCAAGTAGCTGGGACTACAGGCACGCACCACCAAGCCTGGCTAATTTTTGTATTCTTTTTGTAGAGACGAGGTCTTGCTATGTGGCCCAGGCTGGTCTCAAACTCCTGGGTTCAAGGAATCCACCTGCCTCCACCTCCCAAAGTGCTGGGATTACAGGCATGAGCCCCAGCCAGGAATTTAACTCTTGTTTACCTCAATTACTCTATGGTAAAACTGGCTTTGTTATATGTTGTTTCACTTAAAGTCACAGGTTCTAAGAACCTATCAATTACATTAAGTGAAGACTTACTACATCTACAAATACCAAGAGGGGGCCACAGTGAAATGGAATCCTGAATAACCACCCTGAAGTGACACAGCAAGTAAAGCAGCCCACAACCCTGCCCTTACAAGCTGTTTTGGTGCCCCAATCTCAAATGTGAAAGAACCACCAAGGATCACACTTCATTTTTCAAGATGCTAGTGGAGGATTTGTTCCAGAATAACCTATGACAGACTAAAAGCAGTTTTCCATTTTTTTGGTTTTAGGGCTCTTTTCTACTTTGAAATTTTAAGGACCCCAAAGCACTTTAGTTTTTGTTTTATTTACTGATATTTCCCATATTCAAAATTAAAGATGAGACATTTTTAAAACAGAAGCATATACAAGCACAAGTTCGATTAGCCACATGGTGATGAAGTCATAGCTCCTCATGCCCCCTCTGCAAATTTTAGTGTACACTTAATAAAATGAGAGTAAAAAGACATTCTTATTATTATGAAAGTAGTTTTGACCTTGCAGACCCTCTAAAAGTCTTAGGGACCACCATTACCTTGAGTTCACACTCTGGGAACTGCTGAAGTAAAGGATGGGATGCAGGAAAAAAATGGCAGCCTCACAGCAGATAAACAGAATGAACTGGGCAAACATTAAAATGCTTATTATAGCCGGGCACGGTGGCTCACGCCTGTAATCCCAGCACTTTGGGAGGCTCAGGCGGGCGGATCATGAGGTCAGGAGATTGAGACCATCCTGGCTAACACAGTGAAACCCCGTCTCTACTAAAAATACAAAAAATTAGCCAGGCGTGGTGGCAGGTGCCTGTAGTCCCAGCTACTCGGGAGGCTGAGGCAGGAGAATGGTGTGAACCCGGGAGGTGGAGGTTGCAGTGAGCCGAGATCCTGCCACTGCACTCCAGCCTGGGAGACAAAGTGAGACTCTATCTCAAAAATAAATAAATAAATAAAATAAAATGCTTATTATATATAAGCCATCACCATGCATATTCAATAGAAAACAAAATTGAGGAAATATCTGCAGAAGTAGTTCTTTCCTTCAAGGAGAATATAGACTAGAATAAGACCAAAAAAGAAAAAGTATATAGGAGATATGAATAAAATGAGTGACGGATTCTGAATGGGAGAATTGACAAAGATTTCAAAGAGAAAACAGAACAGCATGGGACTCGGGCCACAGTGCTGAAAAGAACCCTTTTTAATAAAGTGAGTTCAGACTCTTCTCTTTATATTCATTTTATATAGACCAATTTTCTCCAATAAAATAAAAATGTTTGTCTCCAGGATCCAACTGACTTCATAAAGAGTGGGATAGTCTTAAGTTGATTACAAATAGTGTTCAGAGTTTCAAGAAAGGGACATGGAATCAAATCAGTACTTTCCATTAACCAAACTCTTGAGAATAGCTTCATATTTTAAACTCTAAGACAATCATCTTAAAGCAAGAATTCAATCAGCAGCTTATTGTCGCACGGAACAGTATCATAAAGCAGTCAGTCGCTGTCCAGTTTCTAGATTTCTATCACATTCTGTTTGTTGTTTGTTTTTTGAGACAGGGTCTCGCTCTGTCACCCAGGCTGGAGCGCAGTGGCGCCATCTCAACTCACTGCAACCTTCACCTCCCAGGCTCAAGCGATTCTCCTGCCTCATCCTCCCGAGTACCTAGGGTTACAGGTGTGCACCACCACACCTAGCTAATTCTTCTTTTTTTTTTTTTTTTTTTTTTGTATTTTTAGTAGAGATGGGTTTTTGCCATGTTGACCAGGCTGGTTTTGTACTCCTGGCTTCAAACAATCTGCCCACCTCGGCCTCCCAAAGTGCTGGGATTACAGGCATTAGCCACCACATCCAGCCTCTATCATGCTTTTCGTAAGTGCAAAGCAATAGCCTGAAGTGGATAAAATCATTAAGAGTATACAACATAAGCATATTAAAACTTTACACTGCATTCCAGGCTGGGCAACAGAGTAAGACTCTGTCTCTTAAGAACAAATTAAAAATAAAAAAATAGGCCAGGCGCAGTGGCTCACACCTGTAATGCCAGCACTTTGGGAGGCTGAGGTGGAAGGATCACGAAGTCAGGAGTTCGAGACCAGCCTGGCCAACACAGTGAAATCCTGCCTCTACAAAAATACAAAAAATTAGCCGGGCATGGTGGCAGGCACCTGTAATTCCAACTACTCAGGAGGCTGAGGCAGGAGAATCACTTGAACCCAGGAGGCAGAGGTTGCAGTGAGCTGAGATCGTGCTACTGCACTCCAACCTGGGCGACAAAAATGAAACTCTGTCTCAAAAAATAAATAAAATAAAAAATAAAAAAATAGAGCCTTAAAACTTTAAGTAATACCCTATGCCCATATAATGCCTCACACATTGGCAAGGTACCCTAAAACAATCCATTTTCTCCCATGAAAAAACAGTTGTTCTTTGGTATAATTCTCATTTGTCTCACTCTGTGCCCTTTACCCACTTTCAACCTGAGTTTCAGAGCATCATCCTGACTTCCTGTGTTTTTTAATTTTTCCAAAAATGAGACAATTTGAGTGTTTTCATTTTTATAAATCTGTAACATTTGCATAAAATTCACAAAGCATACTGCCTTCTGCTTCTTCAGAGCTCACCACAGCAGCCTCTTATTCAGATGGACTTCCCCAATAGCAGCTCAAACACCAAAAATTACCCTTCCAGCGCCATTGTTTCTACAGTGCAACAGCTCTCAGGTTGGAAAGAAGAGAACAATTTCTTCTCTGACGGAGGCAGTTATTTCAGGCTTTACCACCTGCAATGGTTAACAGTAGGTGTCAACTTGACTGGATTGAAGGATGCCTAGATGGCTGGTGAGCAGTGTTTCTGGATGTGTCTGTGAGGGTGTTTCCAGAGAAGAATGATGCAGGAGTCAGTGGCCTAAGAGAAGCAGACCAACCCTCAATATGGATAGGCACCATCCAGTTGGCTGGTGGCCCCACGAGGACAAAGAAGGAGTGTGGGAAAAGATGGGGGATCCACCCTCTGCTCTGTCTCTCCCTGCCAGAGCAGGACTTTCTCCTCCTGCCCTTGGACGTGAGACTCCAGGTTCTTCAGCTTTTGGATTGTTGGACTTGTACCAGCAAGCTCCTAGAGGCTCTCAGTCTTTTGACCTCAGACTGGGAGCTGTACTGTTGGCTTCCCCAGTTTTGAGGCTTTCGGAATTGGACTGAGCCATGCTACCAGGCTCTCTGACAGCCATGCCACTGGCTTCTCTGGTTCTGCAGCTTGCTCATGACCTATGCTGGGACTTTACCTTTGTGATCGTGTTAGCCAATTCTCCCCTAATAAATCCATTTTTATAGATATATCCTATTGGCTCTGTCCCTCTGGAGAACCCTGACTAGTACACCATCCCAATGATATCTAAAGTCTTAAAGAGGAAATGTAATACTCCAAATAAAAATCTAATTGAAGAAGTAGATATAAAAGTTTCATGGGGAGTATAGCAGACAGACTCTAAGATGGTTTATGATTATCCTCATCTCCTAGTACTCACATCCTTGTTTAATCCCTTCCTTTTGAGTTAAGAAGGAACCTATGACTTGCTACTAGCCAAGAGAATACAGCAAAGGTGATGGAATGTCACTTGCATGATTCTATTACTAGCAGACTTTCTCCCTTGCTGGCTTTGATGAAGCAAGAGGCCATACTGGGAGGTTCACATAGAAGGAAATTGAGGGTAGCCTCTAGCTAAAGCCAGTAAGAAATTGAGGCCCTCAGTCCATCAGCCTGCAAGAGTCTGAATCCTGTCAATGCCCATGAGCTCAGTAGTGGATCTGCCCCACTCAAGCCTTCAGATGAAAGCCCAGCCATAGCTGACACCTTGATTGCAGCCAGCAAACTCCTGACCTACAGAGCTGTGGAATGACAGATAAGTGTTTTTTTAAGCCACTAGCTTTGTGGTAATTTGTTATGCAGCAATAGATAACAAATATAGGGGAGTATTTAAAAAACACTGTAGAAAATATGACTGTGATTCTAATTATCACCACTAAAATCTAACAATTGATTTGGGCTAGTTAGGAAAGATATTGTAATGCACTTCTAAAAAGTCTAAGAAATAGGATGATAGGGGTTAAGGGAGAGGGGTCATCCTCTACCTTTTTCTTGTGGAGAAGAAGGGGAGGGCTGTTGAAGGCAGCCCAGCGGCTGAGGGCTCTGCAAACCTGACACTAATAGAGCTGGTGTGTCTCAGCCAAAATACCAAGAATAGTGAAACCAAAGGGAAAAGCATATTGGCAGGTATGGGGAGTTAGAGCAAGAGCTGGGAAGCAAGAGAGACAGGGAATGTCAACATGGGCAGTGGGAGGATCCCAGAGCAGATGTCTGAGACAGAGAAAGGCTACTCCCAGAAGGAAGGGCTGGATGGCTAAGGTCAGCACCAGTGGAGACAAGGTCATTTATGTATGAGTATTACTAGCATATTAAGCTTTTTTAAAGCTCAATAATGGAACAGCCAGAAATTTTTCAGGCTTATCAACATCATTGAAGGGGCTTTTATAAAACTTCAGAGCCAGGAGGGCATTCAACTCTGAAAACTGAGGCGGGCTGATCACTTGGGGTCAGGAGTTCATGACCAGCCTGGCCAACAGGCTGAAACCCTGTCTCTTCTAAAAATACAAAAGTTAGCTGGGCATGGTGGCAGGCACTTGTAATCCCAGCTACTCAGGAGGCTGAGGCAGGAGAATCGCTTGAACCCAGGAGGCGGAGGTTGCAGTGAGCCGAGATCGTGCCACTGCACTCCAACCTGGGCGACAGAGCGAGACTACGTCTCAAAAAAAAAAAAAAAAAAAAAAAAAAAAAACTCTGAAGAGGTGCCCTGAAGCATATCCGCCCAGTGCTATAGCCATCCATCAGTCATTCCTGAGAGGGGTAGGCCACGAAGCCCAGAGAGATCGCCAAATGCACATCAGCGGAGAAGTGCTCAAAACCCTCTTGCCTCTTAAATCAAAGAGGTAGCTGTTGTAGCCCTTTTCACAGCCCATCAGTGAATTCTCCCAAGGTTTCTACAAGTTGTGTGTGTGCACATTTCACAAATCCACATGCTCATGGTACAAGTACACTTGCACAAAACAATAAACATTGGGGAAGAAAACATGATTATTACTTCTATTTAAAATCTGAGTTCTGCACCTTTGGGTGCTTGTCCTAGATTCTCTTCCCTAGTCTTACATTTGTACACAGATCATTTGTTCTTAATTTTATATTCCTCACACACAAAAAATGGAATCAATGACTAGGCACCCTGTTTCTGAGTCAGATTGTTCTCATAATATGAGGTACACCCTATGGGGAGGTACACGCCATTGGAAGGATCTTGTAGCAGGTAAAGGGACAGACATTTATTAATGCATATGTTGTGCCAGCAACTCTGTTCCATCTCTTTTACTCCTTGTAATTCCTCAGAGTGGAATAAGACAAAGCCTCCGGGAAGTTAAACAATTTACCTCTTACCCAGCCTTTGAGTGGCAGGACCAGAGTTCACGACTCAGGCACCTCTGGAACCAGGCCTGTGCTCTCTTCCACCATACCACACTCAGTTCTTCAATCTTTTGCAATTTCTATTGAGCTAAGCCAATTGAAAACCTCCTTGTAATTGGTAGGTTATCTGTATGGTGCTCTTTTGAATTAAGTATATAAACCAGGGGCATTTTCATGCAGGGTGGGTAAAATCATTTTATGTCTCTTAATCTTTGCTCCATTGTGAGTAAAATTATAGAATGTGACTTATTATATTCCTAAAATTAGACGCCAGAAGAATATTATATTCTCACAATAAGAAAATTTTATTCTAAAGGGGTAATATCCATCCATAAATGTAAACTACCTAAAATCAGATATGTATAATCCTTAATGGAAGGATGACAGCTGTGCATAAAATTTTTTTTGTAATATGCACTTCAGATACCTCTCCAATCTACTAGAAAGCACTGTCAGTGAGTTTGATTATCATCTTAATATACAGACAATTGTTAAATGGCATAATAGCCATCTTATCATTCATAATGCTAAATAATAGTTAATGACTAAATAATACCCTAGTGATCTAAAAGGACAAATGTCATCCAAATCTACTATACTCAGGAGAAGGGAAGGTTTATTCCTCCCAAGATGTCTGTCCCATTTCTTTTATAAAACATATAGACCAAATTTTAGATTCATTTAGAAACTCAGGTTGGTCAAGAAAAAGCTTTACTGGGTTTACCAATTCAAAGATGCCATGGTGAAATGAAAACATAGGAATTCTATTCAAACAGTATGAAATTATTTATGCTGATTTACTCTTAGAATGTTTCAATAAGATAACATCAACTGGGTAAATCAGTTGAGAATATTGCCACCATAACCATATTTATGTTTTCTTCTAGAATTTAATTCTTGGTTTAAAAACAGGAGGAGCAGTTTAGCAAACAAAACAAGAACAAGCAGGTTCACAGACCTTTTCTTCTACACTGTTTATAATTACCCAGGCTTAGTCAGCTTTTCAAACTTAAAACAAGTGCACAGCCCATATATGTCAAATCAGTACATTCCTCAGAACTCTGCTATTCTATAACATTAATAATATCTAAATGCTGTTTTTTTTTTTTTTTTTTGAGACAGAGTCTCACTGTGTCTCCCAGGCTGGAGTGCGGTGAAGCAATCTCGGCTCACTGCAACCTCCGCCTCCCAGGTTCAAGCGATTCTCCTGCCTCAGCCTCCCAAGTAGCTGGGATTACAGATGAGTGCCACCACGCCCTGCTAATTTTTGTAATTTTAGTAGAGATGGGGTTTCACCATGTTGATCAGGCTGGTCTCAAACTCCTGACCTCATGATCCACCCGCCTCGGCCTCCCAAAGTGCTGGGATTACAGGCGTGAGCCACCGCGCCTGGCTGCTGTCATCTATTATTGCAGAATTGCTACTGAAGTCTGATAAAAGCTTGGGGATTATGAGGAGGGAAGTATGCACAGAGGGGCAGTGAAGCATCATGATGTCTTGGATTTGCCTTCAAAATGCCTCTCCCAGAAAAGTGGGGGTGGAGGTGGAGATGGATGCAACAAGCCTGGTGAAATACCAACGCTCATTAAAGCTATGTGACCTGGATACATGGGGGTTCACTATACTATTCTCTCTTCTTGTGTATATGAAATTTTCCCTAATAAAAAGTTTTGTTAACATTATCACTTCACAACAGAATTAGGAGTCCAACGTTATTTATTTCAAAAAGTAAACTCAATAGTATTAGACCATAAAGCCTAGAATACAGATTAATAGCTCAGTGCTTTCATTTATAAACTCCCTCCCCCAAATTCGCAGAAAAGCTGCAAGAACAGCACAAGGAACTCCTAAATTTACCAAATGCTAACCTTCGGCCACCTTTGCTTTCTCTCTCATATGATACACATATACATATAAATGCACACATACATGCATATATCCTTTTTTCCTAAAGCCTTTGACATTTAGGTACAGATATCATGTCCCATGTCAACCACAATAAAAATATCAAATTTAAGAAATTTAACACTGATACAATGCTATTATCCAATATACAAGCCATATTCAAATCTCACCAATTATCACAACACTGTCCTTTGTCGCATTTTTTCCCTCATCTAGGATATAACCTGAAATCATCCATTGCATTTAGTGGTCTCTTTAGTCTTCTTCAATCTGAACAGTGCCTCAGCCATCTTTCATGACACTGACTTACAGAATGTCTCTTGATTTGCCTTTGTCTGATGTTTCCTCGTGATCAGAACCAGGTTATACATTTGTGGCACAGTAAGTGGCATTGTGTCCTTCCCGGTGCTTCCTATCAGGAAGTACAGGATATCAGTTTGTCCCATTATTCTTTTTTTTTTTTTTTTTGGAGATGGAGTTTTGCTCTTGTTGCCCAGGCTGCAGTGCAATGGCGTGATCTCAGCTCACTGCAACCTCTACCTTCTGGGTTCAAGAGATTCTCCTGCCTCCGCCTCCCAAGTAGCTGGGATTACAGGCGCCTGTCACCACACCCGGCTAATTTTTTGTATTTTTAGTAGAGACAGGATTTCACCATGTTGGCCAGGCTGGTCGCAAACTCCTGACCTCAGGCGATCCACCCGCCTCGGCCTCCCAAAGTGCTCGGATTACAGGCATGAGCCACCGCAACTAGCCCCATTATTGTTAATGTTAACTTTGATTATTTGGTTAAGTTCGTATACTCCAGGTTTTCCCCCCATTTTCCAATTAATAAATAATCTTTGGGGAAAATGCTTTTTTTGTGTGTGTGTGTGTGTGTGTGACGGAGCCTCACTCTGTCGCCCAGGCTGGAGTGCAGTGGCAGGATCTCGGCTCACTGCAAGCTCCACCTTCCGGGTTCACGCCATTCTCCTGCCTCAGCCTCCCGAGTAGATGGGACTACAAGCGCCCGCCACCACGCCCGGCTAATTTTTTGTATTTTTAGTGGAGACGGGGTTTCACCATGTTAGCCAGGATGGTCTTCATCTCCTGACCTCGTGATCCGTCCGCCTCGGCCTCCCAAAGTGCTGGGATTACAGGCGTGAGCCACCGCGCCCGGCCAAGAGTGGAAGTTCTTAACTAAGAAAGAAAGAGCTCTCTGCAGCAGAGAGGGATCCTAAAGAAATGGGTTGTCCTGGGGGAAATTCTTTAACAATGTAAATAATTCTGTTCCTCTTAAAATTTTCACATAACAGTTCAGCATCCATGGATGAATCTTGCTTGAATTAATTATTGCTATGATGGTTTCAAAGTAGTAATTTTCTAACTCTCTTTGTCTATATTTTTTAGTTGGCATCATTTGTAAACTTTTTAATAATGACTAGGGTTAGAAATCATTTAACTCAAGATTTTCCATCCATTTTCAGCCAAAGTGAAGCAATTTTCTTTTAAAGTCTAGGCATCTGAAATCCTGAATATCTCAAGTCACTGTTTAGCACTAGTTTCTAACGTGGACTTGTTGAGGGCTTATATTTGATCCCCGACCCCCACCCACCCTCTTCCAGGACTGAGCACTGAGTGGAAATTGCTGATGGAGTAGACAGGATGGGGAGAAAGGAAACTGCAGGTTGCCAACAAGAAAGAAGGAGGGAAAAAGTGGCTGCTGGTGGAGACTGACTGCAGGGCAGGAACATCAGCCTGGGATGCAACAGGCAAAAATGACACAAGATCAGCCAGGAAACCAGGAGCACCCAAACGGGGACAGATGTCTCCTTTTACAATACCAAATGTTCATCTGTCACAGCCCCAAAGACACATCCACCTGAAAACTGCCCAAGATTTCTGGGGTATAATAGAGTTAGATGTTTCCAACATTACCTAAACATGCCTGGCTGATCCTAAGAAATTATTCTTACAAACAGATTAAAGTGACTTCAAAACTAAACACCTATAAAAGGAAGTACTAATAATGCAACATATGCCATAAATGGAATAAAAAAATAAAATAGCGCTTCACTACTTTTGTGTTCTGGAAACAAAATATTATCTGGAATACTTGTCACTGAGGAAATCATGAAATAGTTCAGTACCCAAGTACCACCACTTTATATAACAGACTGGGATCTCAAAGTTCCTCACGATTTCATGATAACTTACTGAAAACCTAGTTGAAGCTCTCGAGTTCCCCTTTTCTCCTCTGGAATCTGCCCTTAGACAGCATGCTATCTAGATATAAGAACATTTTCTATTGGCTATGTTCTTTTTTGTGAACATTATAAGTTTCCAGGCAAATATTTTAAAAATATCTCCATATTTTATATAATTTACATGCTACATTCATATAGAAGGTCTTTCTGGATTCTCTCCAGAAATGACTGGAATAGAATACTTGGATTTCGCCTGGTTTTAGAACCAATTTTTCCCTCAAGGGGAAATTTTGTGGGGGAGAAAAATGGGGGTTGAGGGAAGCACTCAGCTATAGCCCTAAGGCAATATTGTGCCCAGGTTTGATTTATCTTATCGAGGTCATGTAGTCACTGCATGGTGACAAGACAGGACTGCTAAAGAAGTGATCATCACTCTGTTCCTACCTCCCTCTCACCTGTCACTTCCTCACCTGCAGAGGTAAGGAGAAGGACAGAGGAACAGTAGTTCCTGTATCACTGGAACTTGTTAGAAATGTGAATTCTCAGGATGCACCCCAGACTTACTGAATCAGGAACTCTGGGAGTGAAGTCCAGCGATCTGTTTGAATAAGTCCTCTGAGTAACTCTGATGCATGTTAAAGTTTAAGACCTCCTTTTTAAAAATACTGATGTCAGGGTCTTTTTTAAAGCTCTCTGGAGTAATTCTAATATGCAACTAGGACTAAGAACCAGAGCTAACTAAAGAATTCTGTATCTGGGAGAAGCCCTGGGCTCTACGTTTTCAAAATCATCTCCATGCTAACAGAAGGTTGTAGGACTTCGGGCTGCAAACATGGTCAAGCTTTGCGGGAAATTTTTCAAGACACTGACTGAGAATACTTTCCTTCTCTCCCTTTTGATAGTAGGGACACATAGTAAGCCTCTCACATTAGTTTTGAATAAGAAAAAAGACAAAATAATGTTTCTCCACAGTTTGGAAACCTTTCAGATTTCTAGCTCCATCTCAGCTAAGAAAGAACATAAGATTGAGCCTAAAAAACTGGTCAAGAGCTGAGATGGTCAGATATCATCATAATTTTTTCATAAACAAAATCAATGGGCAAAAGTTTGATTCTTCAGTACAGTTGAGTATACCATATAAGGAAGTAGAAGAAACATCAATCTAAATAAATTGGTATGGAAGCATCTCAGTTTATTTTTCTAGGGTACTAAATGTATCATCTTAACCAAAACATAAGAAAGTAAATAGCAGAACAGTGTCTCACTGCATGTGTGTGATGCACAGTTGCTGGTAGATACTTTGAACCCCTTTGCCTTTGTTTTTCATTAATAACACAATAAGGCCAAATCTCATGATCTCCTTCTTTGTTGAGTCTTACTTTGTTAAGTAAAGCTTCAACCATAATTTTTTTTCTAAACACACACACACACGAATGGAATCACACTTTGTATAAATGAACAGAGCTGAGGAAAGGGAAATTTGGCCCAAATTAGCTGATTTTACTGGAAACACCTGATCAACATTTTTCTCTTTAAAAAGGAGGAAAGCATGTTGGTATCCCCACACATATCAGATGATGGCAAAACAGCAGGGAGAGGACAACCACCATTTACTGAAGGCCACCTGTGTGCCCATCGCTTGTAAGAGCTATGAATGACAGCCTTGTCCTAATTTAGAGAAACTGAGGACAGTGCCATGGTCCCACTGCTAGGGAATTCTAGAGAGATAAAATACAGGTCTGTTTGACTACAAAAACTCAAGCTCTCCACACTATCCTAAAGCTGTGTTCTTGGCTGGGATGATTGTTTACAAGAAAAATAATAAATTATTGCAGAAATTTTGACATCTCATTTTCCCATCTCTTTTCCTCCTCACCTCTCAAAAAAAAAAAAAAAAAAATACCTTCCAAAGGGCCTCTGTAGCCAGCACACCATTTGATTTTTGTTTTTTTCCTCTGTGGCCCAGACTGGAGTGCAATGGCAGGGTCATAGCTCACAGCAGCCTCGCACTCCTGGGCTCAAGTGATCCTCCCGCCTCGGCCTCCCAAAGTGCTGGGATTACAGGCCTGAGCCAGCACATCCAGCCCCATTCACTCATCTAATGAAGTCCCTAACATGCGCCACACCTGTGCTAGGGACTTTGGATGCTAGGTACGCAGGTGTGACTTGGTTTTACTCTGAACTCCCTTTGAAGCTTCACTAATACGTATCTGGCTTCAAACGCAACTAACTTAACCAGTTTTCACAGACGGGATTCCAATTTCCAAAGGCACTGAGCCATAAGAGCAGCGGTGCCAAGATGCCAAAAGCAGGCCAACCCAGCGCCTTCCAACGCTTCCATTCAGAGTTTCAACCTGATGTCTCCAGGCACTCCTCCCACCCACTGACCATGGTAACCAGATGCGGTCTCCAGCCGGCCTTGTGCTGCCCGCTGCGAATACAGCCCGTGGGCCACCGGGCAGCCGAGCCATGCAAGCCACCCTGATCCCCAAAAGGCAGACGCACAAACCCGACCCAGAACTCGAGGCGAACCTTGAACTCACAGCGCCAAAAACGCGCAGTGCCTTCGTTTGCCCGGCTCGCTGAAGGCTGGCTCTGGGCCTGGGGGCAGTGCCCGCGAAGGGCTGCGATGGCAGGCCCCGCTGCCACACGGCATCGAGGGTCCCTCCGCCTCGGCGCCAGGCGCACGCCCTTCTGCCACATCCCTCGCGGGGCGCGCCGCCAGGGCCACCTGCCCTTTCAAGCCCCGCCAGGCAGCCAAGGGTGAGGAGCGGAGAGGGACCCGGCCGCTGCTGCCGCGAGCCAGCACAAAGGCAGCGTCTGAAATCGAACTTCCCACCCTGGGCACCGCGGCCTCCCCCCACCCCTGGCCTCCGCGGCCGGAGCGCACTCACTGTCAGTCGCCATGGTCGGACGAGGGGGCTGCCCGACGGCCGCCCAGGTTCGGGAAACCGGCGCCGAGCCCGGCCGGGCGCGCGCTCCTCGGCAGGCCCGGTGCGCTCGGGGGCCGCGCCGCGCACAGCCCCTCCTGCCGCGCGCCCCCGCCGCGCCGCGCCGCCCCGCGCCGCCCCGCGCCCAGCAGCCGCCAGCCCTGCGGCCGCCGCCGGCGTCCTGAGAGCCCAGCCTCCCGGGCAGAACGGCCGAGCTGCGGCGCCTAGAGGCTGGATCTCCCCCTCCTCGCCTCGCCGCGTCCGTCCCCCTCCCCTCCTTTCCTTTCCCGCCCCTCCCCCAAAGAGGATGCTCGCCGCAACTTGGAAACACGCTCCCGGCCACGCTAGGGTCGCCTCTCCACGCCACCTTTCCTACAACGTTCCCGCTATATCCTTGTTTTCGAGTCACCTTTTCCATTCTCCGCTTCATCCCTACCTCGAGCTTCTCACCAGCGGGGTTGGGACCCCATGCTCAGCCCCAGCTGGAAGGAGCAAAGCGGGAGAAGAGCTAGGGGTGTGGGGAGGATGAGCCAGGTGCTGGGCATTAATCCTCCGGGGCAGGAGCTCTCCTGCGAAACCGCTCAACGCCATCTCCGTAGGCTCCAAGTGGGCCGTGCTCTTCATGTCACCCTCTGTTTTGTCTCCGATGTGAAAATAGTTCCCAGCACGTAGTAGGCTCTCAGCAGATTTCTGTTGAGTGGGTGAATGGATGTCTTTATAACTGGATGCCTGCATGAATGAATGAATGAATGGCCAACTAACTGATTGGACGTCCACTGGATGAGCAACTGATACATGATCATAGCCAACTACAGCCCTGCCACTGACTAGGGATGGACGCTAGAGTAAGTAAGTGGACCAGGCCGAATGAGTGAGCCGGAGTCTTGTGCCTCACAGGCCATTGTGGTTCAGGAGGGCTCTGAACTGAGGCTGTCAGTTCAGAATGATGTTGTATACATCTTCTTGAAGTCCAAAAACCAATTTCTGATGGATTATTGGATTATTCTGCCATTACTTTTGCACCAACCTAATATATTAGGGGACAGTTGTACATTAGAAACCCCCGTCTCCACCACCAGATCCATCATGTGAAGGATCAAATGGCTCAAACACATCCCCTAAATTACATGGCAGGCTAGATACTTCTTAAAGATACAATACATTTCGCCCAGGCATGGTGGCTTAAGCCTGTAATCCCAACACTTTGGGAGGCCAAAGTAGGAGAATCACTTTAGCCCGGGAGTTCAAGTCTGCAGTAAACTATGATTGCACCACTGCACTCCAGCCTGGGTGAAAGAGCAAGACCCTGTCCCTAGTTTTTAAAAGAAGAAAAAAGGGCCGGGTTCACGCCTGTAATCCTAGCACTTTGAGAGGTCTAGGCAGGTGGATAGCTTGAGCCCAAGAGTTTGAGACAAGCCTGGGCAACATAGTGAGACCCTGTCTCTAGAAAAAATAAAACAAAAATTAGCCAGGCTGGTGGTGCATGCCTGTGGTCCCAGCTACTCAGTAGGCTGAGGGGGAAGATCACTTGAGGCTGGGAGGTGAAGGCCGCAGTGAGCTGAGATCATACTACTGCACTCCAGCCTGGGTGACAGAATGAGACCCTGTCTTAAAAATAAAATAAAATAAAAATACAAAGATACAATCCATTTGATGCATTTGGAGATGCACATTCAACCCAATCAGCCCCGGGCTGGATGCTGAGAAGACTCAGGAGCAAGGCTCCCGTCTGCCTATCCACTAGCTCCCACGTGGCTAGGCAGACAGAAAACTGCCAGAGAACAACACAGGAGTCCTCTCTGGTCAGTTCACAGAGCACGATGAGGGAGAGAATATTCTGATCAGGCTCCACATTCTGATTCAGTCCACCTAGAGTAGCACTTAGGGGTGTCCTTTTTTTAAATTGTGTTTAGCCTTTATTTGTTTTAACACAGGTGATTCTGAAGCAGACTTCTAGTTAAGAACCACAGAGACCTGGTTCATTTGTCTTTCACAACAACCATCTGCAGTAGACCCAAAAGCCAACACTCTGGAAGTGGGTTGGATGGGGAAAAGGAAAAAAGAATTAAACATGACCCTGGAGTCTTTAACCTGTTTGGAGCTCACAAACCAGGAGGTTAAAGGAAAAAAGAATTAAACATGACCCTGGAGTCTTCAACCTGTTTGGAGCTCACAAACCAGGAGGTTAAGCTGGTGTGAGGGCAAAAAGGGTGGGTTGGGCTTGGATTCAATTGAAGGGTCAGTGGAACATGTGTGAGGCTCCTTATGCATTAATCAAACTGGCTTTTCCAAATGAGAAAAAGGAAAAAAAATGACAATTCAAAGGATATGTTCAATAAATGATTTCTGAATAATGGACCTGTTGGATAGCAGGTTTGCATAGCACCAGATGTCAGATGAGAAGGGGTTAATGAACAAGTAGATTTCATAGAGGCGGAGGCCCCAAGCATAGATAATTCTCTTAAAAAGTTTAATGGTGAAGGAATGAAAGAGGATGGAGAGCTTTGGAAGAGAGCAGGATCAAGATAAGATGGGTTTTTTGTTTTGTTTTGCTTTAAGATAGATTTCTGTACACATATTCAAGTATTTAATATATAAAAGAATAAATTTTCACTTTTCTATAACCAAATTAACTTTCTGGCCCAAGCCCCTATTAGACCCATTGTTAGGGAGTTTGATTTTACTCAGTTCAAGGTAAACATCGATTCAGGCTTTTCTCAGGCAATTCAGAGTTTTCCTTCCCCATTTTTTCTTGGGGTTGCATCCATGTTTGGAAGGACAGGTTGGGTAGCATCAGGGATGGTAAGAGGTATCAGGCCCCATCTGTCCCTTTTGGGAGGTACCTCTTCTGTCTGGACCTCAGAGCTCGTCAGACCTCCACAGCCATGAGTGTGGGTGGCAGCCACCACTCTGTCTTCTCCTCCACACCAAAGCCCCTTCAGGTCTGACTTTTTCTCCTTGACTTTCCTGTTGCTCTGGAGAGGACAAGTTTGGCTACTCACCCATTCCATTCTAAGAAAACAGTGAGATCTGTGGAGTCTCAGGCCTTTTCTAACAAGCCAAACAACCATTTCTTTCTTACCATTCCCTTACTATGTGGTGGAGGGGAGCTCTGCATGATGGACCACCAAGCAAGACATTTAATGTGACATGAGACAAAGGTCCCCTTATGGCTCAATTTCCCCAGCCTATCTGGAAGTTCTACCACCTCCCAGCCAATGCATGACAATGGGATGCTTTTCTAAGAAGGGGTATTGGATGTTTTCAGCCCCATGTAACTGCATAAGGTGGCTTAAACAATAACACACCTTGTTATATATCAAGGGATCCACCCGTGGTTGATTTAGCATCTCCACAACGCCCATAAGAACTTGGACTCCCCACTTTCCTCCTCGGCAGTAAGGCTGCTGCAGCACAAAATCTCCCAAATCTGGTAGGAGAGGGGGATATTCCTCCTTGTCATTCTCACTCTTTTTTTTTCTTTTTTCTTTTTTTTTTTAATTTGAGACAGAGTCTCACTCTGTCTCCCAGGCTGGAGTGCAGTGGTGTGATCTTGGCTCACTGTAACCTCAGCCTCCCGGGTTTAAGTGATTCTCCTGCCTCAGCCTCCCGAGTAGCTGGGATTACAGGCTTCCACCACCATGCCCAGCTAATTTTTGTATTTTTAGTAGAGACAGGGTTTCACCATGTTGGCCAGGACGGTCTCAATCTCCTGACCTCAAGTAATCCACCCACCTCAGCCTCCCAAAGTGCTGGGGTTACAGGCGTGAGCCACCGCGCCCAGCCTCGTCTCTTTCTTTTTATCAGAGAAAGAAATCTTTGTAAAAGCCCTCAAAGGCCTTCTCCACCATTCTGGTGGCACTGGAGGCTGGGAACGCAAGCATCTGTTATTTTCAGCGTTTATGGCACAAAGTGGATTCTGCCAACAAGGAAGAAGGGGGTGGGAATGACTGCCTGGCCCACCGTCAGTGTCTGCCATCGTCTTCGTATACCCTCGGCAGACTCTTGCCTCACTGCTGTCCTTTATGTCCCTTCCCCTCTCCATGGCTAAGGAAACCTATCTCCTAACAGGCTGGAAAACTCACTCTTGAAACATCCTGCTTTCTTGCAAATCTCTGTGTCTTACATTTGGACCTTCACCTTTGAAATTCAAAAGCCAAGATTTTGGATCTTTTGGTTGCCTCCACACCTAAGGCCGGAGATAGTAAAGTTTAGTTAGAGATGGGGAGACCCATATGATACGTGAAATTATGTAACAGGAATGAAAAATGCATAACTCCATAGCAAGCTAGGATTTCTTCAGTACACTTATGAAGCAAGAGGAAAGAGCCACTAGAGAGGAAAGATCTAAAATGCAAAGAAAAGGCCAGGCGTGGTGGCTCACACCTGTGATCCCAGCAATTTGGGAGGCCAAGGAGGGCAGATCACCTGAGATCAGGAGTTCGAGACCACCCTGGCCAACATGGTGAAACCTCATCTCTACTAAAACTACAAAAATTAGCCAGGCGTGGTGGCAGGAGCCTGTAATCCCAGCTACTTGGGAGGCTGAGGCAGGAGAATCGCTTGAACCTGGGAGGCGGAGGTTACAGTGAGCCGAGATCACACCATTGCACTCCAGCCTGGGTAACAGAGGGAAACTCTGTCTCAAAAATAAAATGCAAAGAAAGGTAGGAACAGGTGTTAGTGGCAGCATGGCCAGGACAGGCAGAGAATTTCATCTTTGATAAACGAACCATTTTCAGTCTCAGAAACATAAGTAGAGAAAGAGAATGTTATGATGCAAAAGGAT
This sequence comes from Homo sapiens, assembly GCF_000001405.40. Taxonomy (NCBI): domain Eukaryota; kingdom Metazoa; phylum Chordata; class Mammalia; order Primates; family Hominidae; genus Homo; species Homo sapiens. Next base: position 61,807,985 of record NC_000014.9, on the reverse strand, counting down.
TTTATGAAGAGGGAGGTTGAGGGAGCTCAGGCATGCGATGTGGTCTCAAGTTTCTCTACAATATAGGACCTGAGCTTAGTTGCCAAGAAGGAAGTGGAAGAGGTGGATTTGAGGATTTAGGAGCATGGAAGAGGTTTTAAGATGTCTCTATTAGGAAGAGGAAATGAAAGGGATGAATAGAAGAGAAGGACTTCCGGCCAGCAGTGGGGGCCCTCCTGGAATTAGACCTCAGAAGTGCAGAAGGCAAGGCAGCCATTTGGAAGCAGGTAGTGGAAGCAAATGGAAATTGAATTCTGGGTTACTGTGTCCCCAAAATAGCCAGCCATAGGGCTCAGGGGGTTGGAAGAAATGAGTGAAGCCACAGCAGGAGTGAAGAGGGAGAATGCTGAGGAGAATGCCCAGGGCCTGGAAACCTTGAAGATGAAGGGTAGGAGGACAGGCTCAGGTGGTCTGGGTGAATGTTAGCTCTTGGGACTGTATATACATAATAGAGATTGGGACAGAGAAAGGGCAAGACTGAACAATTGCATTAAAAATGTTTTAGCTGGCCAGGCACGGTGGCTCAAGCCTATAATCCCAGCACTTTGGGAGGCCGAGGCAGGCGGATCACGAGGTCAGGAGTTCAAGACCAGCCTTGCCAACATGGTGAAACCTTGTCTGTACTAAAAATACAAAAATTAGCTGGGCGTGGTGGCACGTGCCTGTAATCGCAGCTACTCGGGAAGCTGAGGCAGGCAGGAGAATTGTTCGAACCAGGGAGTCAGAGATTGCAGTGAGCTGAGATCATGCCACTGCACTCCAGCCTGGTGACAGAGCAAGACTCCCTCTCAAAAAAAAAAACCAAAACAAACAAACAAAAAAAAAAAAACTTCAGCAAAGATAATTTATGATTCTTGCAGGGCTCTTCTGACTTATTTGCCATAATTGTAATTCAGATGTCACCATTCACATTGCTTAAGTTAATTTCCAGAATAAGGTAGGACAAAGACCTTTTATACAACTGCACAGAAGTTACTGTATAGGCCCTCTGACCCTTGGCTGATGACCGCATCCTGCTGACTATATCAACACTCCGGCTATAAACAAGAAATGAGAGCAAGGCAGGGTGAAGGGCTGCAGCCACATGCTGAGTGGGTCTGTGTCACCGTGGAGACTATTTCTGGTTGAAATAGCTATTGCTTTTTCTTTGTTGCCGTAGGTGGAAATGGAAAAATTATTTTAGCTGTGCGTGTGGCCTGCAAGCTACTGAGCATTTTATCTGACACCAAAGGAGAGGCATTTTTTAATTGTTTTTATAGAACTTATCTTTGAGTTTCATTAGGTGTCTATATCTCTTTGCAATAGTATCTCTGTATATTTCCTAAGCCTCTGAACTCAAGAACTTCAGAACATTCAAATATGACATAGAATATGGTAATAAAAATTATAGGATCTTAAAAATAGCCATTAGATAATAAATAGGATTACGTTCTGATTTAATCCTTGCAAGTCATATGGAGAATGAACAGAAGTAAGACAGGGCCACTCAGGTAGAATTCTGGTCTGGAAGGTGGAAGGCAGGGCCTAGGTTTGATGGTTAAATTTCCAACAATGACTGGAGAAATTCAGTGACCTAAACCCAGAAAACCACTGGCTTATGGTTGCCTGTCTCCCACTCCAAGTTGTCCCTATGCTGTCTGAACACGTACAGGCAAGGCGAGTAGTTAAGGAATCTATGAGGTAGAAATTTACAAGTAGAATTAAGTGTGGGAATAACCAGTTTCAGGGAAAAATAAGAGTCTGTAGACTAGGCAGACAAGTAGGTCAAACGGATGGCTGTACTGTTCAAAGCCATATGTGTGAATACTCTATTGATATTTTTATTGTCACTAAATAAAGCCTATTTTTAAAAAGTACTTTTTAGGCTGAGCACAGTGGATCACGCCTGTAATCCCAGCACTTTGGGAGGCCAAGGCGGGAGGATCACTTGAGGGTCAGGAGTTCGAGACAGCTTGGTCAACATGGGGAAACCCCATCTCTACTAAAAATACAAAAATTAGCCAGGCATTGTGGTGTGTGCCTGTAGTCCCAGCTACATGGGAGGCTGAGGCAGGAGAATTGCTGGAACCCAGAAGGTGGAGGTTGCAGTGAACCAAGATTGCGCCACTGCAGTCCAGTGTGGGTGACAGAGCAAGACTCTGTCTTGGGGGAAAGAAAAAAAAAAGGACTTTTTAGCAGTCATTCAAAAAATAGCCCAAAAAGTACACAGTTATGGAAATAACACTAACAGTCTCAAGCAAGACACACTCACCCTGGGGTTAAGTATGCTTGGACGAGAGAGAGAACAGGGACCCAGGAATGCATTATCATAAATCTCCATTTTTGCCAAAGACAAGCCTAGGCCAGCTTTCACCAAGTATAAGCCTCAGATTACCCAGCCCAGAATCACCTGGAAAATTGTTAAAAATGCAGATTTTTAGCCCCTAACCAACACTTACTGGATCTGAAGCCAGCAATGGGACACTGTAATCCGCACATGAGCTAGCCGGGTGTTTCTAATACATCCTAATACATCTAATACTTACCTAGCTCAGGTAGCAGCAGCTGGTTACAGAATAATAAAACTGCCTGGAGACCTGGAATTTCACACCTAGGAGTTTCTGCTTCAGTTTTCTCTATCTACAATGAAGAGCCACTAAATGCTGACAAGTAGCCACTAGGAAACAAATTTAGTGTTAACAAACTTTTAAAATATCTTACTCATATCTAATTAAAGATATCTATTTTGAAAGTCTTCTTATCCTTCTTTTTATCCTCCATGAAGATAGTGAACTGGTCACAGTTCTCTATAATTAAGTCCTCATTTACTAACTGTCTTAGTCTCTTTGGGCTGCTATAATAAAACGCAGTAAACTGGGTGCTGGTAAGCAACATAAATTTATTTCTCACAGTTCTGGAGGCTGGGAAGTCCAAGATCAAGTAGCTGGCAGATTCAGTGCCCAGCAAGGGTCCATTCCTCCCTGTCACCTCACACGGTGGAAGGGGTAAGGGGTCTCTCTGGGGCCTCTTTTATAAGGGCACTAATCACATTCATGAGGGCTCTACATGAATGTATTCTTTGCAATACTTATACAATATCCACTGAGGTTCAGACTCGTGTGTGGTGGTTAAAATCGTAGGCTCTGGAGCCAGACCACATGGCTTCCAATAACAGCCTCACTACTCACCAGCTCTGTGATCTTAAGCATACTACATGCCATCTTTGTGCCTTTGTTTCTTCTTCTGATAAATTAATACCCACTAGGACTTTCCACTTCTGGCAGGATGACAGACAGATATTTTCAAAGGGCCTTCTCATCCCTCCTGAATATACTACTAAAGAAAAAGGTTAATGCATTCCTGTGCTCACCAGAAAGTAGCAGAATCTCCAAGGAGAAAAACAAAACAATTAGCTGAAACCAGAGCAAGAGGCAGTAGGATATTAAGCAAGTGGAGTAGAAACCAATGAAGCAGAGTTCATCTAATAATTCCTGAAATCAAAAGATCAAACTTGGAGTGTAACCTAAGATTCCAAGGACTCAAAGGACTTTAGAGGTATCAGAACAATAGTATTCTTGGCTCATAGCAGAATCAAACATAAATCCTCTCTAAAGGAGAGCATCCCAAATTAAATCCACAGGATTCAGTATAAGAAAATTTGAGCTCCAAATAAAGATCACCACCAAATACAACAAGGATACAAATCACCAAGAGTGAGAATCAGCAAAACAACAAATAATAGACTGACTGGTTGAATTGCAGATACTGAAATTAATATACAGGATGTAAATTAATTATGCTTGAAATATTTGAAGAAATAAAATATGAAACTGAAAAGCTAATCAAAGAACAAGAAAATATAAAACGTATCTAGACAGATATAAATAAACTCTCAGATACAGAACAAAAAAAGTAAAAATTAAAAACTAAATGGATGGAGCTATTGACCAGGCCAGGACTTATCTCCTCTTGGCACCACAAGTTTCAGGCCAAACGAGGCCTTCCTAGTAGGCTACACCTGCCTGGTTTCATTTCCTGTAGTCATCTAGCCTGTACAAATTGCTAGAGATAGTCTCCTCATTTTGTTAAAACTTTATATCAGAAAACATATTTAAATCCACCAAAGAACAAGGTGATTCTGACTTGACAACCCTGAGGAGTCACTCTATATTCTTCATTTTCTTTTCTGAGGAAATTCAGTCTCAATTATGGAGATCCAGAAACATTATAAAGCAATTTAGTCCTAATTCTATCAAGGGTAGTTTTGTGAATGAATTATATTTGTAAATATAAGGGATTTTTTTAAGTGGTAACAAGACAAACTATATCTTGTGACTGGCTGGTTCATCTTTATTTACAAATAAACAGGATGATTTTCCAAACATACACTCTCTAAATAAAGGACAGTGTATTCAGTTTTTAAATACGAAACAAAAAGTTTCTGCTGGGAAAATTTTATGAGCAACTTGTTGAAATTTACAGAGAGAATACATTCAGTTAACCACCTACAGTAAAATGACATGTTAGCAAGAGAAGCAATATACCAATTATGCTGCAAGAAACTAAGAGATAAATCAACTATTTAAAACATGTAATAAAGGCAGAAGAGTTAACCATTTGTGAGACTTTAGCAAAATTCATTTCATTTAAAATCAGACACACCATAAGAAGTTCAGGTCCAACAAATCTTGTGGGTGTTGCCTTCCCTAAAAGTGATCAACTAGCTAGGCAGAATGGCTGGCACCTGTAGGCCCAGCTATTTGGGAGGCTAAGACAAGAGGATCTCTTGAGCCCAGGAGTTCGAGACCAGCCTGGTGGATATTATGAGGTCTCATTGCAAATAAATAAATAAATAAATGTTGTCAACTGAAGCTAACATAGCCCATTTAATTGTTACGGTGTTGAAGTATTTAAAAATTAGCCTGCAGGTAAAGTAATTACATGAAGGTTTTCTTTTTTATTTGTCTTAAGTAAGGTTTTTTAAAACCTCATATTAAAGTGCCTGCAAGAAAAAAATAGTGCATATAAAAATATTTTCCTCAGAGCATAATCTGTAATTAGCCTGATCAAGCTTTGTAGCTTGCAACCAAGAGCAAATTAATAACATAATTGATTCTATAGTGCTTAGCATTTACGGAAGATTAGCCTCCTTGAAAAATCAGGGATTTTTACCCTATTTTCAGAAGTGCGTCAATTTATTTCAAGCCATTAGGTTAACAAGACACTAAATTATGATCAAATAGCATTTGGGTGACTTAAATGAGTTAAGTCATACTCCCAATCTAATTGGAATCTTCGTAAATTAGGAGACACCCTGCACAAATCCAGGGAAGATGGTTCAGTAACTTCAGGGTAAATAGGGGGATGTCACCTAATGATTACTTTCCGTGATAGCAACTGTAAGGGATTCAATGCTGTAAAGGAGATATGCATGTTTATACAACTTTACCTGAGTGCACTCCCCTGTCCATGGCACTGGGCAGGTAGGACTCAGGCAGAATGTCATAGTCTTACCTATCTGAGGAGTCAGAGAATGGAGTTTGGGCTGTCAGAGTGGTTAGAAGTCAAGATGGGAAATCCCTAAAAGGAGCAATCATAGAAACTCCAAAATCTGTGTATAAAATCCCCTCAGATCTTTGGCTGCAAGCAAGGCAAAAACCCCCATGATTCTAGGGCAAAGAGCTAGAAATCTGAAAGTCCCGAGTGGGTATTTCAGCAGCTGACCACCCAAAGGTCTCCTGAGTTCAAAGTTCAAGTCTTGCAAGAATAGAGTGATGTGGCAAACACTTCACGGTTTCCATTAAACTTCAAAAAGCCCACACCTTAGATTTAGGGACCACTTCCAGGACTAAGGGATTTGCCCTAAAACTAAGGATCAAGCTGAATAGATCCACCCTGACAAAGCCTACAATCAAGCCCCTTTAAGTATAAGATGCTCTGTCATAACTTAACTGCCTTATAGAACAAAACTCAACACTCTTTAGAGGAAGGTGATAGAATTCAGAGTCCCTAACATGTATTATCATACAATAAAATATTAGTAGACAGGGAAAGAAACATGAAAATGTAAACCACAGTCAATAAAAAAATAAATCGGTCAATAAAAACAGATATACTCTTTGGGGGAAACAGACATACTGATGCCCCCAATGTTGAAACTAGCAAACACTTCAAGGTAGCTAAATTTGCTAAACTTATAGCACCTACAGTATAAATTTATAGTATCTATAAAATAGTATAAACCTACAGCAAAAAATGTTATAATTGGTGAAGAAATGGGACATTTCAGTGCAGATATGAAAACCATGAAGAAGAACCAAGGAGAAATGTTAGAACTGAAAAATACTACATCTAAAATTAAAGTTATTGAATGGGATTAACAGCAGATTGAATACAAAAGAAGAAATAATTCATGAACTTGAAGACAAGTCAAATCATTCAATCTGAAGCACGGAGAGAAAAATTACTGGGGGTGTGGGAGGAAGCCACAATAACATTTGGGACAGTATTAAGCAGTTAACAGACATGTAATTGGAGTCCTAGAAAGAGAAGCAAGTGAGACCAGTACAGAAAAACATATACAATATACTGGAAAAATTAACTGCACTAGGCACATCATGCAAATGGCTGAAAATAAAGTAAAAAAAAAAAAAAAAAAAAACTTAAAAGTGGCCAGAGAAAAAGGGCGTGTTATATACCAAAAAATGGGTAAGAATGAAAACTTCTCATCAGAAACAATGAAGGCTGAAGACATGCAACAATCCTTAACGTGATGAAAGAAAAGAGGTGTCTACCTAGAATTCAAATCCAGGAAAAATATCCTTCAAAAATGGTTAAATAAAGACTCAGAAAAACAAAATCTGATAGAATTGATCTCCAACAGAACTAAGCTTCAATAAATTAAAAGAATGTCTCCAGGCTGAGGGAAAATTGTCCCAGGTGAAAGCATAGATTTGCATGAAGGAATGAAGAGCAGTGGATAAGGTTCCCATGTGGGTAAATGTAACAGCTTTTTCTCCTATTTTTTCCTTTATTTAAAGTAAGAATATAACTGTATGATGGGGTTTATATCATAGCAGTAAAATATGATGACAATATCTCAAAGGATGGAAGAGGATAAAATGGGATATATCCATCCCTAACTTACAGGTAGATTTTATTACGTCTCATATGCAGATTGTAATCTCAGAGCAAATCCACGCTGTCTGATACTCTTCCACTGTGCAATGCTGCATCAACTGAACTTTTTTTTTTCTTTTCTCTTTTTTTTTTTGAGATAAAGTCTCACTCTGTCCCCCAGGCTGGAGTGCAGTGGTGCAATCTTGGCTCACTGCAGCCTCCACCTCCTGGTTCAAGTGATTCTCCCACTTCAGCCTCCCAAGTAGCTGGGACTACATGCACGTGCCATCACACACGGCTAATTTTTGTGTTTTTAGTACAGATAGGGTTTCACCATGTTGGCCAGGCTGGTCTTGAACTCCGGACCTCAGGTGATCCACCTGCCTCAGACTCCCAAAGTGCTGGGATTACAGGCATTAGCCACCATGTCCAGCCAAGTGAACATTTTTGCCATTACTTGTTTACATTATGAAGTTAAAATATTTACGACTGTGTTTGCCATCATTATCATTTCCATCAAATCCATGAATAGAATGACAAATCCATGAAATGTTACAGGCTTGCCCTACTCACAACCCCTTCTGCAGAAAGCTGACAGAGTTGGGTCCTTCCCCATAATTTGCCCTGTCCTGAGGTATACGACCCTTCTATACTGTCCACAATTGATTGTATCAGGGATCTATGTCCTAGTTAAGGGGCATCATCCTTTCAGTTGGACATAAGGGAGGCCAGGCCGGGTGTGGTGGCTCACACCTGTAATCCCAGCACTTTGGGAGGCCAAGGCAGGCGGATCACTTGAGGTCAGGAGTTCAAGACCAGCCTGGCTAACATGGTGAAACCCCATCTCTACTAAAAATACAAAAATTAGCCAGGTGTGGTGGTGCGCATCTGTAATCCTAGCTATTCAGGAGGTTGAGGCAGGAGAATTGCTTGAGCACAGGAGGTGGAGGTTGCAGTGAGCCGAGATGGCACCACTGCACTCCAGCCTGGGCCACAGAGCAAGACTCTGTCTCAAAAAAAGTGGGGGAGGGAGGCGGGGCTGGGTGTGGTGGCTCACACCTGTAATCCTAGCACTTGGGGAGGCCAAGAGGAGTAGATCCTGAGGTCAAGAGTTTGGGACCAGCCTGGCCAACATGGTGAAACCCCGTCTCTATTAAAAATACAAAAAAAAAAATTAGCCGGGCGTGGTGGCACATACCTGTAGTCCCAGCTACTTGGGAGGCTGAGGCAGGAGAATCACTTGAACCTGGGGGGTGGAGGTTGCAGTGATCCAAGATTGCGGCTCTTCACTCCAGACTGGGTGAAAGAACGAAACTCCATCTCAAAAAAAAAAAAAAAAAAAAAAAAGGAGGCCAGTAGCCAGAATAATCTGCACCCTATCAGGGAGCTCTATTTTGGATTATAACTAATAGAATCAATCTGATCCTCTTTCAGGGACTATAGAGAACAAGAGAAGTAGCAAAGGGGAAAGTGGGCAGGGAAGCTGGAGAGCACATGAATAAGAGGATGCACATTGTAACTACAGGGCAATAGACATCCACTTCAAAAGCAAGGACTCAGCCCAGCCGTCTAAGCTGCTGGTGTTCACTACATTTTTTTTCCAGCTCTCCAAGAAGTTGTGCCTCTGATCAAGTATTAAAATAAGCCTCCAGCATTTAAGATAATGTCAATGTGACTTTGTTCCTTGTAACTTAAAGGACGCAGCCCGAATTCATCATAAAAAGAAAAATTCAGACCTGCAATATACAGCACATTAAAATAAATAAGTCAGGCATAAAAAATACCACATAAAAAAAATTATACAACCCGAAGTCGAGGCTTTGACATTTACTTTCATAAAGGGAATAAGAAAAATGTGCAATGAAAATTACTCTATAGTTGTTCAAAAGATGAAATGAAAACGTGTTCAAAATGAAAACGTGAATACTTAAGCACCCACAGAGTTTGCTCAATGGCATTTAAAAAGCAAGCATTCTTTAAACTAGAATTCAAGAATCAAGGGTAAGTTAGGAAGGCATTAGTAATTATGCTTATTTTCCTGGGCTCTTTACATCAAAATGAAAGTAATTTCCAGCCCATAAAGCTCATTTTTAAAGATACCGCAATTAAAGATATTTTATCTCTATATACATGTGTAAATCTTTTGTCATAACCAAAATAGGTTATTGGAAATAAAATATGTATTGTAGCCAATTCAAGTTAAAAAAAAGAAACCTGGGTCTCCTTCAGTTGTCAAGCCATGAGAGCTTGGTCTCATATCAATCTGAAGATCTGTGTAAACACATAAGCTTTCAATTATTATAACTTTAAAAAGCCGCTTCAAAAGTCACCACACAATTACTTTGGTTTCCTTGGCATCCAAGTACTTTTTAAAAGCTTACTTTTTAGCTGTAATTATTTTGAAGTTTAGCGTTTATATCTTTGCATTTCCATTTCCAAAGCACTCTGCAGTTCTTAATATTTTTGAACAAGTCAGTAAAATAGTTTTGTAGCACTTTAAAGTTTTTAACGTAGTTCCCTAATAAATCGCTGTTCTGAAAAATCCCTATATAAGACAAAGCCTTTGCTCAAAAGTTTGTTCATTGTCTTTCCTTTTGCTTGCAAATGGTACAACTGTGTCTGTCTCAGGGAACAATCACTTTAATTGGGTATTAAAGAGACTGGGAATGTTTCTCCTCATTGAATATATCCACTCACAGTTAGGAAAACTTTGAGTTATTAAGACAAAGGGGTTATAAACCCAGATGGGATCTTGGATGTGCTTACAACATAAACTCATAATAGTACTACAAAAAAAAAACAAAGATGACACTATGATTTCTCATAGAGAACTGCATATTCCCAGGGTAGTTTTCTTCTGAAGAAATTAGGATACTTTACTTCCAAAGTGAAAAATATTCCCCTAATTAAGCATCCATACAAGCTGCATTTTCCTTATGACTCCACTTTTTATTCATGGGTTTTAAGATACCCCAAATAAACCTGGTATATAACATTAATACTACTCTAATTCTAATTATCTACTTTGAACAACACTTTCATATACGGGGATTTCTGGGAGTGGTATGATTTTAAAACACAGTGTATGTTTATATACACTGCCACGACCCTTCTTCTCCCACAAAATATTAATTCAGCAAATATTTAATACTGAAATCATGCCTTTATCACTTGGTACAGCTATTATAATTAAGTTGGCAATATAAGTAGCTTAATAGATAACTAGTATTTGGACTTCATACTTTAATTTTGAAAACTCACTGTAAAACACAGATTGAACTCTGTTCAATGAACTTCAATTTCATATTTAAAGCAAGTCTATCAACTGATTCATACCTTATCTTCAACATATACTCATGAAAAACTCACTATTGCGGCCGGGTGCGGTGGTGCACTCCTGTAATCCCAGCACTTTGGGAGGCCAAGGCAGGTAGATCGCTTGAAGTCAGGAGTTTGAGACCAGCCTGGCCAACATAGTGAAACCCCATCTCTACTAAAAATATAAAAGCCGGGCATGGTAATGCATGCCTGTAATCCCAGCTACTCGGGAGGCTGAGACAGAAGAATCGCTTGAACCCGGGAGGCGGAGGTTGCAGTGAGCCAGGATCATGTCACTGCACTCCATCCTGGGTGACAGAGGGAGACTCTGTATCAAAAAAAAAAAAAAAAAAAATTAGCCAAGCATGTGGTCACACACCTGTAGACTCAGCTACTCAAGAGGCTGAGGTGGCAAGATAGCTTGATCTCAGGAGATTGAGGCTGCAGTGAACCAGGATCACATCACTGCTCTCCAGCCTGGGTGACAGAGCAAAACCGTCTCAAAAAAAAAAAAAAAAAAAAAAAAAAAAAAGGAAAAAACGGAAACCTAGGTATATGAAGCCATCACGGAACTGATGTACTATATAAGCCAGAGCCAGCCTTTGTTGGAACTCACCTGATTTTAATAAATTTTCCTTCTCGTTTAAGCCATTTTGAAGTGGAGTTTTACTGCTTATAGTTAAAAAAGTATCTTTCTGGATTTCCACGTGTTGGCTTATTTAAAAAAACTGAAATTATAAGACTGAGCCCTGTGTTTATAACTCAGAAGCATGACTTACTAACTTTGTGAATGGGGGCAGGGCACTAACCATCTTGAGGTACAAGTGAAACAATAGCATGTATTTTATAAGTACAGTTATGAAAAAAGAGAGGGCAACTCAGTGTGTTAGCTGTACAATGTCTATAAACTTTTAACAGTCAGACAAGTTCTGGCAAACAACCTAGTATATCAAGTGGGGCCAATAATGGATCTACACCCCAACCCTAGAATGTTTAAATCCAAGATGCTCCACCTAATGTCTACATTATGAAAACTGCCCCCTCTATGACCAAATATATTTGAAGTCAAAGGAATCAAAGGAAACAATTGTGACTGCATGAATGCTAATAAATGAAAATTTTATTTGCGTCAGCATTAGCATTCTGATTTTTAAAGATTAGATATAGAGATATCACGAATTTGATCTTCAACCCAAACTTTTTTTTTTTTTTGAGACGAAGTCTCACTCTGTTGCCCAGGCTGGAGTGCAGTGGCACGATCTCGGCTCACTGGGTTCACACCATTCTCCTGCCTCAGCTTCCCGAGTAGCTGGGATTACAGGCGCCCGCCACCACGCCTGGCTAATTTTTCGTATTTTTATTAGAGACGGGGTTTCACTGTGTTAGTCACGATGGTCTCGATCTCCTGACCTCGTGATCCGCCCACCTCGGCCTCCCAAAATGCTGGGATTACAGGCATGCAACCCAAACTTTAAATCCCTTAATAATACCATGCTGGAAAACAGCATGAAGTATAATCAACTGTGAAACAGGTTAAGGCTGGGTACAGTAGCTCACACCTATAATCCCAGTACTTTGGGAGGCTGAGGCAGGAGGATAGCTTGAGCCCAGGAGTTCAAGACCAGCCTGAGCAACATAGCGATACTCCATCTCTATTAGGGAAAAAAAAAAAACAGTTGAGCCAACAACATGATAGGGATATGGTCTGCTATTGGCAGCAATTCAAACAACATGGCTCAAGCAATCTCTATTAAAATGTCTGGAACAAGAAATTAACAGAGTGGCATATTCATGAAGCTACAGATTTTTTTTTTTCTGTTAATATCAACTATTCTGTACCAGAGACACATTCTGAAATTTACATTATTATTGTTAAAGATTTTATTAGAAAGTACTTAAATACTTAATACATTAGTATTTAAGTACTTGTTAGTACTTAATTAGTATTTAGTAATAATAAACAAGCACTAAAGAATATTTAATTGCAGAAGTAGAAAATACATTGTGAACTTCCTAAGTTATCAATCACGTTATGAGAATGTAAGTTTTATGTATTAAAAAATAAAGCAAGGCAAAAACTTTATTGCACTTAACAATATACAAAATAGAATAAATATACAAAATAAAAAATCCATTATCCGACTGTAGATACAAAATAGTTATTTGCATGTAATAAACATTAATATTTCAATAAAAAATATTTTAAATAAAATAGAATAGTATTACCAGACTGTATTAGGACAGTATAGTATCACAAAACCTTATAGGAAATAGTAACAATCTGCGAATAACAGAATTTTTTCTATTACATACTAAATACAAGTTTTATCTCCATTTATGCAAATCATTAAAGAAAATGTTAAAGAATTCTTATTCTAATTTTTTGTACTTTTATTCTAGAACTACGTATTGCAATTTCCAAGAAATAACCTACAGATTCCCAGAAGGATTTTTTTAATACTGGCAGTCTTCCTGTTCAATACACAAAATATCAATCTTTTCTTCTGTCAGAAAACTCAAAATTAAAAACTACACCAGGCTCTTTGTTCAGTGTTTTCTCCTCTTCTTGGATGCAGTGAACTCTAAAGACATAAAGTTTAAAAGTCAGTCAGATCTAAAAACAAAAAAAAAACAAACAAAAAAAACAACTGACACTTACATGATAATACCTAATTGATAATACACATTTCAACTACATAGACGTCTAACTGGTACAACACAATAAGAATGCCCTCACAGCAAAGACACAACAAAAAAATCTTAAACCTGACATATTCAAGAATTTTTTCTTCAAAATGATACAGCAGTTTAAAACATACTATCGGCCAGGTGCAGTGGCTCACGCCTATAATCCCAGCACTCTGGGAGGCTAAGGTGGGCGAATCATGAGGTCAGGGGATCGAGACCATCCTGGCTAACATGGTGAAACCCCATCTCTACTAAAATAAATACAAAAAATTAGCCGGGCGTGGTGGTACATGTCTATAGTACCAGCTACTCAGGAGGCTGAAGCAGGAGAATTGCTTGAACCCAGGAGGTGGAGGTTGCAGTGAGCCAAGATCGTGCCACTGCACTCCAGCCTGGACGACAGAGCGAGACTCCATCTCAAAACAAACAAACAAACAAAAAAAACACATAACAACAAAAAATACTACCTCCATTAAGGTAGTAAGATCTCAATCCTATTGCAATATCAATCTATTGAGATAGTGGCCCTTAGTCATTCTAAATCCTAATTAATAATAAGTTACTGTGAAGTTGTTTCATATGGGTACACCCTCCCTATAATTATATGAACCCAGGGTACTAGATCTCAAAGGTATTTAGGCCAGTACTAAGAAGAAGAAAATGACTAAGATTTCAATTTCATTTCAATTAAACCTAGAAATGTAACCCAAAACACCAGTACCACACATCATTCTGGCTACCACAGGAGATGCCAGAACCAACACTCGAATAATTGTCCATCTAGAAACAGCACGAACCTAAAGTTTACTGATCATTAAAAGCAAAGAAAGTAATAGAAAACACAAAAACATGAAAATTACAAAAGATGTGGCAAAAAGAAATATTCCGGCCGGGTGCAGTGGCTCCCACCTGTAATCCCAGCACTTTGGGAAGCCAAGGCAAGCGGATCACTTAAGGTCAGGAGTTCAAGACCAGCCTGCCCAACACGGTGAAACCCCATCTCTACAAAAATACAAAAATGAGCCGGGCATGATGGTGAGTGCCTGTAATCCCAGCTACTTGGGAGGCTGAGGCAGGAGAATCGCGTGAACCTGGGAGATGGTGTTTGCAGTGAGCTGAGATCACGCCATTGCACTCCAGCCTGGGTGACAGAGCAAGACTCTGTCTCAAAAAAAAAAAAAGAAAAAAAGAAAAGAAAAAAAAATATTCCCCACCAGTGAAAAACAAAAGGGAAATGGCAGAAAAAGAAAAAGAGAAAAGACAAGTAAAAAAAACAAATTAAGATGAAAACAAATTCCTAGGCCAGGCACGGTGGCTCATGCCTGTAATCCCAGTACTTTGGAAGGCTGAGGCAAGTGGATCACTTGAGCCCAGGAGTTTGAGACCAGCCTAGGCAACACAGTGAGACCCTGTCTCTACAAAAAATACAAAAATTAGCCAGGCATGGTGGCATGTGCCTTCAGTCCCAGTGACTCAAGAGGCTGAGGCGGGAGGGGAGGATAGCCTGAGCCGGGGAGGTCGAAGCTGTAGTAAGTCACTGTGATCAAGTCACCGCACTCCAGCCTGGGCAACCCAGCAAGACCCTGTCTCATGAAAAAAAAATAAAGAAAACAAATTCCTGGAAGAGAGCAGCAGTCAGGATTAGAAGTACTGGAACACTGTCCAGATGAAAGCAGGTCAGAGGTCTGACAGAGACATCTCTACAAAGATGAAACTGATAGGATACCTAATGGGTATCCATACCATTCATTTATTGTATTATCCCTGACTTTGAGATGTCATTAATGATATGACTAATACTGAAATTCTCCAATGGGTCAAAGATGAAAGGATCACAAGAACACACAGCAAACTGTCATGTTCCTCAAGGGTTCTAAACCTTGATGCTCTACGAGTATAAGTTAGTTTACTTGACTAGTTTGACCAAATTTTATCTGTACCTGTTCCACTCAAACTTTCATTCTCTTCTTCTTCTGTAATTACAGGCATACTCAGACTTAAAGGTTTATCTTCCTTGTGTATATTCTGCACATTGCCTAGAAATATTTAGAAAATGATTTTATATGAAAGCAAAGAATATTATAATCTTTGAGAAAACATTTTACAAAAACTGTCATTATTACAGCATAAAAATTAGACATGTAAAAACTGAAACTGTAATGGTAACAGAAATACGCATTCTAGAATACCTATATTTTTTCAAATACTAACATATTTGTATTTATACTTTGAAAATAGTCTCTAGTTCTTCCACTAGAGAAAACAGAGAAAAAAGGAATAAACAAAATTAGCCAAACACAAATACCATATTTAATCTTTACCACACATGACAGGGGTTATATCTGCAGCCATCAAAGAATAATCACATATGTTACTTCAACTTTATTAAATTAATTACAAATGTAATTTTTGAGTTTAACAGCCTTACTTTTGGATGTGAACATACTTTCTTTTCTCACCACATATGCTCTACAAGATATATTCCTCTAGTCATAATTTGCGATTGACTTTCCATTTTCAAAAACACTAGAGGTTCTCTACATCAACCTTCTGTTACCTGAAGAAGTATCCCAACCAAATTTATCAGATACCATTGTCATATCAAGTACCATTTAGCACACAATTTCCATGTCCCAAAAGCAACCCCCATAAACAGTGACTATTTTTTATGCTGTTTTTCTTTGCCCCAACACTTTTATCATTTGATATGTTATATCTTGCTTTTTTTTTTTTTTCTTTTTTAATGGAGTCTCACTCTGTCACCCAGGCTGCAGTGCAGTGGCGCGATCTTGGCTCATTGCAACCTCTGCCTCCTGGGTTCAAGCAATTCTCCTGCCTCTGCCTCCTGAGCCTGCACACTGAGAACAGAAAGATGTTCACTACAATAAGTGTAACAGAAACACTATTTTCTTTTTTTAAAAAGACATAAGAACAAAGCATTGTGGCATGAAGCCATTTAATATAAACTGCCGCACACTTAAGCTATTTTTTTTTTTGAGACAGAGTCTCTCTGTAGCCCAGGCTGGAGTACAGTGGCGTAATCCCAGCTCACTGCAACCTCCGCCTCCCAGGCTTAAATGATTCTCATGCCTCAGCCTCCTGAGTAGCTGGGACTACAGGTGAATGCCATCACGCTCAGCTAATTTCTGTATTTGTAGTAGAGATGGGGGTTCCACCATGCTGGCCAGGCTGGTTTCAAACTCCTGACCTCAAGTGATCCACCTGCCTCAACCTCCCAAACTGCTGGGATTACAGGCGTGAGCCACCGTGCCCGGCCTATTTCTTGATAGAATCATTACATTATAAAACCCAGTAACATAATCCTCATGATGGTGACCATGACTTGTCAGGAGAAAATTAAATTATGTTAAGGATACAGTGTTCCAGAAAATAAGAGCATAAAATATATTTGACTTTAATGTATTTATAATTACAAAAATGATAAATGTAGAAAAAAGGAAACATATAAAAGAGAATGCAATATATTTGAGAAAGATAGCAAAAAATAATTAAATTTTTAAAAAGTAAATTTTGGCTGGGGGTGGTGGCTCATGCCTGTAATCCCAGCACTTTAGGAGGCTGAGGTGGGTGGATCACAAGGTCAGGAGTTCGAGACCAGTCTGGCCAACATGGTGAAACCCTGCTTCTACTAAAAATACAAAAATTAGCTGGGCATGGTGGTGGGTGCCTGTAATCCCAGCTACCCGGGAGACTGAGGCAGGAGAATTGCTTGAACCCAGGAGGCGGAGGTTGCAGTGAGCCGAGATCGCGCCACTGCACTCCAGCTCTGGGCGACAGAGCAAGACTCCATCTCGGGAGGGAACAAAAAAGTAAATTTCAACATTGTAATCATTAACCTCAATTATCCATAAAACTAACTCCCTAGAAGGTCTCAGGTGGGCAGTTTTACTATGCTCAAAGCTAAATGTGTGGGGTGCAATGATCAGTAATAGACCACTACTGATTATCCAAACAAATGATTACTAGTCAGGCAGCTAGAATGCAACTAACAACAAATTTACTTAAGTGTATGTCTAATCTGAGCTCCAGATCCACACCTCCAGTGACCTGGGAGGTAGCACAGTATGACAGTTAAAGAATCAGGCTTGGATTCAGACAGACTCGTTCCAGTCTCAGTTCTGCTATGTATTATCTAGAAGGTCTTGGACATGTGAGAAAAAGTTGGTCAGATAAAAAGTGTTACATAGCCGGGTGCGGTGGCTTGCGCCTGTAATCTCAGCACTTTAGGAGGCTGAGGTGGGTGGATTATTTAACGTCAGGAGTTCGAGACCAACCTGGCCAACATGGTTAAGACTCCGTCTCTACTAAAAATACAAAAATCAGCCAGGCGTGGTGGCGAGCGCCTGTAATCACAGCTAGTGGGGAGGCTGAGGCAGAAGAATCGCTTGAACCCAGGAGGTGGAGGTTGCAGTGAGCCGAGATCGTGCCACTGCACTCCAGCCTGGGTGACAGAGCAACACTCCATCTCAAAAAAAAGTGTTAATAAATAGTAGTTGCTATCATCTTCATCCATCATAGCACTGGTATTACTGATGTCCTGTCAACATGCATGTTATATTCGAGGAATGGTGAGCACATAATTAAAGCTTAAATAACATAAGCTTAAGTAAATTCCATCAATATACTGAGCACCCATTAATACACCAAGCAATTATTACAGAAATCAGTCTGGCAAGGCGGACTGGAGCGAATTCTCCCCCCAATGAAATCTTTATTGTGTCATTGTATTTCTCCAGCAAGGACACAAATATCCTCCCAGGTGCTCAGACATTAAGCATTCTTGTCTCACCCCTCTCCACTAGTCTCCGTATTTGCTCTTATGTCTGTTAGCCTTGCTTCTCTAATTCCTACAACCATGTGGCACACGCTCGTTACTCCTAAATCTGAACTACCGCAACAGCCCTCTACTTAGTGTTCCTATTTTCAGTTTGTTCCCAGCTACCTACCATTCTACTCCCAGACTGATTTTCTTCAAGGAAAACTTTGGGCATGCCACTTTCTTGCTCAAAAGTTTCAGCTGACTCCCCCTCTGCCTACCAATTGAAGTGTAAACTTCTTGATTCCACATTTAAGGCCTGGTCACAATACAATCCTCAACATATTTTTCCAGCACTTTTAACATTTAACTCCCCAACATATCCCCTTTACAATCCAGCCTAAATGGACCCCTCACTCTATACTTCCCAGCTACTTTGCCTTTTTCACACCAGCCCCTCTACTTGTCTGAGTCTATGAAATTATGTTTACCTTATTTGTAAAAAGGTCTTTGGATTTCTACTGATTACTAAAGTAACACTTGGTTATACAAAATCCAAACGTTACAGACATTTATGGGTAGTTTCTCATTATACTATCCTTGAAAATTAACCACTGGTAATACTTCATACACATCTAGATTTCTTCAGTGCTATATATTATGTTCATGTGTGTATGTATGTATATTTTTTTATTAATAGAAACGAGATCATACTTTTTTAAAAAGCCTTTTCACTATGAAATGTATAGATAATGTTGTGTTTTATTTTTAGTCGATATATTTTGGATATACTTTCATAATACAGAGCTTTCCCTAGCCTTTTTTTTTTTTTTTTGAGATGGAGTCTTGCTCTGTCACCCAGGCTGAAGAGCGGTGGCGCTATCTTGGCTCACTGCAACCTCCGTCTCCTGGGTTCAAGTGATTCTCCTGCCTCAGACTCCCAAGTAGCTGGGACTACAGGCACCCGCCACCACACCCAGCTAATTTTTGTATTTTCAGTAGAGGTGGGGTTTCACCATATTGGCCAGGCTGGTTTTGAACTCCTGACCTTGTGATCTGCCTGCCTCGGCCTCCCAAAGTGCTGGGACTACAGGCGTCAGCCACCGTGCCCAGCCTCCCTAGCTTTTTAGTAACTGCAAAGTATTCCTTTGTATGGACTGACAATAATTTTATTTACCCATTATACATTTGAGTTGTTTACAGTTTGCCATTTCAAATAATCCTGCAATGAATTTCCTTTTATATTTATGATTTGTACAGAATAAATTCCTAGCAATTCTAAAAAGCATGTACATTTAAAATTTTGACCTGATTCTAAATTGCTCTATGAAAAGAATGTGCCAATTTACTCTCCCACTTAAACTGAGATTTTATTTCCTCACACTTTCATTATCAATGGGTATTATCTTTAATCTTTATCAAATAATATAAAAATCATGTTTTAATTTATATATCTTTAATTATAAATGAAATTCAATTATTTCCTATATGCACTGACTGTCTGCCTGCATTTGTTATTGCCTGTTCATGTCCTAAGCTATTTTTCTACTGGGTGGTGGCCCTTTTCTTATTCATTTATAAAAGCTCTTTTACAATTAGAAATTTTAATAGTATCATATGTGCAAATGGATTTGTAAGATCTTTTGCCTTTTATGGAACTGAAGGCTCCTCTGTTTGAAAAACTGTAAAATCAAAAACACCTTTCCACTGTATGGAAATGAACGTTTGATTAATGAGAAACTACAAAGTAAGCATTTGGGTCTTTATTATTCAGGTAACTACTTCTGCTTCAGAGTATTTACAATACCTTAGCTGGATTAGTTAAGCCATGATGGAGATCTGAATTCAGATCACATTTTATAATACTTTATTCTTTCTCATGGGTAAATCCTCCCTAACACCCTGAGAAAATTCATTAACAAATCTCAGATGTACTATAGAGCCTGTCCTTCAGTTAGTTTCAGAATTTACAAAACAGTTGTTTTCAGCAACTAATTATGATTGGTGATCATAAATTATAACTGTCACACATTCAAGATGAAAGTTAATTTCATTTAACTTCTTTCTTTTCCTATTTTGTTCTTGTTCCTCCTTTGTTCCCCAACCACATTAAAAAATTTTTTTTTCAGGTCTTCAAGAAAGCAGCTTGGCCAGCTCATCACGTTGCTGTGCCTATATGAAGGCAATTAATAAAAAGTGCTTGTGAGGGTTTCTAAACCTAACTATCTTTGGTACTTATGTTAAAGTGAACTAAATATGGCCTGAGAAGGACTCCGTACTTCTATATTTGAGTCCTTGTGGACCAACTGCAATCTAGCTTAATAGGTAGACAAGACTGAAAACCAAATTTAGGAGTATGTGCCTTAACAATAGCTGAGACTTGGCCAATCCCAGCGGCAGTACTTCAACCATTCATACACTGCTGAGTCTTCAAACTGTGTTCAAATAAGGCAAATGCCGAGCTGTAACCAATCCAGCTGTTCTGTACCTCACTTCCGATTTCTGTACCTCATTTCCTTTTTATTGGCTATACATCTTCCACCACGTGGCTGCACTGGAGTCTCTGAATCTGCCGTGATTCTAGGGGCTGTGCGATACTGGAAATGTTCACTGCTCAATTAAACTCCTTTAAATTTAATTCAGCTGAACATTTTCTTTAAAAAAAAAAAACATTTTAATCTACCAGAAGTTAATTTTTGAAATATAATCAAACTAAACAATCTTTTCCTTATGTCCTCTCTTTTTGTTCGTGTTTGGCCATCAGTCAGGTTTATTGAAGTATTATTAACATACAATAAAATTCACCCATTTTTGCTATACAGAGAAGTTTGGACAAATGCACGGCTGTGCAATCTACCACTGCAACGAAAATATAGATTTCCATCACCCCAAAAGTTTCTCTGTGCCACTGGGCATTTAATACCTTCCCCTACCCCTAAGTCCGTAGCAACCAAATATATGTTTTCTGTCCCTACAGATTTGCCTCTTCCAGAATGTCATATAAATAGAATCACAGAGTATATAGCCTTTTGTGTCTGTCTTCTTTCACAGAGCACACTGAATTCAGATTCATCTATGTTGTTAGATGTATGATAGCTCTTTTATTGCTGGGTTGTATTTCATTGCATGGATATGCCACAGTTTATCCAATCAGCAGTGGAAGGATTTTTAGGCTGTTTGCAGTTCTTGCAATTATGAATAAAGCCACATAAACTTTTGCATACACATTTCTGTGTGAACATTAAGTGTTCATTTCTCTTGAGTAAATACCAAGGAATAGTATTTCTGGGTCGGATGGTAAGTACACGTTTACCTTTTAAAAACTACAGGTTTTCTAAAGTAACCACATCATTCTGGATTCACACCAGAAAAGTATGCAGGTTCCACTTGTTCCAAATCCTCAACAGCTTTTTTCATCACAATTTTTGTTTTGCTTTGTGGGGTCTTTTTGTTGTTGCCATTCAGGGTTTAGTGGAGTGTCACTGTGGTTTTAATTTACATTTCTCTAGTAACTAAAGATGCAGAGCATCTTTTCATATGATTATTTGCCATCCATATCTTTTCTTTGGTGAAATGTTTTAGCCATTTCTTCATTGGGTGGGCTGTATATTTATTGAGTTAGACTTCTTTAAATATTACTATTTTGGATACAAGACCTTTATCAGCGTAGTAGTTTGCAAAAATTTTCTCCCAGTCTGTGGCTTATCTTCTCATCTTCTTAACAGTGTCTTTTGAAGACAAAAATTGTAACTTTGAGAATGCCAATTTATCAGTTTTTTTTTGTTTCATGATTTGCTCGTGTTATTGTGTCATGTATTTAAAAATCTTGCCCAACCCAAGAACACAAACATTTTTCTCCTACATATTTTTTCACAAGTTTTATAATTTAGGTTTCAAATTTAGGTCCATAATCCATTTTGAATTTTTTTTTGGATAAGATAAGGGATATTGGTCTTTAGTTCTTTCTTGCAATGTCAGTAAGCTGCAAAGTGTTCCCTCTTGCATTTTCTGAAAGAATCTAGATCACTCCTTTCTTAAATGTTTGCTAAAATTTCCAGAGAAGCCTGGGAATTTAATTTCTTTAGCAGTGTGAGAGGAAAATAAATCTTCGGACCCCAAAATCACTAAGCTAAAGGGAAAAGTCAAGCTGGAACTGCTTAGGGCAAACCAGCCTCCCATTCTATTCAAAGTGATCCCTCTGAGGCTCACCTAAGACAAATGCATATCTGATTGCTTCCTCTCCCCTATTGCTTATGTGAAAATGCAGATTCATTGAGCCAGAGTAAATTGCGTATTATTTGTATTAGGTGGAAGGCCATCAAAGACTCAAAAAATCCAACTTTTTGTCTTACCTACTTCTAACCTGGAAGCCCCCACTTGTTGCCTTACCAGACCAAACCAATGTACGACTTACACATATTGATGATGTGTCATGTCTCCCTAAAATGTATAAAAGCAAACTGTATCCCGACCACACTGGGCACATGTCTCAGGACTTCCTGAGGTTGTATCACAGGCACATCCTTAACCCAGGCAAAATAAACTTTCTAAATCAACTGAGACCTGTCTCAGATATTCTGGGGTCTCAGTAGACATTAGACTATTCAGATTTCCTCCATCAGTTTTGGAAACTTGTGTCTCTCTCTTTTTTTTTTGAGACAGAATTTCGCTCTTGTTGCCCAGGTTGGAGCGCAAAGGCTCCATCTTGGCGCGATCTTGGCTCACCGCAACCTCCGCCTCCCGGGTTCAAGCAATTCTGCCTCAGTCTCCCAAGTAGCTGGGATTACATGCATGTGCCACCAAGCCCAGCTAGTTTTGTATTTTCAGTAGAGACGGGGTTTCTCCATGTTGGCCAGGCTGGTCTTGAACTCCCAACCTCAGGTGACCCACCTGCCTCAGCCTCCCAAAGTGCTGTGATTACAAGCATGGGCCACCGCGCCCGGCCTGGAAACTTGTGTCTCTTAATAAATTTATTCATTTTATTTAAGCTACCTAACTTACTGGCATAAAATTATTTATAATTTTGCCTTGGTCACCTTTTAATCTTTGTAAGGTTTACAGTGGTCACCCTTACCTCCCTAAATTTTTGTTCTTAATTATTTTTCAGCAAATTCTCTTTAGAATTTTTTTAGGCATAAAATCATTCACATATCATGATAATTTTCTAGTCTCTCTTTCTGATGTCATATCTCCCTTCACTCTCTTATCTAATTACACTGACTAGCTCTTTAAGAGCAACGTTAAATAAAACTGTGATACTTCTTGCATATTACCATTGAACATGAGGCACTTTGTAATCTAATACACAAGTGCACACACACACTTTAAAGATTAAAGAAATAATCTTCTATTTTACCTAGGGCAGGAGTTAACAAACTATGGCCCCTGGACCAAATGTGACCAACCACCTGCTTTTATACAGTTTTACTGGACTACAACCACACTAGTGTGTGTTGGTATTATCTATAGCTACTTTCACATTACGATGGTAGAGCTGAGTAGTTGTGACAGAAACACGGCTCACAAAACCTAAACTATTTACTACCTGGCCCTTTACAGAAACTGTTTGCTGACTCCTTGATCTAGAGGATTTTTTTTTTTTAAATCAAGAATGGATGGTGGATATTATCAAATGTCTTCTTTGGTAACTATTAAAATAAATTCACATTTTCCCCTTTAACCTATTGATGTGGTAAATCATATTAATAGATTCTGAATGCATCCTGAAATAAGTGTACTCAGTCAAGGTATTTTTGTGTCTAGGATTATTTTTGATACATGTGACTTAGGATTTTTTCAGTAATACTCATAAGTGAGTTTAGTCTAACAATTTTCTTCACAATATCCTTTAGCATTGTGAAAGGAAGTAGAAAAATCTCCTTTTGAACTATTTCTTGATCATACTTAACAAATATGGTATCTCCTCTGAATTCTCAGTGCACTTCAAGCTACTGTTACACGACTTAATCATATCTGGGACATATTAAAGGTATTTAACTTCAGTTCTCCCTCCACTGCTTCAATATAGGGGAAAAAATGCTAAAAGGCTGTTAACTTATCTTCATATATACCTGCAGTAGTTGAGAGTGAATTTCATTATTAGTCATTAAATATTTACTGTTTCTAACGCTCCTTTTTTTCTCACCTTAAGTAAACCTGTTAATCAAATTCCAAATTTATGTAGGGTGCATATACATTATTCAGACAATTTTTAAAAAACCAAACTATTGCCAGGTGCGGTGGCTCACGCCCGTAATCCCAGCACTTTGGGAGGTCAAGGCGGGCGAATCACGAAGTCAGGAGTTCAAGACCAGCCTGGCCAACATAGTGAAACCCCGTCTCTACTAAAAATACAAAAACAAATTACCCAGGCATGGTGGTGGGCGCCTGTAGTCCCAGCTACTTGGGAGGCTCAGACAGGAGAATCACTTGAACCCGGGAGGCAGAGGTTGCAGTGAGCCGAGATCGCGCCACTGCACTTCAGCCTGGGCAACACAGCAAGACTCTGTCTCAAGAAAAAAAAAAAAAAAAAAAAAACCAAACCAAACTATTGAAATATATACGAAAGTAATTTCCTTAAGAAGAAAGGTAATTTTACAGATACACCGTGTCAAAGAAAAAGGACATCTTAATACAGCTAAAAAGAAACATGGTTTATAGAATGCATTATTTATATCTCATTCTACAAATAAGTTTGATTCGCACACAAAAATTACTACTAAAATATGCACTGGAGGCCGCGTGCGGTGGCTCATACCTGTAATCTCAGCACTTTGGGAAGCCAAGGCAGGTGGATCACCTGAGGTCAGGAGTCCAAGACCGGCCTGGCCAACATGGTGAAACCCCATCTCTACTAAAAAAAAATACAAAAAAAAATTAGCTGGGTATGGTGGCAGGTGCCTGTAGTCCCAGCTACTCAGGAGGCTGAGGCAGGAGAATTGCTTGGACCTGGGAGGCGGAGGTTGCAGTGAGCCAAGATCGTGCCATTGCACTCCGGCCTGGGCAACAACAGCAAAACTCCCTCTCAAAAAAAAAAAAAAAAAAAAAATGCACTGGAAAATTCTAGACTGATTTCATAACTATCTAGCTATTAATTGATATATCACTTTAGACAAGTTATTTAATCTGTATAGGCCTAAATTTCTTTTTTTGTTTGTTTGTTTTGAGAGTCTTGCTCTGTCACCTATGCTGGAGTGAAGTGACATGATCTCAGCTCACTGCAACCTCTGCCTTCCAGGTTCAAGCAATTCTCGTGCCTCAGCCTCCCAAGTAGCTGGGATTACAGGCATGCGCTACCATGCCCGACTTTTATATTTTTAGTAGAAACAGGGTTTCACCATGTTGGCCAGGCTGGACTTGAACTCCTGACCTCAAGTGATCCGCCCACCTAGGCCTCTCAAAGTGCTGGGATTACAGGCATGAGCCATAGCACCCGGCCAGGCCAAAATTTCATCATCTATAAAACGATACATTTGATATGATTCCTAGGATCCCTTTCAAGCAATAAGATTCCAAGAATCTAACAGAATTTATTTTTAATATTAAATCTCACAAAAATGTTCTCAAACAAGTATCTAATCCTTCTTAACAAGGAAATAAACATGAGGCAAAGTTGTAAATAAAACCCATTCTCCTTTGTTGAATCTTAGTAAGACTTTAAAAAGTTACCTTTGTTTCTGAGAGACATCTTCCTTCCTGCTGGTTTCAATCTTTCTTTCTTCTCTTTTTTCCTAGTTGCTTTGACTTGCCCTTGACCAGATGCAGAATCAGAGTCAGAAGAGTCGAGTTTGACTTGACGATGCCTTCTTGATTTGGATGCCTTAAGAGTTACAATCCAATTAACCAATAAATTATAAAATGAATCCAAATGATAAAATTGAGAGGAAGACAAAATGTACAATCAAAGATGAGGAAAGATTTACAGAAATATCTGTCATAAAGTACTTTACTATTACCCCTGGCTGGCTTACTATAACTACCTGTGTCATGTAAATAGTCTCTTATTTTTATAACATGAAGTTTCCTGCAGCTGTCATCATCATCTACTCACATGGGCTTAAAATGAAGTTGTTCTATTATCTGGCATGGTTAGGCAACAAAGGTGTAGAGGCATCTTCTAATAAATTTATTTCCCTTAGGCACTACCACGCATTCCAAGTAGAAGTACTTCACGCTTGGCTCCAGGTTTGGCCATGTGGCCCAGATCTGGCCACAATGAGTTTAACATCCCCATGGCCAGGGTAATTTGTTGGGAGTGGGGAGGCAAGCAGGCGGGGTATGTGGTATGTATCATGGCTAATGAAATGCTATTTTGGAATTGTCTAACTATTAAGAAGGAAAAATTCTTTCTTGCCTTGGAAGCTAAAGCTGGGAACATGCAAGGCTGGAGCTGTCAGGAAAACAGCACTTGACGGCAGTGAAAATGGAGGGCCAGTCTTAATGATAGCTTTGTCTGCGACACAGATATCTTTAGCCAATCCTGGCTAAGGATTTGTTTTGTTACATCAGTAGGTGAATTCCCTTACTTGCTTAAGCAAAGAATTTTCAGTTAATGCTGTATATGCAATACAGGTATTAACAATTCTTTTTTCTGTCCTTTTTTTTTTTTTTTTTTTGGAGATGGAGTCTTGCTTTGTCACCCAGGCTGGAGTGCAGTGGCACGACCTCAGCTCGCTGCAACCTCTACCTCCCGGGGTTCACGCCATTCTCCTGCCTTAGCCTCCCGAGTAGCTGGGACTACTGGCGCCCACCACCACGCCCGGCTAATTTTTTGTATTTTTAGTAGAGATAGCGTTTCACCGTGTTAGCCAGGATGGTTTCGATCTCCTGACCTCATGATCCGCCCACCTCGGCCTCCCAAAGTGCTGGGATTACAGGCATGAGCCACCGCACCCGGCCAACAATTCTTAAAAAGCAACCACGTATAGCTGTCTCTCAGTATCCATGGAGGATTAGTTCCAGGACTTCCTTCGTATACCAAAATCCAGAGAAGCTCAAATTCCTGATATAAAATTGTGTAGTATTTGCATATAACCTATGCACTTCCTCCCATATACTTTCAATCATCTCTAGATTACTTATAATACCTAATACTATGTAAATGATTGTCATATTATTCAAGGAATAATGGCAAGGAAAAAAGTCCACACATATTTGGTACAGATGCATTTTTTTTTTCAAATATTTTCAATCCACAATTGGTTCAATCCATGGATGCAGAAACCACAGACACACTACAGTAACCAAAACAGAATGGTACTGGTACAAAAACAGACACATAGACCAATGGAACAGGACAGAGAACTCAGAAATAAAGCCACACACCTACGACCACCTGATGGTTGACAAAGTTGACAACAAAAATTGAAAAGTGAGACCTAATTAAACTACAGAGCTTCTGTACAACAAAAGAAACAACAGAGTAAACAGACAACCCTACAGAATGAGAGAAAATAGTCACAAACTTTGCATTCGATAAAGGTCTAATATTCATAATCTATAAGAAAATTAATTCAACAAACAAAAAACCACCCCGTTAAAAAACGGGCAAAGGGCTGGGCACAGTGGCTCACATCTGTAATCCTAGCACTTTGGAAGGCTGAGGTGGGACTGAAAAAACAGGCAGGTGCATTGAAAATCTATAGAGAATAGTGTCTCATTCCTCAACCTCAGAGCTAGGCAACTGATCTCCTGTACAAAACAGAAGGCCTGCTCTCTGAAGAGGCTAAACGAGAAAGGATGTGGGCTCAAAGGAAACTGGTGTAGGTGAGGAAGGAGATGAGGCCTCTTATTGAAAATAGAGGGGCTGAGTGAAACCTGCATAAGGAATGGTGAGCCTCGTGGCTGATTCTCTCTGTAGGCTCCCAAAACATTGGCAGCTGGGCTTATTTCCCACCCTCCTCCCCTAGACAAGGGAGTGAAAGATTGCTCTCTAAATAACTAGCTCCAAGACAAAGAAATCTAGAGGTTAGATAAGCTCCTGATCTCCTCTTGACTACCCTTAAATATGAAAAGACATCTGAGGATCTTCAATCATTTTTAAAAAGCCAACAAAATGGGCCAGGTGCACTGGCTCACACCTGTAATCCCAGCACTTTGGGAGGCCAAGGCAGGTGGATCACCTGAGATCGGGAGTTCAAGACCAGCCTGGTGAACATGGAGAAACCCCCAACTCTACTAAAAATACAAAATTAGCCATGCGTGGTGATGCATGCCTGTAATCCCAGCTACTCGAGAGGCTGAGGCAGGAGAATCACTTGAACCTGGGAAGCGGAGGTTGCAGTGAGCCAAAATTGCACCATTGCACTCCAGCCTGGGCAACAAGAGCAAAACTCTGTCTCAAAAAAAAAAAAAAAAACCAACAAAGTGAAAGAGTTCAAACAAATAGAAAAAAAAGAACTCAAAGGAAATGGGAGGAACCATCAAAAAAAAACTGTAGTTAATATCCTTAAAGAGAAAAAGTTATTGCATCCTGTGAAAAAGAAAAATACATTTAAAAAAATAAAACAAACATTCAGAGAACAAAAAAAATTACTGGTAATGAAAAAATATCAGGGGAAATTTTTTTAAATCAATATAATGGTTCAGAAGATAAAAGCCTAAGAAATCTCCCTGAAAACAGAAAATGAGACAGAGACTGGAAATAGAAGAGAAAAATAAGAAAAGCTGAAGAAGAGAAAAGATGCAGGAAAGAATATTTGTATCAAAGAAACAATACAGAAACTTCTTCAGAACTGAAGGATATCAGATTGAAAGGAGGTCACCATGAGTGCCAAGGGCAATAAACAAAAAAGATGTACACCAAGTTACATTATATGTATTAAATGAAATTTCAGAACTCCAGGGACAAAGCAAAACCTAAAACCTTCCAAAATCAGGAATACTAGAAGCTGGAAGACAATAAAGGAAATGGCATCAAAATTCCAGGTAAATATTAGAAGAAACTGCTAAAAGAGAAGAAGTGAAAGATGCTGTCTCTGAAGGTTAGGAATACAAGGGTGGGAAGTGGCAGAGAAGGGGACTGTTGTGCTATATAATCTCTCTAGCATTATTTGACTTTTAAAACTAAGTACATGTATTACTACTTTGATGAAAAATTGAAATATAATTTAAAAAGCAGTCAATTTCCAAATTACCTTATTAAAGAATAACTTACCTGTATGACAACTGAAAAGGCCTTTGATTTTATTTTCGCTAATGATTCTGCCCTTTCACATCTCTGGATGTAAAATAAGAAGGAAAAAAAAGTTAAAACACACAAACATTAGGTGAAAAACTGAATACCCAAGTATTTATTATCAGAAATAAGATTTCAGACACAATGTAGGGTAAAAGAAACTAACATACATTGGGTATACATTGAGTACACACACATAAACATACATCATATTCTCTCACAGATGTAGCAGGTGCCATAACACCATCCCCATAGTTAGAGATCATTTTCATTCAGGATTCAAGGAGGACAGTATGAATGAAAGCCTGGGTGATCAGGCAGAGCCCTGAACTGCCATTCCCTCCTCATCTGCCTATACTCAAAGATGGCTCCTTGTCTCATCCACTAAGATGGATGAAAACTCTGGAGGCAGGAAGCAGTATATAGTATAATAGCTTGGGCTCTACACTGGTTGAAAGGCTGACAAGTGAGAAAAGATATATTACAAAAGCCTGATCCTGATCCTCTACGAACTGAGGGCACTTTCCATAGTCAAGCTTTCCTTTCCCTGCGGAAAATTATTATCATCCTCTCTCCCAATCTACACCTGATGTGGCCTCCACAAGGCTTCCAGTAAAGAACAAACTACCTTTTCACAGAAGCATGATTCAGAATTTTCTCTTATATGTCTTATAATACTGACCATGGGTCACAATGCTCAGTATACAGAATCACAGCCACACATAATATGAATTGCAAAGTTTTCTGACCTCCGTTTCTTGTGAATTTCCTTCCATTTTTTCTTCTCCATCATTAGTTTTTGACTTTAAGGATGGATTCTAAAAGAGCAAAAAAGATACATACACACATACACACATACAAATTTACAATTCAATTAACTGCAAATCAATTTTAGAATGGTGAGAAATCATTTTTAATAAATGAAAAACTAAAAGATCATTCACATTATATACCACCTAACATTAAGATTACATCAGATTACATCAAAATGTTCTACAATTCATCAACAAAATGCTTAAATCCTCCTAACTCATGTGGTAGTCTTTATGTGGTAGTAAGAAAATGGGCTTATTCTCCTTTCCTTCAGGTTTTCAGAGCTTGGAGTAATGCTCTTTGAAGAGAGTTTATCTATTAAAAGAGCATACTAGCTATGCATGGTGGCTAATCCTGTAATCCTAATACTTTGGGAGGCTGAGGTGGGAGGATCGCTTGAGGCCAGGAGTTCCAAACCAGCCTGGGCAACATAGCAAGACCCCATCTCTAAAAAAAAAAAAAAAATTAAAACTAAACTGGTTCTATCCCTGGCAACATAGCAAGACCCTGTCTCTACAAAAAACAAAAAAAATTAGTTGGGCATGGTGGCACGTGTCTGCAAACCCAGTTACACTGAAGGCTGAGGTGGGTGGATCACTTAAGCCTGGGAGGTTGAGGCTGCAGTGAGCTGCAGTCATGCCACTGCATTCCAGCCAGGGTGACAGAGCAAGAAGACCCTGTCTATATACATATACATAAAGAATACTAACAAATTTTTACATTAAATGCCTAAGTCATTTGTGTAACCTATTTGTAGGACTTAAAGTATCCAAACATTCTAGAACTTGCTATCTCTCATTAAAATAAATGCAGAGGAATAAAGTTATTTTCTTCTTCCCGAGACTATCATCTTATCAGTTTCCTTGTTTATCTTTTCTAAAATTAAGTTTTGAGCCAGCTTCCTTTATATAACAGAAAGTGAAAAAGTAGCAAGAAATCTTTCTGAAGGACAATATATAGATAACAGTATCTGTGTGGCATTTGTGAAAACACCAACACATTATCAAGACACATAGTAAGTAATCAGAAATTGCTTACTTTAAAAAAATTTTTTTTCCTAGATTTACTAAAATAAGATGGAGTAATAGTTTCAAAAGTAAATTTCACAAGGCTAGCCTTTAGGTTTCCAGGGTAAAAAAAGTTTCTCTAGCTGGAAAAGGCTAATGTGAAATATGGGTAGCTCTAGCATCAATACTTTTGGTTAAATAAACTAAGTTGAAGATCTGTGTTGATGAGACTTGCAAAAAGATAAACCATACCAGGTAGACAATGTGTAAACAGAGAAACACCTGCCCTATCACAGTAGGAAAAGCCCCCACTCAGGTCCCACTGTCTGCTGTCATGCAGCAAAGTGGAATCAGTGTTACCAGACCTTCTGAATTTTAAGAGAAGTTGTATGTCTAGAATTTTAGGTGAAGTTCACAAATACTTAAATTTGGTAATTAACTCAAAAATTTTAAACAGTGTTAGAATCAACACTATGCCAAACAAAACACATCTGTGTGCAGGATTTAGCCCAAAGACTGAGTGTGCAACCCCTAAAAAATGCCAAATTATAAAGTCTGTAATAAATCTGAGGTATAACAAGATTATTTACTCTTCTACCAAAAAAAAAAGAAAATACATATATACTCCATTTATCAGGTTAAATAACATCACATACCTAATAAGTGGCAAAAGTGGAACTAGAAAAGCCAAGCCCTATAAATCTTAGCTCCACAGGATTACAGCCTCTAAAACTAGGCTGCCTCCCAACATTATCATCCACGGATAAACATTCGTGTAAAATACAATGGTGAGGCACCAAACAAGTGATTGCATACCTTTCTGTCTTTGTGCCACTGCTGATGCTCCAAAACTATGTTCTTAATATTGTCAAAAAAATCATCCTTTATCAAGCTGAGGGCTTTATCTGGCTTGGACTTATCAACTGAAATTACATGTTTCATGTTCTGATAATGATCATGAACATTCAGCATTTCCTAAAAGCAAAAAGATGAGTCCTTTATTTCTTCACTTTTTGAGGAGAAACTAAAAGGCAAAACCAACACAAAATAGTCACCTTCCAAAGTGACTTCCAGTTGATAGGTAATAACATGCTATAGTATATTAAAAATAACATAATCATGTAAGCAAAATAGTACAACTTCATTAACATAGAGGTGTGGATTCCAGAGGTATGGATTTACTGACTTACCTCAACAAACATTAACTAAGATATAAGATACACTTATGGGGAAGACATTGGGGAAAGACAAATCAGTTAACATAAAATTCCATTCTAGAATATCACAATTATTTGTAGCATGACATATCATTAAATATCACTACTGATAACTAAGATATTTTTATATCATATTGTCACATCAAGAATATTTACATAGTCCTTTATGCTCTGCTGGAAATTCCTATGTAACGACTCTCATCCAACCTGCCACAGAAATCCCAAAACGTATGTGCCTGTTCCCATAAGCTTCCCCATTGCTTCAGCGATAACATTCAGGATTAAAGATATAGAGGGTAGGCCAGGTGTGGTGGCTCACACCTATAATCCCAGCACTTTGGGAGGCCAAGGTGGGAGAATCACCAGATCAGGAGTTCAAGACCAGACTGGCCAACATGGTGAAACCCCGTCTCTACTAAAAATACAAAAATTAGCCGGGTATGGGGGTGGGCGCCTGTAATCCCAGCTACCTGGGAGGCTGAGGTAGGAGAATTGCTTGAACCCGGGAGGCGGAGGTTGCAGTGAGCCAAGATTGAACCACCACCGCACTCCAGCAGGGGTAACAGAGCAAGACTCCATCTCAAGAAAAAAAAAAAAGAAAGAAATAGAGGGTGATTTATGACACCATTTGTGGCATTATTTATTAGATCTTCTTCCTCCAAAAATCTCCAGCCAAATGGGCAGATCTGTGGGGTAAGGAAAAAGACAGCATACCACAGAGTGGACTTAAGAAAACCTGGCATAGGGACTTGGCTCTAAGATCAAGAGAGAACTACTGACACTTCCATCACAGATGGACATTGCAACATCTGAGTCATCCCTAACTCAGACCACTCAATTCATTTCCAGATTTTGGTAGAATCAACACCTGTTCAAGAAATGAGAAACTAGGCCAGGCACAGTGGCTGACTCCTGTAATCCCAGCACTCTTGGAGGCCAAGGTGGGCAGATCACCTGAGGTCTGGAGTTCGAGACCAGCCAGACCAACATGGAGAAACCCCGTCTCTACTAAAAATACAAAGTTAGCCGGGTGTGGTGGCACATGCTTGTAATCCCAGCTACTCGGGAGGCTGAGGCAGGAGAATCACTGGAACCTGGGAGGCAGAGGTTGCGGTAAGCCAGGATCGCACCATTGCACTCCAGCCTGCGCAACAAGAGTGAAACTCTGCCTCTCAAAAAAAAAAAAAAAAAAAAAAAAAAAAAATGAGAAACTGATCAATAGTGGTGAGTGAGTGCTCATATATGCAGGATCTGCAATGGGAGAACAGTGTCCAGACATGGAGAGCCCCTAACTCTTTACAGTTTACATTGGCTATACTCTCATTATTTTTACTTCATGTGATAGAGAAAGACCACCAGTCAGATCTAATTTTTGAGTCTGAGCTCTGTCATTTGCTCAATGGATGACAATGGGGAAGTCCCTCAACCTAAGAATCATGTTCATGTTTCGCATTTGTACAAAATGAACAAACCCACCATTGTTAAGTATTAAACAAGCTTATACAGGTGAAAGTATTCAGTAGAATGTAAAGCACTATAGAAGATTAAAGAAGCCAGGCACAGTAGTGTGCACCTGTAGTCCCAGCTACTCAGAAGCCTGAGGCATGAGGATGGCTTGAGCCCAGGAATTCAAGGCCAACTCAGGCAACACAGCAAGACCCCCACCTTTAAAAAAAAAAAAAAAAAAGAAGAAGAAAATTAAATAAGAAATAAAAGACAGTGCATGGACTTTGGAGCCTTATAGACTTGGACATTCAAACATAGTGTCTGTACCTTATTGTGCCTCACCTTATACAAACTACTTAACTTCTCTAAACCTCAGTTTCCTTATTTTTAAAACTGGGGGCCGTGCACGATGGCTCATGCCTGTAATCCCAGCACTTTGGAAGGCCGAGGTAGGCGGATCACCTGAGGTCAGGAGTTCGAGACCACCCTGGCCAACATGGTGAAACCCCATTTCTACTAAAAATACAAAAAATTAGCCAGGCATGGTGGCGGGTGCCTGTTGTCCGAGCTACTCGGGAGGCGGAGGAAGGAGAATCGCTTGAACCTGGGAGGTGGGGAGGTGGAGGCTGCAGTGAGCCGAGATCGTGCCACTGCATTCCAGCCTGGGCAATAAAAGGGAAACTCTGCCTTAAAAAATAAAAAAAAAAAAAAGGCCAGGCATGGTGGCCCGCGCCTGCAATCCCAGCACTTTGGGAGGCCGAGGCGGGCGGATCATGAGGTCAGGAGATCAAGACCATCCTGACTAACACGGTGAAACCTTGTCTCTACTAAAAAAATACAAAAAATTAGCTGGGCATGGTGGCAGGCGCCTGTGGTCCCATCTACTCAGCAGGCCGAGGCAGGAGAATGGCATGAACCCAGGAAGCAGAGCTTGCAGTGAGCCAAGATCGCACTCCAGCCTGGGCGACAGAGGGAGACTCCATCTCAAAAAAAAAAAAAAAAAAAAAAACTAAGGAAATACCACCTTCTCTGCAGGGTTACTATGATAATTAGTGAGATAACATACATAAAACATCTAGCATAGTTCCAGGTATATGGTGAGTACTCAGCACACGATGTCCATTATTATAACTGTATAAATGAAGAAACAGAAATGAAATAATTTGCTCAAGGTCCTACTTACATAGCAGCGGGCTAGAATTAGAAGTCAAATGTTTTGATTCAGTATCCTGTTCTCTTTTCATTTTATTATGCCTCTTAACCACAAAACTAGAACAAGTGGCAGAATCATGACCAGAATTCAGATCTTCTGAAATGAAGACTTAATAGCAGTTGCAGGCAGTAGAAGGAAAATTTAAAAGTATTAAATTTAAGAATTATCAGTGAGAATGGATTACAGGCTATGCTAGGACAAAAGATATAGAGCCAGCAGAAGTATCAAGGGACAAGGCTCTCAAAGCAATTATGTCACAAGCCAGAGATCCGACAGAGCCAGGATAACTTCACAGACTATTCCATTCCTAAAAGCTTCCAGGTATAGGCATTTCATAGCTTGACCCTTCTGATACTCTTCTCTATTCACTCTAAAAGAGTAGACCTTTGTTCATCAACCCCAACTTAAAAGAGCTTAGAATGAAAAAGCATGTTGAAAAAGATATGTTGAAAAAATATTTACATTCTACCACCAAATTGGTCAACAGTCAGAAAAATTAAAACCGGACAACCATGGTGGCTCATGCCTATAATCCCAGCACTGTGGGAGGCCAAGGTAGGAAGATCACCCAAGCTCAGGAGTTCAAGACCTGCCTGGGCAACATAGCAAGACCTTGTCTCTACAAGAAATGTTTTAAAATTAGCCAGCATGGGCCAGGCGTAGTGATTCACGCCTATAATCCCAGCACTTTGGGAGGCCAAGGTGGGTGGATCACAAGGTCAGGAGTTCAAGACCAGCCTGGCCAAGATGCCGAAACCCTGCCTCTGCTAAAAATACAAAGATTAGCCCAGCGTGGTGGCACGTGCCTGTAATCCCAGGTATTCAGGAGGCTAAGGCAGGAGAATCGCTTGAACCCGGGTGGCAGTTGCAGTGAGCCAAGATCATACCACTGCACTCCAGCCTGGGACACAGAGCAAGACACCGTCTCGGAAAAAAAAATTAGCCAGCATGGTGGTGAGGGCCTAGCTACTCAGGAGGCTGAGGTGGGAGGATCACTTAAGCCCAGGAGACTGAGGGTGCAGTGAGCTACGATCACCCTACTGCGCTCCAGCCACGGTGATGAAGCAAGATCCTGTCTCAAAAATTAAAAAAAAAGAAATTGTAACCAACTGGGTTCAGATCATCTTTTTTCATTAGAATATTGATAAGAATAATGTCTTGCTGTTTGAAAATGTCCTATGCCTCTCTCTTCATGATTCACATCAGCATTTCTCAACTTTCTGGTATCCCGAAATCTTTCTTCCATTCTCCACAACCGCTATTCCAAACATTTTCAACTCTCAGTTCCCTGATCCCCATGATGCTCTCTTAAAGTTCAGGCAATCAGGTCTGTTTGCCTTCTATTTCTCCTCTACACAAAGATTTATAAAAATCCATTCTCACCTTCTTTCCTCAAGTTTCAAAGGAAAAAGTATGCCTTCTGCTCAAGGCTACTCCCTCCATGGACTCTCAATCGCAGACACACCCACCTCCTCCATAGCAGGAACCTTGCTCGCTACCTCTCCTATATACAACCATTCCCTCTAACTAGCTCCTTACCTCAACTCCAAACATAAACATTATGTCTCTCCAATCTCTAAAACTTTACGACTCCCCTCTGCCAAAAAGACAAAATACAAATTCCTTCTATTACACAAAGTACTTTTATCTTATTTAGTTTTCTACATAAACTCTCTCCTACCTCTTTCTCACTAAGCTGCTAGAGGGAAAAAAAAATCCTAGTTCTTGTTACACTTCATTTGTTTGTTGAATGACAAATTTCTAACCCCAGTCCCACCTCAGACCAGTCCTTTGCTGTCCAACAAACAGGCACCACAGCCATACAAAACTGAGTATGAAGCTTAGCTCCATTACTTCCTAACCTAGTCTCTGTAACTCAGTTTCCTCAACTTTAAATCACGGATAAAAACCCCTATTTTTAAAAATAATAATTAAAAATGTTTAAAAACACTTATTTTGCAGAAATGTTGTAGAAGTAAAACAATCTACACAAAATATTTTCCCAGAGTTCCTGCATTATACTATGTCTTCAGATATTGAGGAATATTCAGTTCCTTGTAATACAGTAATTCTTAACCTTTTTGGGGGACATGAACACCTTTGAGAATCTGAGGATAATTACAGTACCTCACCCTAAAAATGTATCCATATGAGCTGGGTGGGGTGGCTCATGTCTGTAATTGCAGTACTTTGGGAGGCTGAGGCGGGCGGATCGCCTGAGCTCAGGAGTTTGAGACCACCCTGGGCAACATGGTGAAACCCCATCTCTACTAAAATACAAAAAATTAGCCGAGTGTGGTGGTGCGTACCTGTAGTCCCAGCTACTCGAGAGGCTGAGGCATGAGTATCACTTGAGCCCTGGAGGCAGAGGTTGCAGGTTGCAGTGAGCCAAAATTGCGCCACTGCACTCCAACTTGGGCTACAGAGTGAGAGAATCTATC
The DNA here is from genome assembly GCF_000001405.40 of Homo sapiens. Classification (NCBI taxonomy): domain Eukaryota; kingdom Metazoa; phylum Chordata; class Mammalia; order Primates; family Hominidae; genus Homo; species Homo sapiens. The sequence goes on along the minus strand of NC_000014.9, from coordinate 61,770,752 downwards.
TCAAAAAAAAAGGATCCATATGTATGACATCAATTTTTCATACAATGTGGTGGGGGAGAGGGACATGGACCATCTCCAGGCCAGAGATTAAGGATCCTTGCTCAAAAATAAAGTTACTTTACAGAACAGACCCAGAGTGCTCCCAAAAATCAATTTGCTACCTGAATTACAAACAACCTGACAGGCTGATGTTATTGCAACGTGGGGGCGACCGGGCACAGTGGCTCACACCTGTAAACTCACCACTTTAGGAGGCCAATGCAGGCAGATCGCTTGAGGCCAGGAGTTCAAGACCAACCTGGTCAACACAGTGAAACCTCACCTCTATTAAAAATAGAAAAAATTAGTTGGGCATGGTGGTGCACAACTGTAATCCCAGCTACTCAGTGGGTTGAGACACAAGAATCACTTGAAACTAGGAGGCAGAGGTTGCTGCAAGCCAAGATCGTGCCACTACATTCCAGCCTGGGTGACAGAGGAAGATCCTGTGTCAGGGACAAGAAAAAAAAAAAAAAAAAGAACATGGGGGCATCTAAACAAACATTTGAGTAAATCTAAGATCTGATCCCTGTCTTTCAATTGTAATACAAGAAAAGACTGAGTAGGGCTGGAGAAAAAGGGAATTAACATTTATTAAGGGTATATACTGTGTGTAATATACCACACTCAGCACTATTTAGGCATCACCTCATTTCAATTTGCAGAACAACCGAATGAAATAAAATATTATAATCCTAATAGTAATGAGGGAGACATTTAGGCTTAAAGAAAATTTAAAAGCACGACCAAAGTGTCCCCTTACCCTCTCGTCTCCTCTCTATATGTTCTTTTGAAATATCATTGATTTGGAATACTGTAACCCTGTACTGAGATTTTGTTTCAACCTCAAAGCAATGCTTTTCTACTCATGCTTAAAAAGATTTGTAACACTACTTATCCATGCATAAGATTTTTCCCAATACTGTACACTCAAACAAAATACGAAAATATATTATCAAAATAGACTCACTGTTTTCAATGGTAGGTTTTAAAATAAATGTTAAAACTCAGGAAGTAGGCTGGGTGCAGTGGCTCACGCCTGTAATCCCAGCACTTTGGGAGACAGAGGTGGGCAGATCACCAGGTCAGGAGATCGAGACCATCCTGGCTAACACGGCAAAACCCTGTTTCTACCAAAAATACAAAAAATCAGCCGGGCATGGTGGCACACGCCTGTGGTCCCAGCTACTCGGGAGGCTGAGGCAGGAGAATTGCTTGAACCTGGGAGGCGGAGGTTACAATGAGCTGAGATTGCACCACTGCACTCCAGCCTGGGTGACAGAGCAAGACTCCGTGTGAGAAAAAAAAAAAAAAAAAAAACCTCAGGAAATAAATGCACATTGGTTTTTTTGTTTTTCAAAACGGAATCTTGCTCTGTTGCCCAGGCTGGAGTGCAGCGGTGCGATCTCAGCTCACTGCAACCTCTACCTCTGGGGTTTGTGATTCTCCAGCCTCAGCCTCCCCAGTAGCTGGGACCACAGACGTGCGCCACCATGCCCAGCTAACTTTTGTATTTTTAGTAGAGACGGGATTTCACCATATTGGCCAGGCTAGTCTCAAACTCCTGACTTCGTGATCCACCCACCTCGGCCTCCCAAAGTGCTGAGATTACAGGTGTGAGCCACCATGCCTGGTCATGTATATTGTTTTTTTAAAAAAGTAAGTAAAGTCACTTTAAACTCTTGTTTTATGACCTAACTAAAGTCAAATACAAACAATAGTTTTAGTAACAGAATCCACACATCTTCAGTCCAGGTCCAGTCTTCTACATCTTTTTTTCTCACGCTATTTCAAGATTTGTAAGCCTTGATATATTTAGGCTATTTTATGTCTGATACTCTAGAGAAATAGCATCCTAGAGTGGTTAAAATCATTAGAAAAATCAGTATCCAGTAGATGAAGGTATAACCTCAATATGTAGTTGGCAATAAAACAATTTTTAAAAATTTTCAAGAGCATAAAAGAAAATTTACCTCTAATACATCAGAAGTGATAAGTTTCATCACACGATCACTTGGGTCCTTAAATTCTTCTGTAACTTCAGCTCGGTGAATTTTTTTCTTCATCCTATATGACAGCTATGTGATAATACGTGTCTTTTTAAATGAGTATCTTTTAAACAGTATTGTTAAAAGTATTGAAATATAAGCCAGCACTAAAAATTGTCTATAAGTAAACACAGATAAAACAAAACCAGCTGTAAGGGTACATCTGTTAAATATCCACGTTCCAAAGACTGTTAGACTTGTGAAGTATCCTCTCACATGCCATGCCACATGCCTACAAATTCAGATAAGACAGAAATTACATAATTTGCCAGCTAATGGCAGAACCAGAACTAGTGCTCTTCAACCTAGTGTCTCAATTACCACTAGATTAAAAAAAAACAAATGCTATTAGAAGTTTCAACTTTTCACCAAAGAATTTTTAACAATTTTGTACGTCTTTCAGTAACCTCCTCTGATGTTTGAGACATGAGCAAATGCAGATGCCAAATCTAATTTGTTCTCAAAACAGTTCGCTTAATATGTGGCACCCAGATACACTGCATTTAAAAAGCAAAGGCTAAATTTTTGCTTGCAGAAAAAAAAGTAGTAATTAGAAAATACCTTCTCCTATTTTAAAAAAGCTACAAGGCCGGGCATGGTGGCTCACCTGAGGTGAGCAGCACTTTGGGAGGCTGAGGCGGGTGGATCACCTGAGGTCAGGAGTTCAAGACCAGCCTGACCAATATGGTGAAACCCCATCTCTACTAAAAATACAAAAATTAGCTAGGCGTGGTGGAGGGCGCCTGTAGTCCCAGCTACTCAGGAGACTGAGACAGGAGAATTGCCTGAACCCTGGAGGCGGAGGTTGCAGTGAGCTGAGATAGCACCACTGTACTCCAGCCTGGGCGACAGGGCAAGACTCTGTATCAAAAAGGCACACACACACAAAAAAAGTTACAAGCCAGGCCGGGCGCAGTGGCTCACGCCTGTAATCCCAACACTTTGGTAGGCCAAGGTGAGTGGATCACGAGGTCAAGAGATCAAGACCATCCTGGACAACATGGTGAAACCTTGTCTCTACTAAAAATACAAAAATTAGCTTGGTGTGGTGGCGCATGCCTGTAGTCCCAGCTACTCAGAAGGCTGAGGCAGGAAAATCCCTCGAACCCGGGAGGCGGAGGTTGCAGTCAGCCGAGATGGTGCCACTGCACTCCAGCCTGGGCGACAGAGCAAGACTCTGTCTAAAAAAAAAAAAAGCTAAAAGTCTTGAACACTATCAATACTTATTCCATTTTCTGGAGATTGAGAGGTTTTATGGACAATAAAGTATAATTGCTCATTTTGAAAAAACCAAATTATTTTAGGCAACATACCAATTTGGGCATTGCTGTAAAGTGAAATGCTCTGTCTAGTCGTAGCTTCCTAAAAATATAAGCTGCATCAAAATGCTGTGCATTTACTAAATCTTGCTGAAATTTTAAAACTTCATCCCAATCCTTCAGGGCAACTCTGATCTGCAACCAGGAAGAAAAAAAAGTTGTACTAAATGTAAATATTTTTTCACAAACATATTATAATTTTAAAATACTGGCATTTTATTTAAATCATATTTAATCATATAATATTTATTATAAAAATATGGTACTTGTTTTACATTTCTGCTAAGGAAAAATAACTCACTAAGTATTACCTTTTGTTTTGGTTGACACAGTTGGGTATTATATAATCCATATAGCAGATACAAAGCACCAACTCTGATCTGGAAGGTGTATGGAGGTAAAAAATATCGCCAAGCCAAAGCTAAAGCTTCTTTTGTAAACATGTTCTTTTCTAAATTTCTCATTCTGCCACTAATAAACAGAGAGAAAATATATTACGACTCATTAAGTGAATAAGTAATGAACAAAAGCCAAAAGTATATACTTGTTTAAACGGTAGTTATAATTTGATGAGGATTCCATACCTGATTCTTTCATGATTCAAGCACAAAGAGATAATTTTACACCAAGGCAAAGGCAACTACTAGGTAAACATGACGCAGCTTCCAAAAGCATCAACTTTACTTGCCAAATTGAAGAGCAAGAAGGAAGGGGTTTCAAATTACTATTGGTTAAATATTTAAAACCCATAATGTTAAAATAATCATGGTTATGTTACAGAACTATGTGCATTTTAATATACAATTGCCAAAAATGCTTGTTCTTTGGTGCTATAAAGAAGTATCACTTGAACGTAAATTTTATTTCTTCAGCAAGGCCATTTTTTTACTTTCTGCACAAAAGGGTACAGTCGCCAGCAGTTTTGCTACACTGAACAAAGGAGACAGGGTCATTTATAACTTGACACATCTACTTTACTGCTGTGTCCGGTTTCTATTGGCTGGAACGGGACTTCACATTCTGTATCTGTCTTCATTGACTAGCAACTTAGAACTTGAAGTAACTTGTGGAATGCTGAGAAAGGTAAAAACACTTTTAAATAAGGAAGAAGAACAGGCTATGACTTAATGCTTGCTTGGACCAGTATAAGCACGCCAGGGCAAATATTTAGGCTAAATTGTGGGAGCTAAGAACATAAAATACACTGATTTCTTTATTACAGCTAGCAGATATTTAAGAATGTTAGCATAGGTCTTTGAATAAATTTTGCTTCTAAGATAAGTTACTATTTAGTCTTAATTAGATGGGGAGGAAACTCTTTGAAGCAGAACCTCTACTTTACTTTTTACCTAACGAACATTTTCTCCAATACTCTCAGGGATTTGCACTAAATCTCCTCTGTCCTTGCGAAGCCGAGGCGAAAAAGATAGAGAAACAGCACAAAGTAACCCGCACTCCTAATTGTCCAGAGCACTGCAAGCTCATCAGAAGAAAGGAGGAGGAAGGGAGAAGAGCATACTCCAGCATACAACCAAAAGCTTTGTCCAAACATCCAAGAGAGCAACAAGGCTTTGTTGGCAATCAATCAATGAAATAACATAGGAAATGTACATGAAAGGAAAGTATCTTGGGCACCCAAGATCACTAAGGAAAACTCAAGCTGGAAACTGCTTAGGGCAAACCTCTCCCATTCTATTCAAAGTGACTTCTCGGCTCACTGAGATAGATGCATATCTGATTTGCCTCCTTTGGAAAAGCTAATCAGAAACTCAAAAGAACGCAAGCATTTGTGTATCACCAATCTGTGACCTGAAAGCTCCCTCCCCACTTCCAGTCTTCCTGCCTTTGCTTCAAGTTGTCCCGCCTTTCCAGAACGAACCAACGTACTTCTTGCATATATTGATTGATGTCTCATGTCTCCCTAAATGTACAAAACCAAGCTGTGCCCTGACCACCTTGGGCGCATGTCAACACGACTTCCTGAGGCTGTGTCACGGGTGCGTCCTCAACCTTGGCAAAATAACCTTTCTAAATTAACTGAGACGTGTCTCAAATTTTCGAGGTTCACATATATTTTCTGTGGATATAAACAGCATAATGAATAAACTATCTGAAACTGTTCTGCTGTGCTAAGTTAACAAAAAATTTTAAAAAACAAGGCCTTAAAAAAGTCAATGTAACAGTCTTCTTACCACTTTGGATAAAACAATGAAGCCACATTTGTGCATATTATAGGTTTCTATGTAAGACCTGAAATTAGTAGATAAAAAATGCCAGATTTTAAATAAAACATTAGCTAAAATAAATGTCTCAAAGTGTTGATGCGAGTGACTAATACGCTATACAAATATAAATATGTAGAACTTTTACTTTAAAACCAGCAACAAACAATAAAGACATTTGCCCTGCAGCCATAAACACGGGCTCTATTATATCTGATTACAATGCAGGGGTGGAAGGGAAGGGGGTAGTAGGAGGACATTTTGGGTCTTCAAATAATAAATATAGGAAAAGAATACAAAATGCCTACTCTAGTTACGGTAACCAAAGTAATTTCTCAAGAAAATCCACCACTCTAGTGATTCCTGCTTCTTTTATCATTTTAGGTTCTCCCTACTAGAAAATGTAAATGTTACATTTTTAGCTTTTTCCTTAAATGCATTTTTCCCCCCAAGAAGTGGTACAGTGGAATATTAACGGATTTTAGAAACAGGCAGATACATAGTTTCCAACATCTGCTCTACAATCCACTATCTTTGTAATGGTGGAGAAATTACTTAACCTCTTTAAGCCTTAATTTCCTCATCTATAAAACAAGGATAATTATACCTGCTTTTTATAACTGTCTTATGCAATAAATAAAGCTATAAATAAATGGCATGTAGTAGCCATTTAAAAAAAAAAGTCTCTCTCCTTTTATTAACTGTACAACAAACAGCTCTTCATCCTCCATTCCTTGCAATTTAAAAAACTACAAAGGTAATTTGCTTACACTGACAGAGAGAAAATGAGTTTTTACATTTTGTTCAGAAAAAGTTTTAATCATAAGGTTTAACTCATTCAGAAAATCAGTTATTTCGCCTTTTTAATATTATATGTACTATGGTAATAAAAATAGATTCATCCAGTCACTGTCCTCACAGAGGTCAGTCTAGTCAAAGGAAAATTTTAAAACGGTAGTAATAATGAACATTTGACCAGCCTGGCCAACATGGTGAAATCCCGTCTCTACTAAAAATACAAAAATTAGCCAGGCTTGGTGGCACAAGCCGTAGTCCCAGCTACTCGGGAGGCTGAGGCAGGAGAATCTCTTGAACCCGGGAGGTGGAGGTTGCAGTGATAGGAGATCGCACCATTACACTCCAGCCTGGGTGACAGAGCAAGACTATGTCTCAAGAAAAAAAAATAATAATAATGAACATTTATTGAGCACTTAGAATGTATTTCTGATATATCAGCTCATTTAATCTTCACAACTACTATGAGGTTTATCATTGCCTCTATTTTACAGATATGGAAACTCAAGTAACTTGCCCCAAGTCATAGCGGACCCTGCAATCAAATGCAGCCAATTGGGTTCCATAACCTATGCCCTTAACAATCCCACACTGCCTTTTCAACTATACCATTACAACAAAATGTGGAAAGCGGTGACATAAAATAAAAACAGGGTGCTATGCGGGGAAAAAACATGAACAGCGTACTCAGTCTAGAAGAGCAAAAAAGACTTCCCCCGAGGATGTCATTTGAGCTTAACCCTGAGTGAAGAATAAGGTGGACAAAACAAGAGAGTTGCGGTGGAAACTCCAGGATTAGGAAAAGCCTGTAGAGGGCCCAAAGAAAAAAAAAAAAAAAAAAAAGCAGCTGCTGGAGCAAGAAAGTGAGTGCATGGAGGGGACTGGCAGGCGAAGCTGGAGAGATAGGCAAAGGCCAGTGAGGAATGGTCTTGGCAAGTCAGAGAATTCAAGCGTTATCCCAAAGGCAATGGGCACCACTACAGAGTAATAAGTCGGGGAGTGACATAATCAAATTTGCACTTTTGAAAAACAACTTTTGGGCCGGGCGCGGTGGCTCACTCCTGTAATCCTAGCGCTTTGGGAGGCCGAGGCGGGCGGGTCACGAGATCAGGAGTTCGAGGCCAGTCTGGCCAACATAGTAAAACCCCGTCTCTACTAAAAATACAAAAAATTAACCGGGCGTGGTGCCGGGCACCTGTAATCCCAGCTACTCCGGAGGTTGAGGCAAGAGAATCACTTGAACCTGAGAGGCGAAGGGTTGCACTGAGCCGCGAACGCGCCATTGCACTCCAGCCTGGGCGACAAAAGGAGACTCCGTCTCAAAAAAAAAAAAAAAAAAAAAAAAAAAGACAACTTTGGTTGTTGGAGGAAAAATTAATTCAATCTTGAAGGGTTTTGTCTTTGCTTGTGTGTTTTTAAACATCAGGTCCTAGAACAAGACTGGGGAAGGGCAAATGATAGTGGCCTGGCTCAGGGTGGAGATGGGAGAGAGGAGTTTAGAAGGGAGGCCAGGCAGAGACGCATATTTGGGAGGAGGCCGCAACAACCATCAGGGCACAATGAAATAGAGCAGGGAAAGCGCGTTGCCTGAGCACAGGGGAAGGTCCAGGAGTCATGGAGGCAACCTTCGGTGACTGCCGCTCTTCTCAGCCCTTCACAAGTGCAATATCGCCGGGAAGGAGGCAACTTTCTACACCACCTGCGGGCAGGGAGAGGCGGGTGGTGGACAAGAAACACCCACCAGAAGATAGTCCCGAACTTCATGTTTCTCCAGAGCTCCGTGAAGTCCTCGAAGCGTACACTGTCCGTCTCCTGGAAGCGGCTGAGCAGCGCCTCGCAGTCGGTCTGCAGGCCGGGAGGAGTCCCCATGGCACCCGAAGCCCGCACGCCTCCGAAGCCCGCACGCCTCTAACGGACTAGCCAGCGGTGGTCGCCCAGGAAACCAAGCCCGAACGGCCCGCCCCCTACGGCGTGCGCACACGCGCTCCGTGATGCATTATCCGGCACCTTTAGCTCCGCCTTTATCCGGGCTCTTGCCACCGGTCGTGTGCTTACTGCGCGTGCGTGAAAGCGTTCTGATGTTTTACTGGCTGAGATTGCTTTCACCCAGAGTGCTGAGATCCACCCTTCTTTGGAAGAGGTTTACGTCTAAAGTGTTGTGTTTGCTCACGAGCGGTTTTAGGTCTTCATTTTCCGCTAGGTTATGTAACTTGACTTTACCCTTACTAGCACTCTCCTTTAAACTGACCCTAGTGTGACATAAGTGAACTTTTGAGCTAGGAAAGAACAGTCCCAACCCCAACCCCACTCCCACTTGGGAAGAGAAGCTAAAGAAGGCTTGCTAGGAAACAAACTGCACTCATTCTCCTTCTGGTCATCGAGAACCCTAATACTCTGTACCCACATAATACGATGCTTAATGTGCGGCCCTCTCTTTGTAGCCCTGGCATTCTGCAACCACTCTTGAAAAGAAGAGCTGCATTTCATACCCTCTTGTAAACAGCCCTCCTCCTGCCCTGCCACGCATTCACCCCTGTGCTACATAGCACTTAGCAGAAAATACCTACTTGTTATATTCTTGTTATATTATTATTTGGATGAATTGCCTTTTTGTGTACACGCTGCCACCTAGCTTCCTTCCTCCAGGAGCTAGCTATGGAGTAACATTTTGAACTTTAGATCATTTCTCTGATTGAAAGGTAAGCTATCATTCTTTAGAAGAGGTATCCTGATATAATAGAAAAACATTGGGCTTTCTGTGTGTAAATGGAGTGTCAACTCACTTTACTTTTCTGATCCTTGACCTGTTTTTGTTTGTTTGTTTGTTTGTTTGGATTTGTTTGTTTTTTGTTTTGAGACGGAGTTTCGCTCTTGTTGCCCAGGCCGGAGTTCAGTGGCGCGGTCTCGGTTCACTGCAACTTCCGCCTCCCGAGTTCAAGCGATTCTCCTGCCTCAGCCTCCCGAGTAGCTGGGATTACAGGCATGCACCACTCCAACCGGATTTTGTTTTGTTTTGTTTTGTTTGTATTTTTAGTAGAGACAGGGTTTCACCATGTTGGCCAGGCTGGTCTCGAACTGCTAACCTCAGGTGATCCGCTCCCCTCGGCCTCCCAAAGTGTTGGGATTACAGACGTGAGCCACTGCACCCTGCCCTCTTGACCTGTTTTTTAAATGTTATGTAATATTTTATGTCACAGAAAAATTTATGCGATGTGTGAGATAAAAAGCATAGCAGTTAAACACCTGTACACCTTTCACCTGTGTAGGAACCAGAACATTACCAACGCCTTCACATCAATCTGCGATTTCCTCCTCTGACCTATTCCTTTGACTGTACCCTACTTTAATCACAGCTACTGGTTGGGCACGGTGGCTCACGCCTGAAATCCCAACACTTTGGGAGACAAAAGCAAGAGGATTGCTTAAGCACAAGAGTTGGAGACCAGCCTGGGAAACATGGTGAAAATTAGCCGGGCATGGTGGTGCACACCTGTAGTCCCAGCTACTCGGGAGGCTGAGGTGGGAGGATCATTTGAGCCTGGGAGATGGTGGTTACAGGAGACAGAGGTTGCAGTGGTGAGCCGAGATCGTGCCACTGCACTCCATCCTGGGCTACGGAGTGAGACCGAATCTCAAAAAATAAATAAATAACTACCTTGAATTTTGTTTCTCTTTCTCATGTATATATTTTATCACATATGTATGTATATTTAAACGGTATATTTTTTAGTTGTGGTTGGTTTTGAGTTTTATGAAAATGGTATTGCAACTGGCTGGGCGCAGTGGCTCACGCCTGTAATCCCAGCAATTTGGGAGGCTGAGGTGGGTGGATCACCAGGTCAAGAGTTCGAGACCAGCGTGACCAAAATAGTGAAACCCCGTCTCTAATAAAAACACAAAAATTAGCTAGGCGTAGTGGCGTGTGCCTGTAATCCCAGCTACTTGGGAGGCTGGGGCAGGAGAACCACTTGAACCTGGGAGGCAGAGGTTGCAGTGAGCCAAAATGCATTATTTCCCCCATGATAGAGTGGGGGAACCATTTGGGAAATGGTTCATTACAACAGATAATTTGAGAAGCACTGTTATACACCATTTCAGTCCACATTCCATTGGCCAGAACTCAGTCACATGGACCCATTCAGGTGCAAAGGTGGCTGAGAAACGTCATCACTAATTAGGCAACCTCTCCCCAACAATAGTTTCAATCGCTGGAAGAGGTGCACACGTCTTTGTTGGACCACGTATTAGCTCATTTCTGCTGCTATAACAAAATACCATAGAATAGGTAGCTTACAAACAACAGAAATTTATTTCTCACAGTTCTGGGAGGCTGGGAAATCTAAGATCAAGGTGCTGGCAGATTCCGTGCCTGGTGAGGGCTGCTCTCTGCTTTCAAGATGGCACCTTGTTGCCGTGTCCTCACATGGCATAATAGCGGAAGGACAAAAGAGGCCTAGCTAGTTCCCTCCAGCCCTTTTATAAAATCACTAATCCCATTCATGAGTCCTCATGACTTAATTACCTGCTAAGGCCCTACCTCTTAATGCTATCACATTGTTAATTAAGTTTCAACACATTGATTTTGGGAGACATTCAGACCAGAACAGACTGCCAACATGTCTGCTGCAATTTTATTCAGAAACTCTGAAAGTATTACCTTTCACTTTTAATTTACTGTCATCCATCTAAAAATTTATTTCTATGTATGGTATAAGGATCCTATTTCACTTTTTTCCATATGTATAACCATATGTATGTATATGTATTTCCCGTATGTATAATTTTCCAGCATCTGTTATTGAAAAGTCCATCCTTTCCCAAAATTCACTTCTGTTATATGTCAAGTTGCATGGCTAATTGCAAACAGTACACAACTATGGCTTTGTACCTGTTATTAAAATACCAAACCATAGTGCAGTATTTCCATTACTGTTAGTATAACAGTTACCACTCTAAGCCTCCTTACTACCCTCATCCCAAACACTTGGGCCCCCCAGGCCACAAATCCCTCAACCTCCCAGCCTCTAAAACTGAAGTGGTTAAGCCTGGCACAGGAAGGAACCTTCAGTGCCGGCTCCAGCTTCAGTCTACTCCTAGGGTTGTTATCTACTTTCAAGGCTCCATTTAGATTTCACTTCTCTAACACCACACTAATTACTACAGAGTATCTTGACTATTCTTGAATTTTCACTTTTTCATATAAATTTTAAATTTGACTTGTCAAATTTCTCTGATAGCGCCATTGGGATTTCAATTGAATTACATTAAATCTGTAAGTCAATTTGGGAAGGAATAACATCTTTTTTTTTTTTTTTTTTTTTTTGAGATGGAGTTTCATTCTTGTTGCCCAGGCTGGAGTGCAATGGCGCGATCTCAGCTCACTGCAACCTCCACCTCCAGGGTTCAAGTGATTCTCCTACCTCAGCCTCCCAAGTAGCTTGGATCACAGGCATGTGCCACCATACCCAGCTAATTTTGTAGTTTTGGTAGAGATTGAGGTTTCACCATGTTGGTCAGGCTAGTCTCAAACTCCTGACCTCAAATGATCCACCCGCTTCTGCCTCCCAAAGTGGTGGGATTACAGGCATGAGTCACTGCGCCTGGCCAAAATAATATCTTTATTGTATTATTTCTATCCACAAACATTTCTTTAAGTCACCTGTAGCATCTTTACTGAAGTTTCATAATTTTTCTCCCTGAACTTTTTACTTGTCTTTTGTTAGATTTTTCTTATATGTCTTATGTTTTTGTGTGGCTATTGTATTTAGTATCTTTGCCTTACATTTTCTAACTGCTTGATTCCAATATATAAAAATGCAATTGAATTATATATATTTATTTAGTATCCAGTCCCCTTGTTTAAACTCTTATAATAATTTTTCTATTGATTCTTTTAGGCTTTCTATATAGATGATATCTGCAGCTGTGAATAACAGTAGTAATAATAGTTTGCTTTTTCCTTTCCAGTCCTTATCGCTTTTATTTCTTTCCCTCTTACTTCATTTCCCAGGCTAAGACTTCCCATACTGTTAAAGATAAACCTGGGAGAATGGGTGTGTGTTTGTTCACTAATGTACCATCAGCACCTATAAGTACTTGATACACAGTAGGTGCTCAATGAAGTGATGTTTTTATTTGTTATTTTACTTTTTAGCTCCAGAATTTCTATTTGGCTCTTTTAAAAATAATTTCTAGCTATTTGTGTTCTGTATTTGATGAATTATTGTCACCATACATTCCTTTACATCTTTACGCAGAGTTTCCTTTGATTCTTTGAATATACTTTTAATGACTGCTCTAAAGTCTTTATTAAAAAGTCAGCCATCGAGCCCTCTGTTATGTAATTTCTCTTGCATCCTTTTTTCCTGTGTATGGATCAAATTTTCCTGTTTCTTTTCATATCTCATGCATTTTTTATTAAAGATTTGATACTTTAGACAATTTATTATATAAATCTGGGTATTGATTGCTTCCCCTTCTGAAGCTTATTGATTTTGTTTACTTATTTATTTGTTTACTGACTTGACTGGAGTGCTTTAGTGAAGTCCAGTTCCCCAGCTCAGTGTGAAGCTTCTGATGTTGCTCCTCAGAGACTGCAGCCTTGACCTTCCTTAGACCCTTCACCCTGGGATGATAGTGGTTTTACCAGTAATCTTTGTCTTTCCCCATCTCTCTGTCAAACTGTCTGCCTTTTAGTATCCACCCAGCTGTTAGAGTCCACTAATTGCTAGCTGATTGCTCTGTTGTTTTTGACAATGCCCTGGGGGAATAAATTACTCCATTGTCTAATCTGATTAAATTTAGGCTCCTTTGCAGAGGTAGTTTTTGAGTTCAATCTTGAGGTTTGCTCTGATCCCAGGAAGGCTCTTCTTAGCCATTTCTTCCCTAGCTTTTTCTGGTAAACTAGTGGTCTGCAGTTTAGCTTGTTGCTTTTAGAAGGTACTAGCCTCCTCTTAATTGCTTACAACCAAAATATCCATTGTTTTTAAGAGCACCTTTAGGTTCAAGTTTTCCCCTACTCCGTTCCAAATAAACTAATTTCTTCTGGGAAGAGCTTCAGAATTTTCTTTTCTTATGGATGTTTCTCCCCCTGAGCAAAATCTCTGAGCCACTGCTCCAGCCAGAGCTGAGGATGGGGACAGTCACTTTCTTCTCTCAGAGTAACTCTCCTTCATTTTTTTTTTTTTTTTTTTTTGAGATGGAGTTTCACTCTTGCTCCCCAGGCTGGAGTGCAGTGGCACGATCTCGGCTCACTGCAACCTCCACCTCCCGGATTCAAGTGATTGTCCTGCCTCAGCCTCCCAAGTAGCTGGGATTACAGGCACACGCCACCATGCCCAGCTAACTTTTTGTGTTTTTAGTAGAGACGGGGTTTCACCATGTTGGCCAGGCTGGTCTTGAACTCCTGACTTCAAGTGATCCGCCCACCTCGGCCTCCCAAAGTGCTGAGATTACAGGCGTGAGCCACCACGCCTGGCTGACTCTCCTGCTTTATAAGCAAGGCTCTGCAAGGGGGAAGTAGCTTCCATTCATTCTTCTCAGCTTGCCTGTCCTTGCTTGGAACTCGCACCCTATATGTGAGCTGCAATAAGGGCAACTGGGGCTCCACTACTCTCAGTCTGCTACACCTGGGATAGAGCCACTGCTCTGTGAATGCAGTCTGAAAGGAGGAAAGGAGTCCCCAGTCTTTCCATTCTCCAGGCCACACTCATCTGGAATTTAGCCTTTGCAACAGAACATGAGAGCGGGTAGAAATGCTGGCAGCTTGTCCCTCCAGGGAGATACACAATATGGTTTGGATGTTTGTCCCCTCCAAATCTCATGATAAAATGTGATTCCCAATGTTGGAGGTAGGGCCTGGTGGGAGGTGATTGGATCATGGAGGTGGATCCCTCACGAATGGTTTAGCACCATCCTTTTGGTGCTAAGTGAGTTCTTGTTCAGTTAGTTCACACAAGATCTGGTTGTTTAAAAGAGTCTGGGACGTCCTCTTTCTCTCTCTTGCTCCCTCTCTCACCATGAGATGTGCTGGCTCCCCCTTCACCTTCTGCCATAATTGGAAGCTCCTGAGGCCTCACTAGAAGCCAAGCAGATGCTGGTGCCATGCTTCCTATACAGGCTGCAGAACCATGAGCCAATTAAACCTCTTTTCTTTATAAATTACCAAGCCTCAGGTCCTTCTTTATAGCAACACACGAGTGGACTAACACAGAAAATTGGTACCAGGATTGAGGCATTGCTACAAAGATGTGGAAGTGGCTTTCAAACTGTAAACCAAAAGGTATCTAGAACAAATCTCAATCAATTTAGAAAGTTTATTTTGCCAAGGTTAAGGACACACTGGTGACACAGCCTCAGGAGGTCCTGAAGACATGTGCTGAAGGTGATTGGGTTGCTTTTGTACATTTTAAGGAGACATGAAACATCAATCAATATGTGTAAGATATACATTGGTTTGGTCCGATTAGGCAGGACAACTTCATTTAGAAGTTTTATTCCTAAATAAGACATTGTTCTCAGCTTGACTTTTCCCTTGGTTTAGTGATTTTGTGGTTCTGAGATTTATTTTCCTTTCATAGAGTAATGAGCACAGGAGTAATGAGCAGAGGCTGGAAGAGTTTGAAGGGCTCAGAAGACAGGAAGATGAGGGAAAGTTTGGAATTTCCTAAAGACTGGTTAAATGGTTGTGACCAAAATGCTCATAGTCCTCTACTGGGATTTGGGAGAAGAAGGAGCCCCATCTTCTTGGCCATACCCACCTGTGTGGAACTTTCCTCAAGGTGGGCAAGGTGGTAGAAGCAGCAAGTCATGTGAGGCATGAGTGGCATGTGAGGCATGAGTGGCATGTGAGGCATGAGTGGCATGTGAGGCATGAGTGGCATGTGAGGCATGAGTGGCATGTGAGGCATGAGTGGCATGTGAGGCATGAGTGGCATGTGAGGCATGAGTGGCATGTGAGGCATGAGTGGCATGTGAGGCATGAGTGGCATGTGAGGAGTGGCATGTGAGGCATGGTACTTGAGAGTACCTCTGACTAACTATTGCTGTTCTTACCAAGATGTAGTAGATTTTCTTGAATAAACAGTTCTTCATTTGCTGTATAACCTT
Source organism: Homo sapiens (assembly GCF_000001405.40). Classification (NCBI taxonomy): domain Eukaryota; kingdom Metazoa; phylum Chordata; class Mammalia; order Primates; family Hominidae; genus Homo; species Homo sapiens. The sequence goes on along the minus strand of NC_000014.9, from coordinate 61,755,221 downwards.
TGGGCAGTTTCAATAAACTTTAAATGGTTGTTTTTAAAGTGCTTCACCAGTTACAGTTGTTTCATGGGGAGTGAGGCCACAGAGCTCTTTAAGCTGCCATTCTGCTAGGTATGCATTTAAAGGCATAACTCCTATCTTCAGGTTGCTCATCATTTAGTACAGAACAATTCACTTCAAGTACATAAGTACAATTTTAGTGTGATTAATACCGTGCAAGAGTTAAACACCACACAAAATGGGAACACTGAGGAGAATCTCCTAATCCAGTCCCTGAGAGGATAGGCTTTCTAAAGTAGAAATGAGTTGTGAAAAATGCAGGAAATTAAGGAGATGAAGATGAAATAAGAAGGGTGTTGCAGACACAGAGAGAAAGCAACTACAAAGGACAAAGAGGTCAGAGAGCGTGTTAGAAGGTTACATCACTGGGACACAGGACGCAAGGGAAAGAAGTTAGCAGAATTTGGACAAATAGGCAAGAGGTCTCAAGGCCTGGAATGCCTTGAGTTGGAAGATTTTTCTCCCTGGATTTCTCAGTGCTCCTGAACCGTTTGAGTAAAGGATAACTAGATATCAATCTTAAAGAAGAAAATTCGGAAGAGATCTAGAGACTTCTCTCACTTGGAACCATTTATTTACATTCCAAGGTGGTAAAGGAAAATTAAAGACCTGCCCTTTCTCTCTCACTATGATTATGTTATTTCTATATTTCAAATGTTCTCAATGGGAACAGTATAATGAATGTAAAACAGTAGTTGTCCTTGGAGGTGGAGTGCCAAAGGACTTTACTTCTTACATAATTCATTTCTGTATCTTTATAACATTTTACAAGGAATATGATTACTTTTGTTAACAGGAAAAAAGTAATTTTAAAATTTAGTAGCTATTGGCCGGGCACAGTGGCTCACTCTCGCCTATAATCCCAGCACTTTGGGAGGCCAAGGCAGGTGGCTCAGCAGAGGTCAGGAGTTTGAGACCAGCCTGGCCAACATAGTGAAACCCCATCTCTACTAAAAATACAAAAATTTGAGGCAGGAGAATCGCTTGAACACAGGAGACAGAGGGTGCAGTGAGCCGAGATCGTGCCACAGTACTCCATCCTGGGCGACACAGTGAGACTCAATTTCAAAAAAACCCACAAAAACCCAAAAACCAAAATAATGGGTACACTTGTGTGTGTGTGCGTGTATGTAGAGGTACAGCTGAAAAAAAGATCATCCATGAGTTGACCCCTGTTAAAGCTTGCACTGTGGGTGATATTGTGATGACACACAGATGTCTCAGGAATGAACCACTTACTCTCCAAGCTGCTGGAAGTGCAGCAGAAGATGGTCTTCAGCTGTCAGCCCTTTCTGGGGATTGTCTCAGGTGAAGAAACCTGCCTTACTAAAGGTCATGTCTCCTGGGGGCAGCCCACATCAAGGGACTGATCAGTGTAGGGGTGTAAAGGCCTCCATACTCCCTGTAACTTGGGACAAGTCTCAAGGGCTATTGCAGTTCCAGAGCTCCCCATGTGGCTGCTAAAGGCTTTGTTGGGACTGCTCCTCAGCTGTTTCTCCCTCTGCCTACTTCTGTTCTTTCTCTTCCACATGTGTTGAAAAGCACTCCCCAATAAATCACCTGAAATCTCCATCTCAGAGTCTACTTCCCAGAGAACACAAATTGCAAAGACACTTTGGCATCATTATAGTCTCTTTACTTTTGTACATGTTCAAGTTTCCATAATTATAATTTAAGAAAAGCAAAGGACTGTGTCAGACTATATATGGTAGATAAGGGAGTAGTGACAAGTGACCTCTAGGGTTCTGGTTTCAGACTGAATGGTGCCATTCCTTGAGCAGGAGATGCAAGAGGAGAAGCCATTTGGAAGACAAATAAGGAGTTAATTTTTGACATGCCAAATTTGGGGCGCCTGCGGGGAGCACCCTGGGCTGGAGACGGTGATTATCAAGCTGGAGACAGTCCATGAAAAGGAAAGGTAACGGTGGCTTGGAACATCTCAAAGGGCCAATAAAAACTCTATTTAGATTTCAACTGTGTTTGCACAAGTACAGTTGAATTTGTGAATACCTCACAGAATGGGAATTAACTGCACCCTTGATAGCAGGCACCATATTCTAGAATATTTATATCACCTAGAGGTCTTAGAATAATATCTTGTACTCACTCAACACTACTCATTGATTGAATGGATCTCCCTGGAAGAGCTAGAAAATGGTTCTGTTCCCCACTTTGTTCCTCTGATCATAATTCTTCTCTAGTCTCTGACACACCTGAAATCCTCTCCACCTTGGATCATGTGTGAGTTGTTTTTGCGCATGCAGAGTGGAAGGCTTTAGGACGGATCAAAGATGAGTCAGATGGGAACCATGCTCTGAAGAAACTAAGAGTTTAGTACGAGGGATAAGACATGCAAAAATTATAAGGTTAAAAAAAGAGAAGTGAGAAAGCTAAAGAGGAAGTGATAAGGAAATTCACAGGAATGATAAATATTTGCAGTTGGGAAAACTCTAAGTAAGAGGCAAAGGCTGATGCAAAGTACCTCCCAGGCTGTATTGGCTCCTTTCTAATTTTCCGTATTTGTAGCTCACTTTCTTTAGGTTTTTGCTTTAATATTCTACCAGCAGATTAGGGAGTCAGGCAACAGTTTATGACTTCTGTCCAGCTTGTTTCTGTACGCCTATGAAAGATTTTGTCATAGCAGTTGTATGTAGAACCGTTTTTAAAAATCCATTTCAGAGGAAATAATATTATCCAGTCATATTTGGAAAGGATCTCTACATAAAACAGGGTTTTTAATGTTAATATTTCAAAGATCTTTAAAATTAGATTTTACTTCACAGAATCCTAATCTACTTGTCTGACTTTACACAGTGTTTCTCTACTTTGTAAAAAGCATGACCCTTTGTGATAAATATTACAGCCCCACCAGCCTGCTCTCTTCTATGGAAAATTGTCCATCTATAATGATTATGCATCCGTAGGACCAAAAGAATTATGGCACTCTCATTAAAGGGCACCTCCCTGATTAGACACGAACACACACACATATGATAAGTGAGGCTACAGATCAGTTTTTATTAGTAAAAAAGTATCTAAAACACCTCAACTACTTTTGAAAAGTGTACCTTTGCTTTCTATAAAATGCTATTTGAGGAAACCACAAACAATGAATTTTCCTGAAGGAAACAAATGAAAATAAAATGTAAAATGTAGTGAGCTGTGGATATGCAGAGGCGAAGTTATTTATTCTAAATACCTGGCTTTGTACTTTATAATACATTGTGCAATCTGAACATACCAATTATTACAGAGATTAAGGCTCCAAGCTTTTTCCGTACTCTATACACTCATCTCCCTTCTGTCCAACAAGATTATCTTCTCCCAAAGGATTCTCAATAGCTGGCATACAATAAAATCAAAACAGTAAAAAGCCCAAAAAACCACCCCCCACAAAACCACCAAAATAAAAACGGCACCAAGTGGGATAAAGTTTCGAGATCCTTAACTAGGCATATCTCAACGTGCTTTATTTAAAATAAACGAACTCTTTGAGTGCCTTAAGAGGAATATATTTAAATAAACATAGAACTCCTCTATTTTTGATTAGATGTCTAATTTTTTTTAAAAAAGTATTATATAACTAACCACTATCCAATCTGTTAGAACTCAACTTTTTCTATTCTACAAAGAAAAAGCTTCATACCCCAAAGCATTTGCTTGGGAATTTCGGGAGGCAGCTCTTCCGCAATACATCAAGTCCCATTCGCCCACGCCCCCCCCATCTAAAAAACAAAGTTTGGGGAAGCACTAGGCTTCCGACTTTGACAAGTCCCAGAAGACAAAGCCCAGGGCTGACCCCCCACGCCTGGCGCCGCCCGTTCGCAGGCCAGGAGCGGCCAGGGCCTCCCGCATGCGCTCCCACACGTACGCGCAGCGGGCAGCAGCCACCCCACAGCGTACACGAAAGTCGCCTTGCGCGGCTGGAGCCCTGGAGCCCACGGCCGGGGCCGCGGGCGGGGCCCGGGACTGCGGTGCTGCGCCCGAGCACGTACTGAGGCGTGGCCTGCCGCGCGCCGGGCGGGGCTCGGGAAGTTTCTCGGGTTGGCTTGGGTTTCGCATCCTCATCATGTAGCGCCAGCCACACCAGGAACAGAAGGGTGCCGGGTACCTTCCGCATGCTTGGTATTCTCCCCGCGGGGCTCTGACCGCTGCCGCTCTCAGGCACCTGTCTTTCCTCTCCGTCCCAGAATGGAGCCAAGACAAGGGAATAAACGAAATTCAATAGTACACGGAGATCGGGTGTCTGGGCAGCGTCTTGGAAAAACTATCCACTACAGGTAAGAATAAAAATTATGTCCAAACCTCTGAAAGGTGTGAACACATCAAAGCTCCAGAAGGCGTTCATAGGAAGGTTTATGGTAAAGTATAACTTTTATCCTACAGGGAGACTATTTTTGTATCGAATTCCACTAATTTCACTATTTCTCTGTAAAATAATCTGGGACGACAGGTTCATCTCTATTTAAAGGAACGAAATGTGAGCAAAGTGGTTAGTGGAAAACTTAAAAAAAAAAAAGTAAAAGTTTTTTTCTTTACATTTTTGTTGGTTCCAGCTGGCAACACGTTTGCAAAGGTTTTATTTAACCAAATCTTAATGTTGAAAAAAAGAAAAAAAGAGGATTCTTTACTCTGCAACTTGTTTTAGGTATTGCTACTTAAACATTTTGAACTTTTAGATTAAGTTTCTACAAAGCGAGTAATTTTAAGTTCATCTTTTCTGTACAGAGGCTTCTAGGAGGAAAATAAGATTTGGAATGATAATCGTGAGGTTATAAAAACTTAAACATATCTATTATGCCATTAAGTCAAAACAGCTCTGGGAAAAAATACCATACATTGATACAGTCTTTTATAGTTTGTGCTTTCCCATTCACTACCTTGTTAATTTGAGTTAATGTCTCCATAACTGGATATCTCAATCTCTAGTTCAAATTCAGAACCCACTAAATGGCACTTGAAAACACTTTTATTCATTTCTATTTATGCCCTGCCACTCCTCTTAGGACATTCCCTCAATGTTATGTGATCTCATTACTTTCAAGTGACATCGGATCCTCAGTTTTCCACACCTCCATTGCCGCCTTCTGTTTGCTATTTAAACAAACAGTTAACAATGGAGAAAAGGGTATGTTCAACTGGATTGGCTAGCACTGCAGGGTGGTTAGCTCCATGGACTTTGGAGTCACTCATGGCCACCTCAAAAGCTCCGAGCCTTAGATCACTTCTTCAAGACTATATACTGTATAGATATACTCCTCCCTTATCTGGTACTGCTATGAATGAACTATATATAGCATTTAGATCTCAAATGAAGATTTACCCAAGCTCTAAAAGTAATAGATGGCAGACCAGAAATGTAAGCTTAAGTCTCCTGACTCTAAAGTCAAACTTAGAACAAACTTGGTTTGTTTTTTAATGATACTGCATTAAAAAAATTAAAATAGCTTTATTCTTTTTCTCCTGTATTTTTATGGAATAGCTACATTTCTTTTATACTCAGAACATACATTCTCATTTTTCTGGGTTATGAGTATAAAAGAAATACAGCTGTTTCATAAAGTAAGGATTATAGTTGCCAGGGTTGGGTTATAAGCCTTGGACAAAACCATTATGAAGAAATTTGTGACGGTGCATAAAATTGGGAAGGGCCAGTTCTGCTATTCCGTAGCTTAAAGCACTCCAAGGAGCTTGTTGTCTTAGTGACTGAGCAGTGGGTAAGTACTTGCTTCCTTCCAGCTGTACTGTCCTTTAACGTGGCTTTCCCTTCTCAATGCTTTCAGAAGTCATTTTCCTGAACTCCTGGTCATTACATAATCTGCTTTTACAAATAGTTTTCAACTGAAGCTAATTTGCTATACAAGAATAATTTTTTGTTTTGTGACCTGTGAATACTAAGCAACCACTTTATTCTAAAATACCACTTCTAGTATACTACTATCTGTAACTAAATGTTGAAGCACTTTGGGTCACAGTGTTTGTGCTTAAGTATACCTGTGCCCCCCCCCCCCCCAAATTTTGCACTGAATCTTAGTATTAACTTTTGTTCCAAAATTTTCATATAATTGTAATCACTGTCCTCCATTGTAAGATAAAAAGAGCTACCTAAGAGATCTGTGGCTCAGTTCCTTTTGTTCAGTATATATACCTCAGGGTAAAGGACCTAAGGCTCTGGCACTTCCTACATAATTTGTTCATAAAAATAATTTTCTGTACCTGTAGGTGCAGGGATTCATAGTGATTTTTCTGTTTTAAAAAATATCTTTCTACACTGTCTGATTTTTAAAAATGAGATTATCAGTATAAAAGAAATACAGCTATTTTGTAAAAGAAAAATACAGGAGAAAAAGGATAAAGCTACTTTGTTTTAAAACGCAGTATCATTAAAACAAAAACAAACCAAATTTGTTCTAAGTTTGACTTTAGAGTCAGGAAACTTAAGCTTACATTTTTGGTCTGCCATCTATTACTTTTAAAGCTTGGGCAAATTATTCATTTGAAGTCTAAATTTATTAATCTGTTAATGGGAACAGATTAGAAATCTTCAGAGAAGCTCTAGCCTTTGTAACATTGTGACTATAATGCTGAGAACTGCTTCACTCATCCCATTCATATTTTAAAAATACTAATATTTTGTGTTTGAGCATTTTAATAGGCTCAGAAACTTAAAAATGATGTTTCTTTTCTAACAACATACTCTTTTCAATGGGATATTATGGTTGTTATTATTTAACATGACATTTAGGGACTCAACATACATTAAGGTGATGGCACTAAGATAAATGTAGAAATAACCAGTACCATGTAATTTTCATAAGTGCTTAAATTGTTGGTAAACAATTTTATGAGTTGGAGGTGTTGAAGCAAATATTATTAATATTTGAACATAAAAGCTGATCAAAGGGGCCTGGTCCACAGAAGATGTTTATTTGATGTAACAAAACAATACAGTTAGTGTTAGATCCAACCACAAAGAGCAAAAGGAATGAAAAATTTGTACAATGTACATAGAAAAAACAAGATATTTACTGTGACAACTATATATTCCTAAAATAATGCTTCTAAAATTACTCAATTATTGAAATCTACATGAAAAAAAGGATGTTAATAGCGACAAAGTGCATAAAATCAAACATTGTATTTTGAGCAAATTAACATACTAGGCAATTTTGCTAAGAATGCATGATTTTTTTTTTCTTGTTTACAGTCTGCTCAAAATATCTTTATACCAACAGGGTAGGCAGAACATTTAGGTTTAATATCAGTTACACAATATTAGCATAAACTTCCACAACTACATAGGGTATTGTTTTCTTTTGAGCTGGCAAAGTGACTATAGAAACATCAGATGATTTCTCTGAATTGAGAATTTTATCCAAATAAATGCCACATACCTTCTAGATATATGCATATCTTTCTATATTATGTAAATGGCTTTACCCATTTAAATAATAAACCATACAGCATTTAAGAATCATTATTATATGATTAACAATGTCATGTTCCAGGTTTAACAATTTCATAGGCCAAAAAAAATTTCTTCTTAAAAACTAGTTTTATAAACGCAGAATATATTCCATGAGTAACTGCTGGTATTTTTTAAGAAAATATATTGTGCAATTGTGGCTACCACGTACTGCTGGCAAAGCATTATTATTTATGTAAAATGTGAAAAAAAAGGTGTAAAAATTTTTCAACTGCCTATGATCATGATGAAAGGTTACTGCCTTCTTACAAAAATTATATTGGCATCTTCTTAAAAATAATTCGAAAAAGGGATAAACTCCCTAGCCAAAAATAAATAAATAAAAAGGTGCATTTTTTAAAATGATGCTACTGCAATGCAATGGTTTAAATACCAAAAAACTGAGAAAATGAGCTGTCTGTGATCCAGCATTAAAGAACATACTAAAAAAGAGCATTAATGTAAATTAAGTAGAAAGGGGATCAAAATTGAACTAACCAAGTTTGTGCAGTATTGTAGCCAGGCTTCTAAAATTAGATGTAGAAAATATAAATAGACTGCTTTAGGTAATGAGCCACCAGTGTCCAAAAAAAGGAATGAAATTAAGAAAAAGCTCAGTTAACTTGATCCAAAGCTCTGAGTAATTCTTCACCCTGCAGTAGGTTTCTGCTGCCTTGTATAGGAGCATTAACTTCACAATCATAACTGGTCAGCTGTGGTAATCCACTTTCATCCATTGATTGCCCCAGCAGTCTACATGCTAAATCTGAAAAACAAAAGAGATACCTAAGTATACATTCATCTAGTCAATGAATATTTATTAAACACCCACAATGTGTTAGGTATCATAGAAAATAAAGCAAAATTCTGGAAGGGTTTTTAGTTTACCTGGCAAAACCACAACTATGTTAAAAAGTAAGTATAATCCAGTGATACTGTTGCTGTGTCAGAAATGTTTACAGGATACAATAAAGGCACAAAGAAATAACAATTTGGAAAAAGGCATAAATATGGTGGGCATCAAAGCTGATGCCTGTAATCCTAGCACAGGCTGAGGCAGGAGGATCACTTGAGGCCAGGAGTTTGAAACCAGCCTAGGCAACATAGTGAGACCCCATCTCTACAAAAAGCAACCGGGTGTGGTGAGGCATGTCTGTAGTGCGAGCTACTCAGGAGGCTGAGGTAGGATGATTGCTTGAGCTTGAGCACAGGAGTTTGAGACTGCAGTGAGCTATGATCATGCCACTGCACTCCAGGCCTGGGCAACAGAGCGAGACCCTGTCTCAAAAAAAAAAAAAAAAAAAAAAGAAGTCATAAAAGTTCACAAATTTCAGCTTCTATCAATATTGACAGCACATGGACATAGAGAAATCAAAGAAAATTACTAAAAATGAAAAGCTCCACCTTGAAATGTTAATCTCTGTATTAAGACCATCACATGAAATACAACTGTACTTTTTTTTTTTTTTTTTTTTGAGGCAGAGTCTCACCCTTGTCGCCCAGGCTGGAGTGCAGTGGTGCCATCTTGGCTCACTGCAACCTCTGCCTTCCGGGTTCAAGCAATTCTCATGCCTCAGCCTCCCAAGTAGCTGGGATTACAGGCGCCCGCCACCACGCCCAGCTAATTTTTGTATTTTTAGTAGAGACGGGGTTTCACCATGGTGGCCAGGCTGGTCTCCAACTCCTGACCTCAGATGATCTGGCTGCCTCGGCCTCCCAAAGTGCTGGGATTACAGGTGTGAGCCACCGCGCCCAGCCACAACTTTACTTTTTAATCTTGCTAAGGAACCAAAGTCATTCTCACTTAGATTAAAGCTCCTAAATAAAAATGTTTCATGTATTTTGTCTTTGTGATGTTCAAGGTCAAAAAGAATAAACTAACCAGAGGGTATTAAAATAATTGTCTTTTGCTCCATTCCATTCTGTTCACTAGATTTGCATCCTTTTACACGTTTCCAAGAAAGTGATGTAGTAGCTGCATGATCGTCTGGCTGCTGTAATAATGTTCCCTATAAACAGTAAAGTTATTTCAAGTTTAGTTTGTTGAATTTTTTTTTTAAACAACCAAAAACCTTGAAATTGGTGTAAATTTAATAACATTATAGGCAGTTTCTTAAATACTACCCTAAATTATTTTGAATTCTTTCTTAAGTTATTTGTCATCCATTATGACCATTCTGTCTATAAATACTTTCCAGTTAATTTAGTTTGAAAATATCAGAATGTATTATACCACCATTGACTTACCCCAAAACATAGCAGTTCTTTTTTAAATATGAGATGGACTCTCACTCTCTTACCCAGGCTGGAGTGCAGTGGCCTGATCTCAGCTCATCGCAACCTCCACCTCCCGGGTTCAAGCTATTCTCCTGCCTCAGCCTCCAGAGTGGCTGGGATTATAGTTGTGCACCAACACGCCTGGCTAATTTTTGTATTTTTAGTAGAGACAGGGTTTCACCAAGTTGGCCAGGCTGGTCTCGAACTCCTGACCTCAAGTGATCCTCATCTTGGCCTCCCAAAGTGCTGGGATTACAGGCGTGAGGCACTGTGCCTGGCCAATAGCAGTTCTTTTAATAAGGCAAAGTAACTTAAAGGGAAGAGAATGAGATTGGTGGTGATATTCAGGGTGGAGTAAGGGGAGAACTTCACTTTTTAACTCAAAATACACTGGAATTGTTTGGAATTTTTATACCAAGAATGTATGTATTAAACATTTGTATTTTTAAAAACCAGTGCATACAGAGTAAAAAAACCCAATGTATAACTTCTGAAAATATAACTTTACTATTTGGAAGAAACGTGGAAACACACACACACACACACACACACACACACACACGAAATAGCACATTAGCTAGAAAAGCAAAACCTACTACTCATACTTACAATTCCTACTGCTTGAAAAAGTGAACCATCATGTTCCATTTTTCGCTTTCTCTGAGCATTCTGCAAAGCTAGTATCTTTGGATTTAGTTCTTCCTCAGGAACTGTAGTTCTGAAAAGAAAAAAATTCTAAATGAAAATATAGCGTTTTTAAAAAAAATATCCAGTGAGCGCTTTTAAAGAAAATACATAATTCTTTAGTTCTCCAATATTAAGGAATATAATATACATAAGATAACTTTCCTGATCACTAAAGTTTATCATCTTAAAAGTAAAAGCTTAATTTTTTTTTTTTTTTTTTGGTGAAACACGGTCTTACTCTGTCAGCCAGGCTGGAGTGCAGAGACGTGATCTCTGCTTACTGCAACCAAGCCCTGCCTCTGGAATCAAGTGATCCTCCCACCTCAGCCTCTCAAGTAGCTGGGATTATGACTAATTTATATATACATATTTTTGTAGAGACAGGATTTCACTATGTTGCTCAGGCTGGTCTCAAACTCCTGAGCGCAAGTGATCTGCCCACCTTGGCCTCCCAAAGTGCTGGGATTACAGGCGTGAGCACCTGGCCGTCAAAGCTTAATTTAACAGGAAATTTTCTACAGTATGCGTATCCCTATTTTATAAAATAGAGCTGAACACAACTAAATTGACACTATTGTAGAGTCAAAACAGTTAAATATTGTCCTTTTATTCCACCTAATATAACAATGCAGTGATATTGTTGGGACTATTGAAATACAAGATCAATCTCACATTCGTATAGCATTTTCAGTTTATAAAACATTTCAAGTTCATTAGTTCATTTTAACCTTACTTAAGTTCCCAAGACAGATAAGGCAGGCATATCATACCCATTTTATAAATTAGAACCCTGAGGCCTATTGGGTAACTTTCTCAAAGTCCTACTGCTCACTAGTTGCAATATGGAAGTACACTCTAGGTCTCCAGATCCCTACCTCCCCTCCCCTGCTCTTCCCACTATGCTATTTTTCACTCAGTATTGATCTGGTTATCAAACATGAACTATGTATATCTAAAATTAATATTAAATTGTGAAGAATTGTTCTAATGAGTAAAGTACATCAGCTTTGTTACATTATTTTGACTTTTCAAGACACCCCACAAACCAAATGCATAATCATAATGGCTCCTTGCTGTTCCAGACAGTTGAGAATGCCAAATAGGTAAGTGATCTTATTTTGCAGTTTTCTTTGGTTTTTAAAAAATTTCTCTAAAACTTCTATTATATAGACAGGGAAGTTTAAAAATTCTTATACAGATATATTGTCTTTATGAAATGTAACTCAGTCTATTATGTAAATATCATTGTAGTAGTAGTAGTACTTAGTAATTACGTTTTTAATGGTTTATCTTAATTTTTGAAATTCCTTTCATAAAAGTTTTCAGTGTACACTACATTGGAACTAATGTTTAAAAACAGTTGCTAGCTGGGCACAGTGGCTCACAACTGTCATCCCAGCACTTTGGGAGGCTGAGGCAGGTGGATCACCTGAGGTCGGGAGTTTGAGACCAGCCTGATCAACCTGGAGAAACACTGTCTCTACTAAAAATACAAAATTAGCTGGGTGTGGTGGTGCATGCCTGTAATCCCAGCTACTCGGGAGGCTGAGGCACGAGATTTGCTTGAACCAGCGAGGCGGCAGTTGCGGTGAGCCAAGATCCGAGATCACGCCATTGCACTCCAGCCTGGGCAACAAGAGCAAAACTCCGTCTCAAAAATAAATTGCTAAAGTGACTTGATGTGTTGTTACACTTTGGCTTTGACAAGTACAAGAGAACAGTTGTTCAGAAAACTGGATATCCCATCCTCTGTAGCTGATAGTAAACTGTAACTTATAAGTGATTGTCATTTTTACTACTGTATTCATGCATCTGTCAGTCCAACAACTTTTTTTTTTTTTTTTTTTTTTGAAACCGAGTTTCACTCTTCTCGCCCAGGCTGGAGTGCAATGGCACGATCTCGGCTCACTGCAGCCTCCACCTCCAGGGTTCAAGCAATTCTCCTGCCTCAACCTCCCAAAGTAGCTGGGATTACAGGCACGTGCCACCACGCCCAGCTAATTTTTGCATTTTTAGTAGACCGGGTTTCACCATGTTGGCCAGGCTGGTCTGAAACTCTTGGCCTCAGGTGATCCACCCGCTTCAGCCTCCCAAAGTGCTGAGATTACAGTGATGAGCCACTGCGCCCTGCCTCAACAACCATTTATTGAGGAAGTACTACACATTAGGTCATGAGCTAAGTATTAGTATCACTAAAATGCCCAAGACACTGTGATTGCCCTCGTGGAGCTCAGAGTCAAAAGTGAGTAAGTGACACAGTAAATAAAGTAATGTAAAGTACTTCTGAGTTCATCTAAAGCCCCAATGTCTTTTCCAAGCTTAGGGAAAAGACCTCTCCCAGCACTCTAGGTCAAGGTGGGAATGTTAGGCAGGGAAAAAAGCTATGTGTTCTGGCTACGACAGTGGTTCTTTCCTATTGCTATTGATATCTGGCTTAGTCTAGACATAGTAGAGAAGGAATCATTTCCCTTTTCCACACACTTATTAGATAAAACTTAATTTCTTCTAGCTATAGCCTCAAACTTAAAATATGTGAAATCCCCTTACAAATTATATACAGAAAGTATAACTTAAAAATTGGGTCATGTCCATATGTTTGTTTGAACTAGCTCCATAGAAGTAACAATTCATGCTTAGATTCCTGTTGTACAGTTTGAAAACCTATGTAGCCTGCAATATATATATAGCTAATGTTCTACAAATACGTAATGAAAAATAAAAGCAACTTTAATACAAGTTAACTATAATAAAATTTTAAAAGAGGGGCCTGTAAATATCTATATTGAATGCTGAAGATGGAAGGCTCAATTTGGAATGTGCAATTGGAAATAACCCTTAAATTGGAAGGGCTTTTCTTCAGATAAGCTTAAAAAAGAGCTCTAAGAAATGGAAGCATCTAAGTAGTGAGGGTAGTTAACTAGTCTGATTTAAACAACTGTAAGAACTTTAAACAAGTTCTGTAAACACATTTACAGTACTGAGCTGGATTTTATTTTAAAGGTGTCAGAAGACCCTCCTCCATTTAGATAGGTAATTTTAGAATTTATAATTATTTTAGAAAAAATAGGAGCGGGCATGGTGGCTCACACCTGTAATCCCAGCTCTTTCGGAGGCTGAGGCAGGCGGATCACCTGAAGTCGGGAGTTTGAGACCAGCCTGACCAACGTGGAGAAACCCTGTCTCTATGAAAAATACCAAAAAAATCAGCCGGGCGTGGTGGTGCATGCCTGTAATCCCAGCTACTCGGGAGGCTGAGGCAGGAGAATCTCTTGCACCCAGGAGGCAGAGGTTGCCGTGAGCTGAGATGGTGCCATGCCATTGCACTCCAGCCTGGGCGACAAAGCGAGACTCTGTCTCAAAAAAAAAAAAAAGAAAGAAAAAGAAAAAATATATGAGGTTAATTTAGAAAGTTTTTTGAGTTCTCAAGAATTTGCGTTAGGGCATATATATCAGAAAGTTTGCTATAAGTTTAAAAATCATGTACTATCACATACATTTATCTCAAAAATAATAAAAGAACTATAACTTGAATGTTACATATAAATACCTTTGACTCAAAGCGACAGATAACACGTTAGGGCTTCTTGGATGAGATTTTTCTGTCTGTTCTATGACTCCTTTTCCTGCTCTGTTTGGTGAGGCTGTCCGACTTTGAGTATCTCTATATGGTGATGATGTGGCACTAGTAGTTTCTTTATGTATGTGGGTAGGAGATGGAGATGCAATCAATATTTTAATGTCTTCCATACGGTCTTTTGTCACTGTTTTTAATTCATCAGTGGTGGCAGTGGTAGTGGTGGCATTAGCAGTAGGTTCTTGTATTTGAGTCTGCTGGAATACTGTAACTGTGCTTTGAGGACTTGCGCTTTCAGGGCTTGCGGAACTGCTTTCTAATGGTGACAACTGATCGAAGGAACGTAACTGGAAGTCATCATCCATTGGGATATAGGGAGCTAACATCTCCAAGTCTAAATCTGTGTCCTTTAAAACAGCAAATACATGAGTTTTTACAATGGCCACACCTTATAAATAAAAAACAAGTGAAACTCAAAGTCACTTCAGACTAAAAATTAATGAAATTTAATATAAAACAAATAAGTTCATATACCTGAGTAGAAAATGGGTTCTTTGCTTCTGTGTCTTCAGCAAAAAGTTTTTCTACCAATTCCAACTTGAATTCATTGACCATATCACTATCCACATAAAAACAATATTCACTGGGACTATTAGGCTGTAAAAAGAAATATGTTTACTATTTCCTGAAGAAGCTTCCATATACTTTGCTAGTTGTCAGAATTTTCAAACTAGATCTCAGAAAAACCAGAAAACACACAACCAAGTCCATCGTGTTTATCAAATTTTATTTAACTAGGCCGGGCTCAGTGGCTCACGCCTGTAATCCCAGCACTTTGGGAAGCCAAGGTGGAGGGATAATGAGGTCAAGAGATCGAGACCATCCTGGCCAACATGGTGAAACCTCGTCTCTACTAAAAATACAAAAATTAGCTAGGCATGGTGGCAAACGCCTGTAATCCCAGCTACTCAGGAGGCTGAGGCAGGAGAATCACTTGAACCTGGGAGGCAGAGGTTGCAGTGAGCCAAGATCATGCCACTGCACTCCAGCCTGGCGACAGAGTGAGACTCCATGTCAAAAAAAAAAAAAAAAAAAAAAATTTGTGAAAATAGTGACATTTTGAAGCTTATACTGGTAACTAATTTTGCCAATATATATATTTCTGACTATGTAATATAACATCATTTACAAAATTGAGATGAAAAGAAACACCTTATTCTAAAGAATAAAACCTATTTGGTAATTCACATCCCACAATGGTACCTAATTGACCAATTAACTAGATGCTACATTCACTGGAATTTACCTTTGAACTGAGAAGGCACACTCCTGTGGTGACTGAGCTACCTAAAAATCTCACTGTTACTGTCGGGGGTGGGAGTAGAAACCTAAGTTATTTTACCTGCATATACCTGAACGAATGTACATTATTACTATTTTAAGAGTTCTGGGCAAGAAGTTTAACAAAAAACTATAGCTGTGTATTCTAAACAAGAAATTTTGCTTTCCTCATTCTAACGTTTTTGTTAGATTTACTTTTGTTAGATAAAAACCAAGATGAATCAAACATTTTTTTTTCTGGGTAAATTAAGCAACCAGAGCATAGG
The DNA here is from genome assembly GCF_000001405.40 of Homo sapiens. Taxonomy (NCBI): domain Eukaryota; kingdom Metazoa; phylum Chordata; class Mammalia; order Primates; family Hominidae; genus Homo; species Homo sapiens. The sequence goes on along the minus strand of NC_000014.9, from coordinate 61,739,554 downwards.
ATATATATTCATTCAACACAAGGCTGTGAGATGTCAAATCCCCTACTCTTAGCTTGTCAGTTTTATTCAACAAATACCTAATGTAGAATTATTTACCACTTATTAAAGCTTATTTATGCCTCATTTATCAAGTTATAATGTTCAGATCTAAGTTGCCCTACTCCTGAGCATATTTTTAGATGTAGGAAGCCCTAAAATGGAATCATTCTAGATTTAGAAATAGAGCCCTGTGTGATATCTCTAAGTCTTGGCCAGCCTAGCCTTTAAAGATTATTTTTGTGTTCATAGGACAATTAATATCAAGACAGATCCAGAATAAAAAAGACCAGTTACTAAGTATTTATTTTATGTAACACTTGTTATTTTCATATTATACTTACCCAAAATTTCAAAATAGTGATGGAAATTAGACTAAATTGGGCAAAGAATTTATAAGGTCCTTTCCCATTTAAACCCTCGTAAGTCTATTGCTACCAGACAGTTCTCCAACTCAAAGGGGTAATGGGCCAGGCATGGTAGCTCACGCCTGTAATCCTAGTACTTTGGGAGGCCAAGGCAGGAGGATCGCTTGAGCCCAGGAGTTTAAAACCAGCCTGAGCAACATAGTGAGAACCCCAACTCCACACACACACACAAAAAAAGGTTAAAAAATTAGCCAGGCATGGTGATGCAGGCCTGTAGTCCCAGCTACTTGGGAGGCTGAGGTGGGAGAATCATTTGAGCCTGGGAGGTTGAGGCTGTGATTGCACCACTGCACTCCAGCCTGGGTGATAGTGAGACTCTTTCTCAAAACAAAACAAAACACAATAAAACAAACTAAAAGGGGTAACAGGTATAGGCTGTAGCTACCTTGAGCACACTTAGTACTATTCTCTTTAAATGTCCAAATTCAAGATGTTTTTGTCCTACTGATATAAATAATAGAGAAACAATGTACGTTTCACCTTTTGGTTTATATTAAGCTAGTTTCTTCCCATGTTCCTGACTATCTTTGAGCCTAAAACATGTGCTCAGGTCTAGGTTAGGCAGTAGCTCTTGCAATAATTTTAAAGTGCTAAAATTCAAACACACACACAAATGTAATTTGTGGTTCAAATAAGTGTTTGAATCAAACTTATAAATACATTCTTGAATGTTAAAATCTGAAAGTTGTCCCTTTCTGATTATATCATGACACCTACCTCAGGTGAACTTTGTCTAGTGCTTCCATCGGAAGGACTAGGTGTCTGATCCTGAATCTGGGGCATGGTAAAAGAAAGTTCCAGTGACTCTGGATTTGGTTCTAATTTTAATGCAACTTCTTGATTGAGTGCAGGGTCAGCACTACTTCGAAGTGGCTTTGGCGTTTCAGCGGTGGGTAATGGAGACATTGCCAAATTTATATTCTGTAATTTTTCGTTGGGTGAGGGGAGCATTACATCATTATATAATGGTACTTCCTCAAGTTGCTGGTCATCAGTTTCTGTGTCTGTGGGGAAAAAATATGAGTCAATCTAAAGTATAGAAGGATTTTTTTTTTTTTTTACCCAAGACAGAGTCTTGCTCTGTTGCCCAGGCTGGAGTGCAATGGCGCAATCTTGGCTCACTGCAACCTCTGCCTCCCAGGTTCAAGCAATTCCCCTGCCTCAGCCTCCCAAGTAGCTGGGATTACAGGCGCACACCACCACGCCCAGCTAACTTTTGTATTTTTGGTAGAGACGGGGTTTCACCATGGTGGCCAGGCTGGTCTCGAACTCCTAACCTCAAGTGATCCACCCGCCTCGGCCTCCCAAAGTGCTGGGATTACAGGCGTGAGCCACTGCGCCCGGCCACAAGGATTTTCACATATAAAAAATTTATGTTCTTTTTCACAAAAGGTTTGTCTAATTCATCAAACAACAAAATGTCACCAAATTTTCCTTCATCAGAAAGTTTACATACAATAGTATAGTATAACCATAAGTCTGAGTTACCTTTACAATCCACTATTGATACCGCGTCTTAATCTCTATGGCATAAAAGACAAAAGGCAATACCAACCTTTTTATACATTAAAATGTTCTCTACTTTAAAATTGCAGTTTTCATCTTCAATGCTTGATGTTATAGTATGACTACTTTTTTATCCTTTAATGCAACAATGCCTACTTCCATATAACTCTGCTAAACTGTGGAGAAAATCTGACAGCAGGATACAGAAATAGAGTAGCCAGGAAAAATTTATGTGGGAAGAAGAAATACCTTAAGGACACTTTGAAGCACAATTTCCAACAGTATAAAAAAGCAAGAATGGTAAGAAATTACGGGGGCAAAAATATTTAAGCAAATACATTTAAGAAAACTATAAACATATATTAGCTTGTAATGTCCAAATGATTACCAACAAAAACCGTAAAGTAATGTTTAGTTGAAATGGGGCTTGTAGCAACAGACACAATTTAGGGGATTAACAAAAATAACTACTCACCGTTGCTGCCAAAATCTAAAGATATGATTGTGTCTCCAGCGGCTGGGGCCAGCAAAGTTAAAGCATCAGGTTCCTTCTTAAGTTTGTCAAAGAGGCTACTTGTATCTTCTGATTCAACTTTGGTGAATAGCTGAGTCATTTTCATATCTGAAGATTCAACCGGTTTAAGGACACATTCTGTTTGTTGAAGGGAGAAAATCAAGTCGTGCTGAATAATACCACTGTCAAAACAAGAGAAATTGGTAATTCACAAATGAGCACTTGATACAGTGAGGGGAAGGGAGACTGTGAAATGGTCTCTTAAAAAATTCTGCTTTATGGACAGGAACATTTCAAGATTTCTTGAGATGCATGATCACTCATGCGTACTGTGTCACATTTAGGGTTTTAAAATGCTAATACAAAATAAAGACCCAATAAAATCCACAGTATGCAACCATAAAAAAGAATGAAATAATGTCCTTTGCAGCAACATGGATGCATCCAGAGACCATTATCCTAAGTGAGATAACCCAGGAACAGAAAACCAAATGCTGCATGTTCTCACTTGTAAGTGGGAGCTAAACACTGGGTTACTTGTGGACATAAAGATGGCATCAATAGACACTGAGGACTACTAGGGGAGAGGGGCAAGGGTTGAACAACTGTTGGGTATTATGCTCACTACCTGGGTGACAGGATCAATTGTACCCCAAACCTCAGCATCACATGATATACCCATGTAACAAACCTATGCATGTATCCCCTGAATCAAAAATAAAAGTTGAAATTAAAAAAAAAATCCCCAGTACAAGATAATTTGACTAATTTCAGTTAAGAATTTCAGATATCCAGGCTGGGCGTGGTGGCTCATGCCTGTAATCCCAGGACTTTGGGAGGCTGAGGCGGGTGGATCGCTTGAGCCTGGGAGTTCAAGAGCCTGGCCAACATGGCAAAACCCTGTCTCTACTAAAAATACAAAAAATTAGCCCGGTGTGGTGGTGCACACCTGTAGTCCCAGCTACTTGGGAGGCTGAGGCATGAGAATCACTTGAGCTCGGGAAATGGAGTGAGCCAAGATCACGCCACTGCACTCCAGCCTGGGTGACAGTGAGACTCCATCTCAAAAAAAAAAAAGAAAAAAAGAATTTCAGATATCCTTTGAGAAGAGTAGTAATGGCAAGGCAATTTGTAGTCAAGTACATGAAAGACACCAACAAATCTTCAGAATTGTTGTGCTGACACACATTATGAAATTGGCACAAAAGAACTCTTTGGCATCAATATGTGAGGCATGATCTAAGGATAGTCCTAAAGATACACAGATAAATGATTAAGATCTTTCTAAGAGAGGGGCCATATTTTCTTTGGTGGTAAGAATATAAGGTGATACCACCTACAGGATACGGCTGAAGAGGGATGATGAGCAATAGTTTATCTTCACGTTTGGCTTAAATGTAAATTATTCCTTTAATTAACGTATTAAATGTTCACTATCTGAAATGAACTGATAATGCAAAGATTAAAATAGCCAACCCTTGACCTTAAGAAATTTATAACCCATTGTGAAAGTAGATATGTAAACAATTAAAATACACTGTGATAACTGCTAAAATAGAGAAGGCTTGCTTCACTGAGAAGCTAACAAGCTGATACTTGGGATCAAGTGGCATTTGCTAGGCAGACTGGGGTGTGAGGAAGAGAAAGACATTCCAAGTGGAAGATTCTTACATAATGGTAAAGTCACAAAAGAACTCTGTGGCACTAATATTAAAACATTAAAGGATGGTGTCAGAAGTAGCAAAAATAAAAACTGCCCAAAGTCTTCCTAAGAGGAGTGACCCTAGATTTTAAAGGGAAGGCTAAATCTCTAATGCGTGAGTATGATGGTAAACAAGGATGCTGTACACCTAGGCAAGTGTTTATCTTGGAAATGATAAAAAGATCGCTAAAATTCTAAGGAAAATAAGATGATGACATATCCACACTAGAAAGCTTAGCCTGGTAGTAATGGGCAAGATGGACTAGAATGTGGTAATAATGTGGACAGGTAGACTAGATGGGGCAGGAGTCTAGTAAAATAGATCAAATGAAAAATTAAATTTTGATGTACATAATATTCACAAGCCAAAGAGCTAAGTGAAGAGTTCATGAATATACAAGAGCCATGTATTACATCATATAGCTTATTAATCTCATAGAATTTCTTTTCTTTTTTAAATTATACTTTAAGTTCTAGGGTGCATGTGCACAACGTGCAGGTTTGTTACATATGTATACATGTGCCATGTTGGTGTGCTACATCCATTAACTCATCATTCACATTAAGTATATCTCCTAATGCTATCCCTCCCCCCTCCCTAATCTCATAGAATTTCATTTAATTTTCATTATAACCTTCTGAAGGATTATCTACATAGATGAAATTCAGAAAAATGAAGAGACTTCCCCAAGGTCAGGGAGCTAATGAGTGGTAGAGCTATGATACAAATCTAGGCCAGGATTCTTCCTACAAAAAGAACACAGCTGTCTTGAGATAGTATATGCCGATATCTGTATAATTAGACCAAACCAATCAATGGATCTGGTATTTTTTTCATGGTCTTTTTAAAAATAGGAGTGAAGGTATGGGGATAGACAACTACTGACAGTGTTTAGCAGCATCACTGTGGAATAGCTGGACTGGAAACCTAGGTCAGAGTATAGAAAATAATAATTTGGTAGCGATGTAAAAGAATTAAAATTTAGTTAATATTTATTATCTTATCTTCCTATAAATGAACAGAGTATCCAAAAAGAATTACTATTTGTTCCCCAAAAATGTTTATTTCTCAAACTTACTTACCTCACAACGTAATTCACACATACAATGCACTGTGGTTGAGAATTCTTGGTGTTATATATGACAGTTGCTTGAGTTTCAACCCAGACATATCCACCTCTTTTGGCAAGCATCCTGTACTGTCCTGTGGTGACTTGTCCTTTAGTAAACACTAGGGGGGAAAAGAAAAAGAATCATGCAGAGAAAATATTTTAACTTTGAATTTTCAATTAAATGAACAGATGCTGAATGTTCATCATTGTTTTGGAAAACAAATGTTTATTTAGTGGAATCAGTTGTAACTGCTTACATTCTGACAGTGCGTCCCAGAATAGCTGAAAATGTACCCATTTCCTTTTTCAAACCCCCTAAATAAAACTCCTTTGCTGCCAGTGAGCTAAGTGAAGAGTTCATGAATATACAATCTTCAGTAACTAAAATTCCTTTAATGACTTAGGTTGGTGTCAGATTAGAGAATAATCAATAGCCTTTTTCAAGAAAATGGTGCCACAATAACTTCCTTAAATTCTGACTATGGTTTCCAGAGAACCAAAGATGCTTTAAAAAGCTATATGTAGCATATTTAAATATAAATTGATACCACATTGTAAGTCTTTTGGCAATTTAAATTAAATACTGATTTGGGAGAAAGTACTAAATAAATGCTAATGATGGTATTATTTTGAGGATTGGGGTGTCCTGACTGCAGACTTGGATTTACTCTTGAGTTCAAGGCTGATCAGTCACACAAACTCAGTGATATTCAGGTATCCTCAAGCACAGTGGGAAGTCATGCATAGGTACAGATTAAACAGGTGAGATAGTCCAAAGTTTAACTTATCTTGGGGATCTTAACATTCATTTGAGTAAAATTCAGAATCAAATCTTATGTCAAAGGTACTTGTTTTGGGTGACTATAGTAAAAAATAATTTAATTGTACATTTTAAAGAAACTAAAAGAGGCCGGGTGCCAAGGCAGGTGGATAACCTGAGGTCAGGAGTTCGAGACCAGCCTGGCCAACATGGCAAAACCCTGTCTATACTAAAAATACAAAAATTAGCCAGGCATGGTGGTACATGCTTATAATCCCAGCTACTTGGGAGGATGAGGCAGGAGAATCTCTTGAACCCGGTAGGCGGGGGTTGCAGTGAGCTGAGATTGCTCCACTGCACTCCAGCCTGGGCGAGAGTGAGATCCTGTCTCAAAAGAAAAAAATAAAATAAAATAAAATAAAAATAACCAAAAGAGTATAACTGGATTGTTTGTCACACAAGATAATGCTTGAGGTGATAGGTACTCCATTTATCCTTATGCACTGCATGCCTATATCAAAATATTTCATGAACCCATAAATATAAATACCTAACTATGCACTTATAAGCA